>NC_000004.12:138618350-138921381 GCF_000001405.40 Homo sapiens
CTACATACACAACTATGCACATATAAGCATAGATGCATATACACATAAACATACATGCAGATAGAGAAAGAGAAAGAACTTTCAGAAAATAATATTGTCTTTGAGAAAAACACAATTAAGGAATGCACTTTTTGTTACTGTTCTTGGCCCTTTATTCTGAAACTAATTATTCACTAAATACTTATAACTCTAAATCTTTCATTTTAGCAAAAACCTTTGATATTCCATTTATGCTATCATAGTAGGCTTCTTTTAAAGAGTTCTTCTTAACAAATATTTTTTAAAATAGTTCTAAATTGGATTGTCCCACCATGACAACATCATAAAAACTAAATTTTAGAATTATAGAAACGGAAGAATCTAGTTTTACTTTGTTTTTTAGCCATTAAAATGTATACTAATATAGCTTGCATTGAGTGTTCTATTTACAAACATTTCAAACCATTTATGAATGTTGTTTATATATATTTAGAACACTTCTATAAAAATTGAAGGCTAATGTTATTGTACCAATTTTCCTTATAGAAAAATTGAGTAATAAATTGGTGGAGAACTTGCTGCCATGTTCTTGTAAACAGATGAGAGATTAACAGATGGGAGCCCAGATAATGGGAAATTTTAATCAGATTCAACATACTTCTTGCAAAGACAGGCAAACTTTTTTGAGTCTAGAAATGTACTTTGGTAGGCTGATAAGTTTTAAATAAAACATGATTAACAGAGATTTTGGCTATCAGCTGTGATAGAGTATTAGAGAACTGACTTACCCTCCTACCTGAAACAATAAAAAAACAGACAAAATACATAAAACAAAAATTTTAAGACATTGAACGTCAGGCAATGTAAGACAATGATTCTTGAGAGAAGAAAAACAAAAGATACTCTAGATATCCCAACTAACTGACTAGAGAGAGATTCTAGGGTATAACACATGGAGGAGGAATCCAAAAGGCATCCAGAGGTATCCCTGTATTGAGGAAATAGACCTTGAAATCCAGGGAGGCCAAGACTACTACAGTTTGTGGAGCAGAATACCAGAAAAGAGACAACTTCACAGACAACTACTGAAATCTGCAAAGGATCCCATTTGGATTTTCAGAGTAGTATTGGTCAGTCTGTAAGTGTAAGAAAACTACTTGAAGCTACAGAAAAAAGAAAAACCCAAAAGAAACAAAAGGAACAATCTTTGGAGATCACACAGCTCAGAAATAGTCTCTATTCCTCAGCCAGAGTGGAAACTCACTTAATCCATGAGATACTTTAGAATATCAGAAGGTATTGCCTCAACAGTGGGCTAAAAAATAGCTACAAACTAAATGCAGCTGTGGTCCCGCCTAACAAAGCTCAAAAGCAAGCCTAGACAGATCAAACTATTTTTAATTTTTAATTACATTCCAAAAGAAAGCTCAAAAATATGTATTAATTTTTCAAAAATATTCAACATTCAACAAGGTAAACTCACAATGTCTGGCACCTAATCAAAAATTACCAGACATGAAAAGAGGCAGGACAATGTGATTCACAATGAGGAAGAAAATAAGTCAAGCAAAACTGACCCAGAAAAGACAATGTTGGTAGAATACAGACAAGTACGTTAAATTATTATCAGTCTATTCCATATTTTCAAAAAGTCAGATAAAAACTTACACATGTAAATAAAGATATTTGAGAAATTCTAAAAAAACAAATTAAACTTCTAGAGAAAAAAACATAGTGACTGAGGGGAAAAATACATTGAAATGTGATTAACAGCGGCTTAGACCTTGCAGAAGAAAAAATGACTGAACTTGGAGACATGGCAAGAAAAACTATTAGAAATAAAGCATGAAGAAAAGAGATTTTTTTTTCTAAATGAACAAAACAATAGTAAGTTGTGAAAGAACTATATTCAACTGGAGTCCCCAGAAGAGGTGAGACAGAGGAATTGGAAAAATATCCTTTAAAATAATGGCTGAATTTATGCCATGATTGGTGAAAACTATAAACCCACAGATCCAAGGAGCTCTGTGGACCCCAAGCCTAATAACATGGAAAAAATTACATTGTGGTATACCATAATTAAATTTCTTTAAAACTGTGGAAAAGAAAGCAATCTTAAAAGCAGCCAGAGTAAAAATAATCATTATGGCAGAGAAAAAAAAAATGAGAGTGGGCTTCTCTTCAGAAACAATGCAAGCCAGAAAATAATGGAGAAATATACTCAAAGTACTGAAAGAAAAATAAAGTCAACCCAGAATTCTATAAGCAGCAATAAAGGCAAAACAAAAAATTTTCAGACTGACAAAACCTGAAAGAATTCACCAAAAAATCTTCACTACAATGAACATTAAAGAAAACCATTCAAGCAGAGGAAAGGGACACCAAATAGAAATCTGGATCTACACAATGGAATGAGGAGTGACAGTAAATATGAAGATTTCTTTTCTTAGTTTTTAAAAATCTTAAAATAATTGACACATTAAAACAAAAATGATTACAATGTTTTGTGGAGTTTATAACACATGTATAAGTAAAATGAATGACAGTGAAAACACAAAGGCCAGGAGCCTGGAAATGAAAGCATATTGTAAAAAGTTTCCTTTTTTTTTTTTTTTTTTGAGACAGAGTCTCACTGTATTGCCCATGCTGAAGTGCAATGGCACAAACTCGGCTCACTGCAACTTCTGCCTCCTGGGTTCAAGCGATTCTCCTGCCTCACCCTCCCAAGTAGCTGGGATTACAGAAGTGCGCCACCATGCCCAGCTAATTTTTTGTATCTTTACTAGAGACAGCTTTCCACCACATTAGCCAGGCTGGTCTCAAACTCCTGACCTCGTGATCCACCCACCTTGGCCTCCCACAGTGCTGGGATTACAGGCGTGAGCCACCACACCCAGCCCAAAGTTTCTTATACATACATGCAGTGGTATGATGACACTTGAAGGTAGACTGAGACAATCTTAAGATGTATACTATAAACTATGTAGCAACCACTAAAAATATACAACTGAGAGTTAGAGCTAGTAAGCCAATAAAGGAGATAAAATGGATTCATTAAAAACACACAATCCAAAAGAAGGCAAAAAGAACAAAGAGCAAATGGAACAAAGAGAAAATAAATAGCAAGATAGATTTTGAAACCACCTTTGCAAAAATTATAACTGAGAAAATCATGGTAGTGAAAAAGATCTAACTCCATCTTGCTTCTAACCATCAAGTTGTCCTCATTCATTCCTGGGCCTAGGTCGAACTTTGGGAGGAACTTAGTTTACAGTTTAACTTTGAAACAAAGATGATAACAACCCTTTCTCAAAACAAATCATCTTCCTGCCTGGGGACTAGACTGCCTTTGCAGGACTAACAAATTAGCCATAAGGTTAGAAATTATGGTTTAGGAGTCATGCAGCTGGAGGCTGCAAGATTCTGAACCTCCCCAGATTGCTTCTGGGAATAATATTGTTACTGGGGGGTCCTTGCTCCCAGAGCTCCCAAGATGGTGGTGGGCTGCTTCCAAGATGGTGGCAAGCCTCTTGTTCTCTGACCTGGGGTTCTTGGCCTCATGGATTCCACGGAATGGAATCTTGGGCTATGCAGTGAGTGTTATAGCTCTATTAGAAGCTGTGGGTCACCGAAGAGAACTGTGGAACCCAGTGGCTAGTGTTCAGCTTGATTAGGGCACTTAACCATGCAGGAACAATGGTGAGCCGTTAGCCCAATTGGGAGCAGCAATGGTGCCTCACTGAATCAGGAGCACAGCGGACACCCTGCTGGATCTGGAGGGGTGGAAGTCAGTGGCAGGTCTGCGATGGTGGCAAACAGCAGTGGTGCATGGCAAGCAAAAGCTCAGTTTGATCTGTAACAAACACGGACCAGAAGAGTGTGCAGTTGCAGGATTTTAATAGAGTGAAAACAGAGCTCCTGTACAAAGGGAGGGGACCCAAAGCGGGTAACCATTGCTGGCTCTAATGCCTGGGTTTATATCCTGATCATTGTCCCTCCCCCTGTGCTCTCAGTTGATAGATGATTAGCTATTTCTTTACCTCCTTTTTTTGCCTAATTAGCATTTTAGTAAGCTCTCTTTACTACCTGATTGGTGGGGTGTGAGCTAAGTTGCAAGCCCTGTGTTTAAAGGTGGATGCAGTCACCTTCCCAGCTAGGCTTAGGGATTCTTAGTCAGACTAGGAAATCCAGCTAGTCCTGTCTCTCAGGCCCCCGTCTCAACAAGAAAACCCAAGGACTGCCAGGGAGGTTAGCCGATGACGACTCTAACTGCTTCCTGCTGAATTGGGGTGTAGTAGGGGTTGTGCAGTTGGGATTTCCTTGGGAGGAGTGACTTCGATGTCATTAACATTGGAGCATGGGCTAGCAGGCCAGTCCAGGGGTCCATGGTAGATCTTAGTCATGGACTGCATCTGGGACTCCATTTGAAGAACATTTGTAGCTTTACAGCTTTGATTCTGGAAGAGACAAACTTAACAAAGAGATTAAAGATACAGGGTCCAAAGAGGAGTAACAATATTATAGCTGCTAGAGGTCCTAAGAAGGGGAGAATCCAGTGCATCCATTGGCAGAGGAGGCCCCAGCGTCTGGTGTTTTGAAGCTCCTCTGGTCTATGTTGTATTCGATCTTGAATTTCTTTAACTTTCTCAGTGATGATTCTGGATTGATTAGCATAATAACATTCTTCCCCTAAAAATAAATAGGTTCCCCCTCTTTCAGCAGTTAGCAAGTCTAAAGCTCTTCGATTTTGAGGGACTACTGCTGCTAGGGAGTTAAGTTGATCTTGCAAGGTGACCAGTGAGTTGGTGACCCAATCCATGTCACCATTTAGTTCTTGAGATAGTTTATAGTAGAACTGAGTAGAGGTTTTGATACCACCAATGCCAGCACCTAGTCCGTCTAGCACTCCTGCTCCAATAACAAAAGAAAGAATGGGTACTCTTTTGTTATGGGACTTAGGTATGACATAATTGTATAAATCTTGTTCAGTGTAGATGATCATGGGGGCGCTAAGAATGAGAGGAACCACATAGATCCTGAAGAGCCATTCAAACAATGATAGGCTGAGGTACCACAAACAAAAAATATTCCTGAGGGTAGGCAGACTATTTGTGTGGGAGGAGTTACCCACCTGATGCATTGGGAGTTGGTTGTGTCTATAGAATTGCTAAATTTTACACAGGTGAGGTTTGAGGTATGGGTTATCTCCAAATTGGAAACAAGAGGTCCTACTAAAACAGAAGTGGTATTTATTTCTGTGCTGAAGTTGTTCCATTGTTCAGGTACAGGGATTGAAATGTATGGCCTGAAGTGCAGGCGGAAGCACATCCAACAGTTAGTAGGGTTTTGGGCCAAGGCCTCATGGAGCCCAGTGAGGGTGGTATTAAATAGGCTTACCAGGCAAGTATGGGTACGGAGGGTTTCATGTAGTTTTGAGAGCTCTAGTCCTTTTTAGGGGCTAAGGGTGCTATGCACCCAGGTCAGTTGGGAGATTACTTCCTTTACATGTTTTTCTCTTGCCTGATCTTGAACCCCACCCCCATCAGACATACCAGTACGGGTCAAGTAAGTCCAACAGACAGTGGCTCCAAGTCCTCCAGGAAAACTAGGATTAACCACTTTCCCTGTCCAATAATGAGTATTTGCATGCATGCAAAGAGTGGCAGAGTTATAGCAGTTGTGGGGCATGTGGGTGTGGGTGGTTAAGCTGGGGTTTCACTTAGAAAAACTCCTAAATGATGGGGCATTAATATTTCTGGGAAGCCACAGTCTCCATAGAAGCTCTTGGTAAGGGGAGCTACTGGTCATACAGTGGCATGGAGCGGGTTCAGTGAGAGTGAAAGGGTGTAAGAGAACAGTAAAGGGAAAAATATGATAAGGGAGGGCCATGGGGATTTATGATTTTCGTTACTTTCCTCACAGTTGTTGCTTGAAGAGGAGGCACAGACTCTCTAGAGGTTCCCAGCAATAGCTAGTGTTGTCTCCTGGATTTTCGGGTTCCTTTGGCAGTATCCAGGGTTTGACTTGAGTGTGATGTATCCAAGACTCCACTCCAGCCCCTTTAACCATGGTTGGGGTAGATAAAATGATGGTAGGGTCCTTCCCAGGATGTATCTAGGGATGGGGAATTAGAGGGAAGGGACTTGACTAATATCATGTCACGAAGGTGGAATAATTCCTTTCCCTCCTCTTGGGGACAGGTTCCTTGTAATGTTTTAAGAACTTGTTGATATTTGGCTAAGGAAGTGATGTCTGCAACTAAGTTGGCTGTCTCTCAGTCAAGCACAAGGTCATTGGTTAGGAAGGGCCATCCATACAGCATTTCGTATGAGCTAAGTCCTGCTTTTTGGGGACAGTTTCAGATTCTTAGTAAGGCTATAGGCAACAGAGCAGGCCACGTGAGGTGGGTTTCCTGGGTTAGCTTTTTTGGATGTCATTTGAGTTTTTCATTCATTTTCTCAACTTTCCCTAAGGATTGTGGCCTCCAGGCGCGGTGTAAGTGATATTGTATGCCTAATGCCTGGGATACTCCCTGGGTTACTGTCGCCTTGAAAGCGGGGCCATTGTCACTCTGTAAGCCTCGGGAAGTCTGAATCTGGGAATTATTTCATGAACTAGTATCTTTATTATCTCTCGGGCCTTTTCTTTCCTGCAGTGGAAGGCCTCTCCCCAACCAGTAAAAGTATCTAGCCGAACTAGTAGATACTGAAATCCTGAGATTTGGGCATGTGGGTAAAATCCAGTTGCCAGTCTTCTCCTGGGTAATGGCCTGTTCTTTTTTCTCCTGAAGGAGCTTGGTGATAAGGCAGGGGATTATTTCTTTGGCACACTTCACAGGCCCTGACTATCTGCTTGATAGTTTTGAAAAGGCCTGGTCCAGTAAATAATGATTTGGCCATCTGATGGGTGCTATCAATGCCTAAGTGAAAGGTTTGGTGAAGGGTTTTAAGTAATTTCTATTGGTTAGCTGCAGGCTTTAGGTTAGCTGTTGTCCTTCTTCAGTGGCTAGCCATCCTGAGGAGAGGAAACTATGTCCTTGTGAGGTTCCCCATTCTATGTCTCCTGCAGAGTACTGGGGCTTGGTTTCCCAGAGGGGATTACCCCATACTAGGGGTCCTTCTATAAGGATTTCTAATGGAGTGTCCTGCCTTGTGGCTCTTTTGGCTTCAATATCCACTTGGCGGTTCCCTTCTATTTCCCTTTCCTTTCCGATGACCCCAGCAGTGTAAGACTGCCACCTCTTTAGGTTTCTCTATAGCCAATAATAATCTCCTAATGGCTTCCTGATGTTTGATAGGTGTTCCCTCAGAAGTTAGGAATTCCCTTTCTCTCCATATTGCTGCATGGGCGTGGAGGACTAGGTAAGCATACTTAGATTCTGTATATATATTTACCATTTTTCCGTCCCCTAATTCTAGTGCCTGAGTGAGGGCTATTAGTTCTGCCAGCTGAGCGCTAGTTCCTGGAGTGAGGGGATTACTTTCAAGTATTCCATTATCACTGGCCACTGCATACACCACTTTTCAAGTGCTTTTTCTACAAAGGAACTTCCATTAGTATACAAGTTGAGGTCAGGATCAGCCAAGGGAACCTCTAGAAGTTCCCCTCGAGCAGCGTAGCTTTGAGCAATTACTTGTTGACAGTTATGTTCTATCTTTTCTTCATTGACTGGAAGAAATGTGGCTGGGTTAAGAGTTGCACAAGTGTGCAGTCACAGCACTGGCCCTTCAAATAATAGAGCCTGATATTTAAGCAAACAGTTGTCTGACAGCCACAAGTCTCCTTTAGCAGTGAGTATGCCGTTCACATCATGAGATGTCCACACAATAAAATCTCTTCCCTGTATTATTTTAACTGTTTCAGATACTAAGACTGCTACTGCTGCCACAACCCATAAACAATGAGGCCAACTCTTTGCCACCACATCAATTTCCTTACTCAGGTATGCCACAGGTTGCAAGCTCGTCCCTTGAACCTGTGTAAGGACTCCTAGAGCTATTCCTGTTTTTTCTGTGACATATAAAGAAAAGTCTTGCTCCATTGGTAAGCTTAACAATGGGGCTTGGGTTAGGGCCTCCTTTATGGCCTGGAAAGCTTCTTCTGCTTCAGGTGTCCATCTTACTAAATGGGTATTGGCTTTCTGAGTTTCCTTAATTAATGTATATAATGGCCTGGCTATTTCGCCATACCTGGGAATCCATATTCAGCAGAAGGCTGTTATGCCAAGGAACCCTCTTAGTTGCTTTAGGGTTTTGGGATGAGGATAAGCCAGTATAGGCTAGATACATTCCTCACTGAGGTCCCTGGTGCCTTTGGATAACTTTAGCCCTAAGTATTTAACCTGCTGTGAGCAGAGCTGAGCCTTTGGTTTGGAAACCTTGTAGCCACAGGTGGCGAGGAAATTTAAGAGAGCTTCGGTGGCTTGATGGCACAAGGTTTCTGAATAGGCAGCTAAAAGTAAATCATCCATGTACCGAAGGACAAGAGTGTCCAGGTATGAGAACTGGCTCAAGTCTTGGGCTAATGCCTGGCCAAATAGATGGGGACTATTCTTGAACCTCTGGGGTAAAACAGTCCAGGTAAGTTGAGATGCTGGGTTCGAAGGATCTTCAAAGGCAAACAAGAATTGAGAGTCAGGATGTACAGGGATGCAGAAAAAGGCATCCATAAGGTCCAGGACTGTAAACCACTCTGCTTCCTCTGGTATTTGGGAAAGCAGAGTATAAGGGTTAGCTCTCTTTACTACCTGATTGGTGGGATGTGAGCTAAGTTGCAAGCAGCCCAGTGTTTAAAGGCAGATGCGGTCACCCTCCCAGCTAGGCTTAGGGATTCTTAGTTGGCCTAGGAAATCCAGCTAGTCCTGTCTCTCAATATCACCATTGTAAAGCCTAAAATTGGTGCCTGAGATATTTTCCACACCCTGTACTCGATGAATTAGCTGGCACGACCCAGATCAATAGACTGGCTCATCTGGTCGTTTGGCCCTTACCCAGGAACTGACTCAGTGCAAGAAGGCAGCTTTGACTCCCTATGATTTCATCTCTGACCCGACTAATCAGCACTCCCCACTTTCTGACCCCTTACCTACCAAATTATCCTTAAAAACCCTGATCCCTGTGTTTTCCAGGAGTCTGATTTGAGTAATAGTAAAACTCCAGTCTCCCATACAGCCAGTTCTACATGAATTAAACTCTTTCTCTATTGCAATTCGTCTGTCTTGATAAATGTGTCTAGGCAGCGGGCAAGAAGAACTCACTGGGCGATTACAATTTTAAGTCAACCATATCAATAATCATATTAAATGTAAATGGTTTAAACACCCCAATTAAAAGGCAGAAATGGTCACATTGCATTTTTAAAAATGCAAAACCCAATTATATGATTGTTATAAGAAACCCACTTTAAAAATAAGAACACAGATAAGTTAAAATAATTGAAAAGTATGTACAAAACTACACTAGTCAAATATCATTAATAGGCGAACTGAAACTTCATCAAAGAAGCCTTTGTTATTTGTATGTATGAAAGCCTGATAACCTAGATGCTTCTTTTTTTAAGTTCTAGAACTACCTTTTAAGATGGTAGTTACACTGTCTTGCACACTGTTTCCCCTGGGGGGGTGGTTAGAGAATGGAAGTTGAAACTGGGAGATGAAAATGTCTCTCTTTGTATTTTATTTCTTTTCTTTCTGTTCTTTTTTCTGTTGACTGAACAGTAAAAGAAAACAGCAACATAATCTTGAGCTCTTTTTGCTTGGTGCACCAGCCACATTATTGATCTTGTATCATAGTTTATATAAAGCAATGGTAGCTTCAGTGACTCCCAGCTTTCCTCCAAATAAATGGCTATTATGTATGAAGACCAATGCCTACAAGGTGAATTTAAGAGAAAATAATGTTTTAAGTTCATTCTGTTTTCTTTTCTGCTCCGTTTCTCTCATAAATAAATAATAGCTAACTCAATTAGATTGTTTCATTATGCTAGATTATTGAATATTACTTAGTTTACTCAAAGATTTTTGTCAAATTATGTTTTGAGGAAAGTTGGTTCTGTGCATGGATGAAGTGTCACTAAAAAAAGCTAAATGAGTACATATTCAAAAGCAGGACCTATGTTTCATTTAGCTACAGTTTATTTTCTTCCTATTTTGTGATCGAAGATTTATCATTTTTTCTAAAATTGGATAAGTAGGGAGTGAGGGCAAAGGTAAGAAATGAAATAGCAGAAGAAACTAGATGTGTTCTGGGTTAGAGCAAAGCTGGAGTGGAGGTATGAGATCCCTATGTGTCTGAATTTGTTTGAAGAGAAGTGGAGGTAGGACAAGGGAATGAATTCTAGAATCTTAACTTCAGATGCAAGCAACAAGAAATGGCAAAGGGAGAATGATTTGTCCATTACATGAATTCATATTACTATTAGTTCTGGCCAGTGCAACCAGACAACAGAGCATGTTAAATTTGAGGGAAGGATTTGGAGGTAAAGTGCAAGAGGTGAATACATTTGAAAAGAAGATTAGACCAGTGAACTGCAGCTCCCAAATTAACCCCAAGAACATCAAAAGCATAATCTCTCTGGCACCCAGCATAGGCTACAGAGCTTTAGTTTCTTTCTAGAACCAATTGGATTTGACCCAGCGATTTACCCATTTGACTCACAAGCTGAGAATAATATACTGCACAGGTAGCTCTCCTTTGTGAGCATTCAGACCAGCAGACTAAGAGAAGGAATACCAATAACAAGGGTACATTTTTTTAAAAAAGTTTAAAATAAACTTTTTATAAAATCTCCTTTGAAAACTCCAGATGCATTACTAACATTATCCAGTACAGCTAACTCATATTTGCTATTCAAGGGCAACTTGTCAATTCTCAAAATAATTAGACAACAGTCAACACATAGGCCCTGTATTAGCAGAACGAAACATCACTGAATTATCTGAACACTTAAGACTAACATTTTGCAGCATCACAGAACTGATCTGTGTGTGAGTTGGGGAGGAGTGTTCATGATGAGAAGAAATTTTTCATTGTTTGAAATCCCACTGAATACGAGATTGCCATATTATTCTTATTCTCTGGTTGAAAATACACAGGAAGCCTAGATGATAGGAGGCCAGTGTATCATATGAATCTGAGAAGATCTATATTCTTCCACAAACAAAATGTCAGCTTTGAATAAAAACAGAACTAACTCTCATGTCTTCATTTTGATCTTCAATGCTATATAATCTGCCATGTGGCAGGTCTCGACCCAGCATTGGAGCTGAAGGAAGTTAAGAATTATTGAAACATCTTGGCTCAAGCATTGCCTGTGGATGATCACAGGTGAGTAAGGGAAAAAGCCCACCCAGTTGTCAAATGAAACTAATTATCTGTTCTCTGGTTTTCTTAATTTTTTTAATTGTATTTGATTCTAATTTCTTACTATGATTCTGAAAGACTCGAATTATTGCGGCCTTTCCACAAATACATGCAAATACTCTCTACCTAGCTGTCAATACTTTGGTCTTGTAAGGGCCTCTTGGAAAGAAACCTGCTTAAACCTGAACATTCCTCCACCTTCTTCAATAAACACCATTCAGCTCCTCAAGAATTGAAAAGAATGTATGAGAGAGTTTAGGACATTCAATTCCAAATTAAATTCATGCCTTCTCTAGTTATCAAAACAAACCATTTGAAACTTTTAAAATTAAGACTGTTTTCTTCCCAAGACATATTTCTTACAGCTCAGGTATTTTGTAAAATCCATCATTCCTGCCAACAATGTATTCACTTAAGGGGTATTCTGCACATGATTCAGAGAGAGATCAAATGTGCTGTGGAATTGGTAAATACTAATATTTGCTAAGTTGAAGGAACACCCAGAAGGCTGAAAAGTCAAGCCAAAGAGACATAAAAAATTAATCCTCCATTGTCCTCTTGACAATTACCACAGTAGGAATCCTGTCTAAGTTTGCTTTTCCTAAATTCCATATTTCATGCTTCTCAATTTTCATATCTATTATGGAACTGATACGAGGAAACATATACATTAAAGTCAAGGTGAATGAAAAAAAATTTTGAATCTTACTGTTGGTTGCATTAAAACTAAGAATATGATTTTCTGATTATGCAGTGTTTACACTTGACACCAGTCTGGGTAGAAATCTTCAAGGATAATCATGTTCAATTCATTAAATTAGGGGTGCTTAAAAGGCAGGAGTGGGAAGGTAAAAGTAGGATGTTCCATAGTTTAGATATGAGAAGAGATACCAGGGTGAGAAAGCACAGTAAAGAGAAAAGCAGTTTAGTAGGATAATAGCTATAGTTTTTTGAGCATGCATTGACAACTTTATTTCCATCATCTCTAAGCCTTATATCAACCCACAAGGCAAATATCATATTCCTCATTTTATAAATGAAAAACAGAGGCTCAGGTAATTTAAATAAGGACCAAAGTCAAATACTTGTGCCATTGTCATATTTAAACAAGAGCCTACGTAATAGCCCAAGTTTGTTTCAATAAGCCAAGAGGAAGGAGCTCTGAAGGCCTCAAGTGACATTTATAGAGATTAGCTAGATAAAGGAAAGCCATTGGAGGTTTTAATGAAGGAGTGCTAACACAGGATCTGTGTTCGCATAAGAGTCCTCTGGTAGTGAAAAGTGACTGAAAGGAAGCGAAGTTACAAAAATCTCTCCAAGAGCAGGAAGGTAGGAGGGCCTAGGTAGGGCCATGAGCACATATATGACAAGGCAAGGGCAGATGGGGTGTAAGACAGACACGGATGGAGGCAACAGAGTTGGGAAATGCATTCATCAGAAATCGTCTTTGCAGATCTGGCTCCCGCCACTTGTGGCTGAGATATGTCGGATCCTTCTCTCAGCCTAATGTAGATCTGCAAACTAAGGCAGATTCCTCAACATTCCTTCAGAATAACAATAGCAGCTGTTACTTAAGTGGTTACTCTATGTTACAGCTGTGATACAGTAAATGTATTATATAAGTTAGTCTTCATAGCTAGAGATAAGTATAGTTATCAACCCATTTAATGATAAAGAAACTGAGGCTCCCAGTTAAATCATTGACTCCAGCTCTGTACTATATCAAAACCTGTGTGTTAATCACTGAGCTGTGCTACCTTTCCTGAAATTGATCCAGATTAATTCCTTCCCTCCTTCCTTTTTCCTTCCTTCTTTTTCTTACTTTGAGCACCTCGTACTCAGCCCCAATATTTGTCAAATGCAAGAATGTATCTTTAACCCATGTGATGTGAAGAATTATAGGGAAAAAAACAAATAGTTATTCTGGATGATCCAAACACATACAGTTTTATGCCATGAACACATTCTCCCAAAGTAATACTTTTTTAGATTATGAGGTGAAATAAGTGGTGAGATATGTACAGAAAAATCATATGAGGGCACCACCTTTTTACCAAGCTGGTAGGTTGTGGCTTGGCTGGCAGCCTTTTTCTCATTTGATGTTATTGTCTGAGTATTGTTGATAGATCTTGGATAGTAAATCTGTTGAGGGCAGGAAGGAAGAAGAAAAAGAAAGAGAAAAAAGCATGGTCCTTTTTCCCAAGACATTCACAATGGCCTCAAGAAGAAAGATAGGGAGACATGATGAGGATGCAATATGAGATGGGTGATAGCCAAGGCAGCATACAGTACTGAGAGAGCTCAACGGAAGGCATGGAACTCAGGATCACCTACATCACTGAGTTTGCCAGTGACCTTCTCAGAACGTGACACACAGAGCAAATGCAGCATTCCAACATGGTGGGCAAGAGTCCCTTGAAATGGACAACTCTGTAGCCTATATTTTCTTATCTGTTGTAACTGAGCTTTGAAGTTTTAACAGGCGTTGAGCAGGCAGAAATGGCCGGGTGAGGGGTAGGATTGCTAGTGAAGAAACAATATGGGCAAAGCTCCAGCTAATCTCAGCATCCTTGCTCTGCACCGAAGTTTAGCTTCAGGGAAGTTTACCTCCAGTGCCACCACCTCTTCAGCTCTCATGCACTCTCAACTCTCTGAGGATACTTATGCCCTGAGCACACCAATCAATCTGTTCTCAGTGCAGCCCCAATGACCTCTAAGTTGTCAAATTCTATGGCATATTTCTATCCTTGTATTTCTTGTATCTCTAGCACATTCTGTCTTGAAATCTGCTTCCCTTTTCTTTGGCTACCCCTTAGTCACCTTTGCAGAGACTCCTGTTGCTACTTTGTGTGTATCATGTCAATGTTGGTGTTCCTAATACCTCTATCCATACCCCTTCTTCTCTGACTTCCAGATGCCATCCCAGGCTGACCTACACAGAACTGCCTCCAAACTTGGAGCTGCATCGCAGGCCTCTCCTAAAGTTCCAGACTTATATATCCAATTGCCAGTTGGCCATCGCTGGAGATCTTCTTGAGAAACCTCAAAGTAAACATGTTCCTCAAACCTGCTGCTCCTCTTAAATTTCCTGTCTCGTCACATTGTTATCCACCAAGTCACACTGGTTAAAATTCTGGGAATCAGACGAGACTCCTTCTTCTTCTCTCCACCCCAAAGTTCTGTGGATGCTAATTCCTTCATAACTCTAAAATAGGTATCTACCTTTCCATCTTTACTGCCACCCCTGAGATCAGGCCCGTATAACTTTTCATGTGGACAAACGCTCCAGTCATTTCCTGGTCACTTTGATTCATCATTTCCAATCTGTCATCCAAATAGAAGCCAGAATGATTGGTCTAAATTACATTATTCATCATGTCAACTGCTGAAAACCCTTTATTGCCTCTCCAAGCTCTCAGGATGAAGTCACACTCCTTCGTTTGTCCAGTAGTGACCACAGTCTACTTCTAGCCTTAGCTCATGCCATTCTCACATGCAACCCACACCCCAGCAACACCAAACTACTTCCTACTCCCAATTGCACCAACTGGATCTTTTTTGCCACTGTGTTTTCCCATATGTTTTTCCCTCCACATGGAGACCATTTCTCTCCTGTCTCCACCTGGTTCATTACTACAGGCTGTCAATAATGTACCCAAAGGTTAAACTCTTCCCCATGCTGTCCTCTCCCAGTGGGCCTGTGTACGCCTGCTTGTCGGCCTCCCTGAACAGTCTCCTTTGTTAGCCAACAGACAAAATGCATTATTAATTAATGCCTAGCACAGTCACTAGCACTTACCAGCACTCCATAAATGCTTGCTGAGATAATGAATGAATAAATACACCCCTCTTCATGGATACAGCTTGCAGAATCTTGCTTTCCCTTGCTTGTAGCCCACTGGAATGTATGTAATCTTTGTATAAAAATGTGCTGAGAACGAACCATAATATTTTAAAGATAGTCCAACCAGTGGCATTAGCTGACCCTTTGTAGGTCAATATTTAGAAGCCAAAAAGGCTGATGTACATTTAACTTTATGCCAGCTTTTCTTTGATTTGGTTTGGGGGATTTTTTTTCTGTTTGTTTGGGGGATTTCGTTGTAATGACATTATATATAGCAATTTTTTCACTCTTCTATTCATTTGCCTTTTTTCTAAGTTCAATACATTCATTTTGCTTCATGAGTAAATCTTATTATTTTAATTCCATAGTTCTATTTTTACAACACCATTTTGAATTCTGAATCTGTCATTCAGTATGTTATTACTAATCTCGGTTTAAGACATTTGCTTATTAGGTAAGTGATATAGATCTCCCTCCCCAAGTTGTGAAGAAAAGAATAAAAAACTTGGAACAGAAACTTGAAACCTGCCACTAAATCATTGCCTCTAGATTAACTAATTTACTAATCCTCATTCTCGTTGTAAAATTATTTAATTAGAGGTTACAGCCTACTCTCAGTATTCTTGATGAGGCATCCTGAAAAACTCTACAACATGATTTGCCTGTATCATTTAACTTTTATCTGAGTCTATTAATGCCATCAAATGGCATTTGAGGTTAGTTTAACATGACTTGTTTTTGCTTCCACGTGTTCATTACCCTGCTTCATCTCTAAAACTATTTATCAACAAACATCAAGTTCACATGTTGACACATTCAGGACCCACATCTTTCCACTTTCTAAAACTTTCCACTTTCTAAAAATGTGCTAAAAACTAGCACATTTTCCATCTCTTGGCGTCTGTCCTGATAGGTCGCCAAGTGTGTTTTACAATCCCTTCTTCAAGAAATCACAGTATTGTGGGATGTCATTCCTCCAGGCCAGAAACCTTAAAACTCATTAACACAAACAGAGGTTCTCTGAGTCTTCAGTTTCCTCTTTACCAGCATTTTCCTACCCTTCCCTGTTTCAAAACTAATTTCCTTGATAGAAAAAGCTTGACTGACCTGACCACATTGTCCTTGCAAAGGACCAGGCAAAGCAGAAGTCTGTTAGCGGGTGCATCCAGATTAACTAAACATTTTGGATCCTGCTGCAGCAACTTTCTCATTTGGACCTGTTCTATAAACTTAGAATTGTTCTATGTCCTTCTGAACTTCAGCTTCGCTAACACTACATTTGCAGATGCTCAGCATTCTTTTCCTTTAGGTCCTTGGTTAATTAACCCTCCTTTCATCTTTTGTCCTGTCCCTTTGGAAAAAAAAAAAAAAGGATCCACCTTATACTCCCTTCCAGTTCTGTCAGTCTATATTTCTAAGACTCCAGCAGATTTCATTCATACTTTTTGCTAAACCTAAAATGGTATATTAACAAACATGTACCAAGCACCTTCCTCTACCAGTTTTCCCAACTACTACAAATTTCACTTCCTGCAAGTATTAGCACATGCTGAAAATCTGCTCTGACGTAAGCACTGCAGAATTTCTCACCCTGCTCAAGCAGGTGCCTGACCTGAGAATCTGGAGAAAATCATGTTCTAAACAACTTGTTCTAGGTCGTTTCCTTCATCTAAACTTAGAGCCCCTCCTTGACCCTGAACTGTACTTCATATCCTATAAACTCTCTGTATCTTCACTGTTACAAAGCATTGTGTACATCTGATCTTGAGACAGAAAAGTACAAGTTTATTCTGATGTTCACAGTATAGTAAAAGGAGTTTTCTTAATCCCCCAACGTACAGATTTTCCCTTGTATCCCAGATGTCATTTAGGGCCACATAGCCTCATAGACAAGCATAAAAAAGAATCAACCAGGCTTAAGCCTTTGTAACTTCTCCAGAGGAAATTCCAGTGCCCTCCCCATGATAGCTGCATATTCTCAGGGCGTGTACATTTAATAGCAACCTTTGGCTCCAAGTTTTTAATTTTGTCGCGTTCAATATACTGGTGAGGTGGTCATCACCTCACCAATATAGACCATGGTTAATTTTTTTCTCAGTTTCCACTGAAAACAAAAAATATCCCCATAAGATAGCCCTGTGGAACAGCTGCCACCTCCTTGCTTCCAGCCCCAGGATGAAGCCATCTGAGAAGACAGGGAAAGCAATCTGGAGCCTGAGGTACTGTTCCTGGGACCTGCCCTGCCTCTAGATCCCTTACTTGGTGCCTCGTAGTGAGAGATTATGTCTTCTCACGAGGCCGACCAATTTGCTTCAGCTATAACTGGGATGCATACACACTGCAACTCCTCTTTATCTCCGTTGCAAACTGCCTATATCCCATGCGTATCCCACTCTGTAACACAGGCACAATACGATTTGCCCATTTTAACATTCCAATATAGAATTTAATACCGATCCTTCAGAGTTAGAATTTCGGACTGGTCTTCAGCTGCCCATTTACAGATTATCTCTTTCAGTTCAACTGCTTCTATAAATGACTGATCGTATTCATTACATGTTCTGCTTGTTTTTTTGTTTTTGCTTTTGTGGTTTTTTTTCCTAGCTTCCTTCTCAGAAGGTAACTTTAACTTCAGTCTTGAAGGTACCACGCAGTTACCTCCATTTACTACCCACAAGGGACTGAACTAAATGTTCCTGAAGGTCCTTTCCAGCAGTAAAATTTATGACTCTATATAAGAACCAGTTTCACTATCTGCCAGAGATTACACATAAATGCTTTTCTTTTATCTGAGCTTATGTCAGGTGGGTCATCCTCTAAATCTAAAAGCAAAACCATTTTATTTAGGCTCCTTTTAGAACAAACAGAACAAAAACAAAACAAGTCGCTGGAATATAACTTTTGTTTTTTGGTTTTTTGGTTTTTGTTATTTTTTTTTCTTTGCTGTAAGAATGGAGAAAGGGAGTCTTTGTGTCCTTAAATCGATCATTTTTACTGTTGGAAACATTACTTGATATGATTTATTTCATTACAAAATAGATTCTAATAAGCATTCAGAGTAACACATGATGGTTAACATTAACAGCGAAATAATGAAATCTCAACTGAGTGAGACCTTGGTTAGTACAGCTAACGCCAAAACCTTGTATCTTTTATTGGGCCTGAATCCCACTGGTAAAATAAATCAATAATGTAACACCTGGTCCTGCACTGAAGGAAATTTGGAAATATCTTGTTCCACACCTAGAAAAACCTTGCAGCTGCAGAACAGAGCAGCACTGTGCATGTTCTTTTAAGGATATGACTTTTTTAGTTAAGGGGAGGAAAAAGCACAGGTAGTATGTGTCTCCCTTGTTTCTAACTGTCACTGAGGCAGAGGCCACCGCACCGCTGAGGCTGATGCCGGCTGACAGTGGCAGCATATTGCTTGCTGGATGTGATGATACAATTCAGGGAGAATCTCTGCAGCCCTCATTATCTGCTGCTGTACTCGCTCGATGCCGCCTCTGCTCGCTTCAGTAGGTGGGGGGATTATTAAATATAATTCTACTAATTATGGCTTGATAGAAAAGTTGGACAGGTTCAGAATCAGTGCCCCAAAGGAAGAACAACATGAGGTAAAGATTGGAGGGCTTTTATGGTGGTACTTGAAGATAATTATAGGTATAGAAACCAATTCCAGAGAGAAAAAAATTCAGCCAAGCCCAGACTGTTTTCATAATACAGCATAGCTCCCTTTTAATGTGAAACATTAATTGATTTTCCCTGAGGGGTCAAAATTCTTGCAATGTCAGTCTTCTGGACTGAGCCTCAGGCCTACGGCAGCAAGCAGCAAGTGGGAACTTAAAGAAGCCTCAGGGATCTGTTGCAACTTCCCAACCTTTTGCCAAGGCAGCTAGGCTGTGGCATACCTTATTTTGGGTTCCCCAGAGAGCAGATAGACGGTCAAAATTTCAGAACCTTCAGTATATACTGCATTTTATAAAAATAATGTTACTGTAAATTGATTCATAGAACCAAAAGTAGATATTGTGAATGATACTGACTCATTATTATGCTTTGGTACATTTAAGGTGCAATTCAATTAATATCAAAGAATTTAATCTTTCTCTTTAAAATATCATGACCCAGAATAATTACTCTGATAAGCCTACTGAGGCAGAATCACTTTAATTCTACAAAAAGGATTACAAGTACACTTTAGATGTCCTTTTTAATGGGGTGGAATTGGGCAATAAAATCTCCAAGAGAGCATTTGCCATTGGTTGGCAATGATAGACTCTAGGTTTTTATTTTACAGTCTAAGATTTCTCTGACTTTCCTAGATGCAGAGAAATCCAGGCCACCCTGGTTACAGGTGGCCATTATCTGGATGCATCCTTGTAAAAAACACATCCTAAAGATAGCAGTGAAGCAGTCACTCAAATCTGTGGCAACCTAGCAGAAGAACATGAATCCAGGCAGAAGACTATATATAGATATATGAGGCATACGAATAATTCAGTGTTTTGTAAAATGTGGCACCTGTATTCATGATAACCTTAACTGGTGCGGGAGATGGTTTTTGATATAAAATAGATGTAAGACATAAACTTTAATACCAATGAATCACTGTATGAGAAAGTTATTCTCTGTTCAGTCTATCAACCTACCTTATAAGACCAAAAAAAATCTGTTTGGTGTTTCTCTGTAATATAAGTCTCTAAAATTTGCTAATCTCTCATTTTATTAGAAAGATAGCAGTCATCAAGTATCAACCTGTAATTAAATAATATTGCTTTGTCTTCACTGTATGAACTTTCACCATAACCTTTCATTTATGAAATCTACAACTGTTTTTCTATACATGACAGCAATATAAAGTTTCCTCTTAAATATATTAAATTTGGGGGAGAAGTAGGTTTAATTCTAGGGAAAAAAACTGTTAAGTGTAAAACAATACAGGAAGCACATGGATCTGGCAAAAATAGTGAAAGTAGAAGACAAATAACTGAAGTGTGGGAAGCACCACAATGCCTAGAAATTGGGAGCAAGATTTTACCATCTCCCCACTCCTGCCACAGAGGCTGGATAAATGTTGCAGAGGCTGCCCTGTGCATTATAGCACAAATATAAGGATGTTTATCGGCATCCTTGGCCTCTACCCATTAGATGCCTAAAGCACCTTTCTCCCCATGTTGTGACACAAAAAATGTCTCCAGGCTTTTCCAAATGCTCCCTGGGGGAGCAGAATCACTCTGGTTTGAAAATAACTAATTTAAAGCAATATGGTATCTGAGTAAATGTTTCATTTAGGAGGCAGATAGGGAATAGCGTTGGGCTTCATGGAAGTGACAATGTGAAGAATTCCAGGAGTGAAAGCCATCAATCACAGCAAAATAATACATGAAGTCAGAGAATGTTGGGTAGATACATTTTAATAAAGGAAGAGATTTCCGTTGAGGGTTTCTCCCATCCACTGGTTTATTCAAATATATTAAGATCAACTATACTACCTCTAATAAAGGATTCTAGGTATGGATCCCAAAAATGAGGTCACTAAGGCTGTTTGCCTTTGCAATTCATTTCTGTATCCAACCAGAGAGTAGAATGTTTTTGTGAATCTTCAGGGAAAAAAATGCCACAAGATCTAGCTTGCCAATCTGGCCTGACTCAGTAGGCTGAACTGGCCTGGCTTTTTTATGAGGTGTTTGGCAGACTGAGTATTTAATTTCATTCTTTTATTTTATGTTTTGGGTGTACATGGCCAGAGGCCTTTGGACAATTGCCTCTTTTTTAATAAAGCTAATAAATGCCCAAAGGAAATTTACCTATATCTAAACTGACATAACAAAGCTGACACATTAGAGGGGTCAGGCATGAGAGATTCCAGCAATTTATATAAATGGAGGAAGCTGGCATAAATTTGGACTGTCTGGAGTTATTACTCAGTCATTGGCAGCCTTCCAGGCTGTTCATAATTTTAAATAAATTCTGATCTTGGTGATGTATACTTATTGATCAAGTTTTCAGAAAGTCATCACTATGTACTCTTTGACTACATATTGATCTGAAATCTCTATAGTTCCTGAGAGAGGTCTGGCATTACATTAGCTATTATCTGTACCACAATTTATCCTTCTATTTGAATCAAGCCTGTGGATAAGTGACTCATTCTGTTCCACTTACTATGGAAAGAGACCTGGATAGCTACTGAAAAACAAGATTCTTGGGTCCTATATCTCAATTCATCACTAATTTTCTTTAGACGTTTCATTTCTCAAACTCTATTTCTCCTAAAGATTAAAAAAGTAAATGGTGTCATCTACGGAAAAGAAATCCTAGGTTTATATTTTTCAAATTCCTGTTCTAAAAATATGTTGTCTTCTTATACAAAGACACTGCTGTAGACTTATCATCTGCGATTTGGAGTTTTTTCTCACATGGCAAGCAGTGGATAGTAGGTTTTAATGACAATCTAACTCAACTTCCCTTGTAAATAATGGGCCACGTTTCTAAAATGGCTGGCTGGAACAAGAGGAGTAGCCAGGGGCCAGAAAACAGCTCTTCCACATATAAAGCTAAGTGACTTAAAGAGATATGTAATTGTTCATTAATTCAACACTTATTGAATGCATACTCTCTACAGAGTCCTGTATTACATGCTAAAATTTGCAACAGTGAATAATAAACTGCTCCTACCCTTGTTTACCCCAGGTACTAGGAAACTGCTCAGCAGCTAAAAAGATTCTCATACCTAAAAAGATTCTCAAGCTAGGTTTTCTACATATATGCAAATAATATGCAAGACATATGATTATTATCCTACGACACTTAGGATATTTCATCTGGTAGTGCTGTCTTAGGAACTGAGCTTCCACTGAGCGAAATACTCAACTTTTGTGGTAGAAATAGTACATGATGCTATCTCTTCCCTCCATATTTATTCAGATTTTATGTGTGTATTAGGTGTTCTAGAAATTCATGCTTTATAAGTTGGGCCCCAACTAGCTGGTGCTTAAAAATACTTTATTTATTCCCAATTGATTGTTTTTCTATCTTTCAAAATGAGTTTTCCAAGTATTCCCCACCCCCCCAACCTTTTTTTTTTTTTTTTCACATTTCTAACCCTCCTGATTTTTCTTTTTTTTTTTTTTTTTTTTTTTTTTTGGAGACAATATCTCACTCCGTCACCCAGGCTGGAGTGCAGTGAGTGGCGCAATCAAGGATCACTGCAGCCTTGACCTCCAGGGCTCAAGCGATCCTCCCACCTCAGCCTCTCGAGTAGCTGGGACTACAAGCGTGCATCAACACACCTGGCTAATTTTTGTATCTTTTGTAGAGATGGGGTTTTGCCATGCTGCCCAGGCTGGTCTTGAACTCCTGGGCTCAAGCAAGCTACCAACCTCAGCCTCCCAAAGTGCTGGGATTACAGGCATGAGCCACCACACCAGGCACCCTCCTGATTTTTAGCCAAGAACGTTGTCCCTAATTCATGGAAATAATTAACAGATTTTCTCACCTTCCAGCCCCTTCTCTTCAAGATGTCCCCATTCCTTCATCCCTCATTTTTTTCTTCTCATTTGACTTAAATGAAATGGTGGTCCTTCTCCTCCAGCAAATCCTGAACTGCATATCACTATCCTCGCCCTTCCAGGTTCACCCAGGATAATGCACCATCACTCAGCCCATTATTCTTTTCCATATTCTGTTTCTGTGGGAGCCTCTTCTTTTGCTTGTTATTGCCCTATTTCTTTACAAAATGGAAGTAACCCCTTAGCCCAACAGTTCAATTCCTGGGAACACATCTTAGAGCAACCTTCACACAATACATAGGCCCATAATCCAAATCTTCTCCAGGATTTCTCCCTGCAAATAGTCCTAAAGACTCAGATGTTGTCTCTGAGGAATTTTAATCACCCTCATTTTAGACTTGATGATATGTGTGTTCTTACATCCAGGATGTATTACTTTTTTAAGAAAAACAATAGGATGTCTTTGAATGCCAATAACTTTTCACTATATCCAATTACTTATCCAATGCTATGGATTCTACGTCTGAAATGATGCTCAAATCTAACCTTTCCCTTCAGCTGTAACCTTTCCCTCACTCCTGCCCATGTTCAGTACTTCTTCAGATATTAACAGATCAGTCACAGGATCTTGATTGAACTTCTTGGCTCTATTTCAGCACTTTACAATTCTCCTTCCACAAAGCCATCTCTTCTAAAACTTTAATTGGATCATGCCATTGTCAGCCTCAAACACCTTCTGTGGCTTCCCATTATCTACCAACTAAAGTAGGAGCGTCTTACATGGCATGTAAAGCCTTGAGAATATGACCCCAACATCCTTTTCTAGTCTTTTCATCTCCATTCATCTTTCTCCTCAAAAATTCATTGTAGCCATACCAGACTTCTTCTTTGAACAGGAGCTTCTGCCCTTCATTCTTTGTTAGTGCTTCTTCCTACACCTGGAATTCCCTGCCCCCTCCATGTCCGACTAAATCCAAACCTTACTCATCCAAATCACACCCACCACCTTGTGAAGCTTCACTGAAGCCACTCATTAGAATTAGCCATTCCTTCTTTTTACTGCAATGGTGCCATCTGTCCCTAATATTGTACTTACCATGCTGTGTCACATTTACATACAGAGTTTTACATTCCTCAAGGTTATGAGCTTTGGAAGTCATAGCTATTTTTATTAATGTTTATATTATTTCTGTATATGTAATATGTTGCATATACTAGTTGTTGAGTAAATATTTATTCTAATGAGAGTTATAGAATTACTCATATCAGCGTTGAAATTAGTATCTGATTTTTTTTTTTTTAAGACAGAATTTCGCTCTTGTTGCCCAGGCTGGAATGCAATGGCCCGATCTTGGCTCACCGCAATCTCTGCTCACCGCAAACTCTACCTCTCGGGTTCAAGTGATTCTCCTACCTCAGCCTCTTGAGTAGCTGGGATTACAGGCATGTGCCACCACACCCGGCTAATTTTGTATATTTAGTAGAGGCGGGGTTTCTCCATGTTGGTCAGGCTTGAACTCCCAACCTCAGGTGATCTGCCAGTCTCGGCCTCCCAAAGTACTGGGATTACAGGCATTAGCCACTGCACCCAGCAGTATCTGATGTTAACTTAGTATTATATTCTATTTTGATTGCTTTAGTTTTCAAACTTCACACAAAAGTATTACAGCTAAAAGGCTTATGTGTGTTTTTAAATGTGGTTTTAAATTTGAGGGAAAATGGGGCAGAACAGAATTCTGTTCATCAGTTTGGCTCTTTGAAACTACATATTTAATATTAACAATAATAGTTGCCTTCTGTTGAATATCTACTGTATGCCAAGCACTGATTTAGCATCATGCATTCATTATATCATGTAATATTCTTGAAAAAAAATCTCTGCAGTAAGTATTATTTTATCCCCATTTTCCATATAAAGAAACTGAATCTCAGAGAAGTAATTAGCTCTAGGTCATACAGACATGTAGAACTGCCAGGCATCACAGACAAATTTATCTGATACTCCAACCCATGTTCTCTCAACTTTGTCCCACTGTGTCCTCATTAACTACATTAGAAAGAGGATTATGAAGACTAAGCAAGGACCCTGAGAAAAGAACTAGACTGGGGGAGGCAGATGATACAGGGGATGCTTCAGGATGTCCCAAGAAAAATATGCATATTGATTAGAAACATGGAGTAAGGCAGGAGGAGGATTTCGGGACAGCAGTTAGGTCACCAGGTATTTGGTAGTTCTGCTTGCAATATGTGAACTCGTGTGTTGGAGTAGGTGGCGTGAAGAATTTGGGCCCTTCCTATGGATTGCTTCCTTGTTTAAGCTGCAACCATCACCCTTCCCTAAGTCCTTCCTTTGATAAACCTTGAAAACTACCCTAAAAATGGCAATGGAGCCTCTATTCATTTTCATCAGTTTTTTTCTTACATTAAAGTATACATCAAATTAAGGACTGGAAAAACATAGGTCATTTAGTGACAATTAGTGTCATTGTTACATGAGTCTCTTGAAGTGGCAACCAGCTTCGTACATTTTTTCACCTTTCTTTGAAAATGTTTCTGTCCTATATAGGAGATTTCTTCAGAATAACACTCATGAGATCACAAAGAGAGAAGGAAGAAATGTTTGGGAGCAAACATTTATGTTTGCCCTGTATTAATCGAGCTTTCATTTCTAGGTGGGTTATTTTGTTTTGTATAAGCCAAGGAGTGTTTGTGTTCTATTCCACATAGCCTAAGAACTCTATATCCAAACCTACAGCAATTCCTTTTTTCTCTCTTTAAAATTTCTCCTCAGAAGTCCTTTCTTCCTTCCCTTTAAATATATCTCTCATAGCTAAGTGGCTGTGGGAGAGGACCCAAAAATTCAAGAAAGAAAAATGCCTCTGAACATGCAGCCAGATGCCAGATATGTGTATCCGAGGAGAGTTACCCAACTTCTCCTTATTCATTTTCTGCCTTTATGGGCTTATATGTCTCATTAGATCATAAGCCCACAGGGAAAATTTGTGCTTTTAGGATCTATTCAGCAAGTAGTGTATTGCAAATGCTGAAAAGATGCTTATCTTTAGAAATATGCAATGATGTAAAGTTATAATAGTCATGGAGGAGAAGAACTGACCTATTTCTTGTTAAAATTATCTGCAATTTATGTCAAAAAGAGATAAAAGGATTTTATCCAAAATATTAACCTCTAGAAAACCTCCCAGAAAGGAGCCTTGGCTAGGAATCAGAAAACTGTGTATATTCTAATTCTTTCATTAACTCATCCTATGAAATTGAACCAGTTACTTTACCCTTTTGTACCTGTTTCTTTGTCCATAAAATAGGCATACTAGCCCCTTCCTACTGTCCTCATCAGGGATTTCTAAATATCACATGAAATTAACTATGTGAAAGTGCATTCAATATTTTAAAACAATAATTGATTGCCATGGTGGTTGTTATTATTACGCAATTTGCTTTTCAGCGATTTCCAGTTCACCACGGTGAAATCAGCACATGTATGTTTCTTTACTCCTCAAATCACACTGCACTAAGAATAATCAATGCTTAACAGATACAAACCCACAAAGCACAAACACAAAGCAGCAGCAGGGAACGAGCAATATCAACACATATTTGGAAGATAAAAAGCTGACCGAGGAGTTAGACTCTTGAGAAAACTGAGTGTCAAGTGCCTAGAGACACAAGTCAATTCAAACTCCAGAATTACAGCCAGCAGTTATCTTGGGAGGAATGAGTGAGGCAGGGGCTTGACTAAGGGCATGAGTTGGAAGTCTGAAAAGCAGGAGCAATTCTACCTCCTGTAGTGCCCTTCCTGGATGTACAGAGAAGTTCCCATTTCAGGGTAACAGGCAGGGTTACCCTAGCCTCTAACAGGCAGGGTGTAGAGAAAGGAAAAGGTGCTGGACATAAATCAGGAAAGTTAAGTAAAGGTGAAATACTCAACAATGAGATGCCCTCTTCTGCTGCTGCTCTCCAAAATGTCCTGACCACCTGATGTAAATACCACGAAGACGACCAGGAGACAAGGCCTCCCTATGTACTCATTAACAATTTAGAAATATAGAGATAAATACCAGGAGAATAGCGAAAAGCATTAAAGTGAACACCCCACAGGGCTGGCAGCTCCAATATTAACAATAAAACCCTTGAAATACTAATAAACCACGTATGTGTATTACTCTGAAAAAATTAAATATTTTTTAAAGATTTATCCTTCAAAGAAACCAGAATACAGACTAATACAAGAAGTTGATTTATTCCCATCTTTTGATTTTATTGGCTAAACCAGATTAAACTCAACAGATGGGGAAATAATAAAATCTACCTAAAATGACACATGACACTTAGAAATTTTTTT
This sequence comes from Homo sapiens, assembly GCF_000001405.40. Taxonomy (NCBI): domain Eukaryota; kingdom Metazoa; phylum Chordata; class Mammalia; order Primates; family Hominidae; genus Homo; species Homo sapiens. The sequence goes on from NC_000004.12 coordinate 138,645,408, forward strand.
AGGCTGAGTCAGCCCAGTCGTGGCAGAACCAACTTGTGTTTGATAGCAATTTAAGTGATAGTTTTTTGGTTTTTTTGTTTTTGTTTTTGGCAGGGTCTTGCTCTGTCACCCAGACTGGAGTGCAGTGCAGCAATCTGAGCTCACTGCAACCTCTGCCTCCAGGGTTCAAGTGACTCTCATGCTTCAGCAACCCATGTAGCCTCAGATTACAGGCATGCATCACCACACCCCGCTACTTTTTGTATTTTTAGTAGAGGCGGGGTTTCGCCATGTTGGCTAGGCTGGTCTTGGACTCCTGGTCTCAAGTGATCCACCCACCTCTGCCTCCCAAAGTGAACGTGATAGTTTATCCCTGTGGAAAAGGTGAGAAGCAGGGCCTGGGACTCTGGGACACATCTGCTGATACAGAGCTTCTTCGGAGACACTGGTACCAGCTGCTGGACCTGCCTCATTTGTGGGCAGGTAACAGAAAACTTGCCTACTGATGTTTCTCCCGTCCTTTGACCTCCCCATTCCAATGCAATACTACCTGAGCACTATTTCCAAAACTCGTTCTGTTCAAGTCGTCCTTCTTCAATAAATCATTTGCTGGCCCCACAGACAGACTTTGGAATAAAGCCCAGTCCCTGCCATCCACCAGCCTCATCTAGGGAGACTCCCACTGTGCCCAGCAGAGAACCAGCTACCCACTGCTCCCCCCAGTCTCTCCATGGACTTCCATGCTTCCATAGTTTCATATGCTCTTCCCAAAGCATTCCCTATAATGCTTTGCCCTAGCTTTTCCTGGCAAAGAACCACTTTTTTTAAAACCAGCTGAAAAATCATCATCTGTTCTCAACTCAACAGGACTAATTACTTGCTCTTTACTTCATGCTCTTCATGTTCCTACTCTGTGTCACAGTTATTTGCTTGAATATCTGTCACTCCAATCAAACTATGTTTTCTCAAAAGCAGGAATTAGTATCTAGCAAAGTGTCAGACACAGAGTCAGCCCTCAAGGAGAGTATATGGAATGAACCAGTAAAGAGCAAATTAATCTAACGTTAATCTGGGCCTTGGTACACCTTATGTTTGAATGTCTATAACGCCTATGTGAGAAAATATAATTTGCATTCCCCTAGTTGGTTAATGTCTAAGCTCACAGGGCGTGAGGTCTAAACCTCATCTCAAAAACAGAAATCAGATCAATGCTCTACCCTCTTTAAAGATAATAGAGAGGAACAGAAACAAGGGGTAACCAGTGATGAAGCTGACGTATTAAACACTCAGAAAAGACTATTTTTTAATACCTCTTTCCTCCAGCCCACAAATGGTTCTTATTCTGTAAGAACCATTATTCTCTTGAGGTGTCCTGTAGTTTTTAAAAAGTACTAGTTTAAAGGAATTTTTAATATTAATTTTAATTTTCATGATAGTATTCAAATTTAGCAAAATATTTCATGTTTGGACTATGTGTGCACTTACTAAACAAAAATATTACACCTCACAGTTCACATTTGTTTTGACTTTTTAAAGTATTAGACAAAAGCAAAAACTCCAACTGGTCACAGAAGATCATAGAATTGAAGTAACTTGTTACCTTTCTTCATCTTTATGATCATGTGCTATCACTGTTAATTTGTAACTTACTGTTTAAAAGCAGTAACATGAAGTACCACAGGGCGGGGAGACAAAAACTGCACTGCTAGCAGCTCACCCAATCCTGAGCCCTAATGAATTACTCTCAAAACCAATGCTTATAGCTGACTTGGCCTACAGCAGGGTCTCCCATATACTCCAAATTAACTTCCATGCAGATTGAAATTTTTATTAAAGAACAAGGTAGTAAAAATATGTTCAATTGGAAGCATTGATATACATTCATAAAATTCAACAGTACCCATAGCAATTATTTAGCACTTAGGCCTACAAAATATTTCCTTTGCAGTATTTTACCTCTGAAATTGTTTGAAATTGCTGGAGCAGGGTGACAATAAGAAGCACACCAACTCATAGGCAGTTTTATAGCTGGTTTTAAAATCTCTATAGGCAATGCATCTCCTCACTGCCTGCTCCCTGGAAGGCCACAGGAATGATCGCCTTTCCCCTTCCTCTATTTTATTATGACTCCTTACTTCCTTCCAAAAAATGCAGAGCAGGTGTAGAACCTGGAAAAAATGCAACTCTCCTGGAGAGCACAGCTGGAGTAGCCTGGCCTGAGGGTTCAGAAACAAGCTTCCACAGCCTTGCAAATGAGTCTGACACTCTCTGCATTCAGACCTCAACCACCTCCCAGTGGTGTTCAGCCACATACCACCTGCTGCGGGAGAAGTGATCCCACTTCCTTAGGAACCAATCTCACTTCCTTGGTCTCCTACTACATTAGTTTGCTTGGGTTGCTGTAACAAAGTGCCACAGACTGAGTGGCTTAAACAACATTTATTTTCTCACAATTCTGGGTGTTGGAAATTCAATATCAAGATTTCAGCAGGGTTCTTTCTTCTAAGGCTTCTCTCCTTGGCTCGTAAGTGTCCATCTTCTCCCTCTGTCCTCAAGTGGCTGTCCCTCAGTCTGTGTGTTGTCTGCATCTCAATCTTTTCTCCTTACTAGCACACCAGCCATATTAGAATAGAGCCCATCCCAATGATCCCATTTTACCTTAACTACCTCTTTAAAGACCCTGTCTCCAAAAATAGTCACTTCCTGAGGTACTAGGGTTTGGGCGTCAGCATGCGAATTGTGGGAGGACACAATTCAGCCCAGAACACCTACTACTCTCTGACCCCAGAGCATTCAACCCAACACCGTCTTCTTCCTTCCATGTCCAAAGCTCTCCATCCACTTCCACACCCACATCACCCCTTTCACCTCCCTGCCATTACCCACACTCATGTTCCACATGTCTCTTAACCCCTTGCCTTGACGATTTGAATATTGGAATAACTGGTGATATGGTTAGGCTTTATGTTCCCACCCAAATCTCATCTTGAATTGTAATCCATAGGTGTTGACAGAGGAACCTGGTAGGAAGTGACTGGATCATGGGGTCAGTTTTCCCCATGCTGTTCTCATGATAGTGAGTTCTCATGAGGCCTAATGGTTTTATAAGTGTTTAACAAGTTCCTCCTTCACTCACTCTTCTCTCTTCTGCTGCCATGTGTTTGTGTTCCCTCCTGCTTCACCTTCCACCATGATTGTAAGTTTTCTGAGGGCTTCCCAGCCACGCAGAGCTGCAAGTCAATTAAACCTCTTTCCTTTATAAATTACCCAGTCTCAGGTATCTCTTTATAGCAGTTTGAAAATGGACTAATACAACTGGCTTTAGCCCTCAGAGAAGAAACAGTGTATTAGAGAAGTTGGATAACTGAAATTACACTCTAAGTAATAGAACATGCAGCTGGTAGGGTGAAAATGAGGAGCTTAGTCCTTTGGGTGCTTTTTCCCCTTCTACTTCATCTCACTAACTCCCTCCTTGCCGCGCACCCCATCCCCCAACAGGCACAGATGGGGTTCCAGGATAAAATATGTAAATGTCTTTCCATAACATACCTCCTCTTCCCCTTCCCACTCAAGGCTCATGTCACTGCTCACCTTGGCAGTGAACATGGAGTTGAGTAAACATGGAAGATGATCTCTTAGAGGGAACAGTTAGGACCACAGAAAATCACATCACAATATGCAAATTCCCACACTTGTAAGTTATCTTAGATATTATGTTTCAATAGCTACAATGTGACTTAAACACACTGGGATCTGTGTAACAACATCTCTGTATAACCAGCCTCTGATGTGGCATCTGGTGCCTAGGAAAACCATCCCTTTTCATATTTTTTATTGTGTAATTAGCAAATCATAAAGACAGGAAAGTTTTAGACTGCATCTAAAAAGGGAACATAGTTCCAAATAAGCATTGTCATATGCCACAAGTTATATTTTACCTATCAGCTTTATTGGTACCCAGAGAACTATTCTGGAATGCATATTTAAATAATGAAAAACAAACAAAGGGAGAAAAGATGTCGAATGCTTATCGGCACTGTACACCATAGCTTTCTGCAATCACATTCATGCATTTCTTCTTAAGCTTCCTGAGGAAAGGAACTGAATCTTTCAGTACTACCAGTTACCTTAAAAAAAAAAAAGCACTCTATAACTATGTCGAACTGAACTAAACTGAATTGAATACGTATTTATTTGCTGGCCTATGAACACAAAAATGGCTTATTGATTTTCACCTGTTCAGTCAGGATCAGAACACAGATTTCCATGTGACAATTTCAATCACTATAATGCTCCAAGTATCTAAGTTTAAATAATACTTTATACATTTCAGAAATAAGAAATTTAAATAGAGTGGAATTTATGTTTTATCTATTATCTCTTACCATTATTCCTAAATTCCTCACAACATTCGAGCTTCTGTATTCAGCATTTAATTATCTTTATTGTACCCAAAGTAGTCTTTGTTCAAGAAAAACATTAAATACACAATTTAGAGATGAAGAAAAACATGACATTCGTATCGTCTTACTTTCAGAAAATAATTCTGTATGCATGAAGAGTGTACTATGAACTAGGGAATAATTTAACTTTATGACCCTCATATTCAGTTGTTAATTACTTTTTTGTTGTCCTCAATATATTTCTATTGCATCAATGGGAAACTATAGTAGTCCTCCAGTGACCAAAATTATACATATCAATTCTTATGAATATTAATTAAAAGCTTTCTGTCTTCATGGAAAACCGTCTACTTCCTACTTCAAAGGCATTGAATTTCAGTGCTATAAAAAATATACTTCAGTTAAAATTTTCAACACATCCCAATCAATAAGATTATGGGTTCTTTTGTTGTTCTTCTTCAACTTCTGGAAAGAAACATTTTTAAATGAAGTAATTGATGTACAACATTTTGCCTGTAAAATAGCCTATTTCAAAAGAAAGTAAATGTGCCATATATGACTTATGAAAAAATACGTGTTACAGAGAGAAAGCTGTTTAGTTATTGAGACCTTTAACAACCGAGTGAGCAGAAGTTGAGAGAATCAATCAAACGTGTGTGCCCATCCCCACAGTGGCAGAGCACATAGTGGGGTTATGGATATGAGAAAAGAGTTACCATAATCTTGCACTCACAGCGCTTAAAGAAAAAGTTCCAGTGTCTGCTCATATGTGCACACACACAGGAACACATTTAGAAAAGCAATAATATGTGTGGAAGGGGTCCTATTCATCTGGGTGCTTGTTCTTTTCTCTTATTTCCTTCCTTGTCCTTTGAGAACAGAGTTGGCAACTGGAGAGTATACGGTGAACAGAGTTGAAGGCAGATTGTGTCTAAATTCTGTGAAAAACAGTCATTCTTAATCTTGGTTTTGCTACCTTCTAAAATAAGTTTAACTATGTCAACAATATAACAAAATATGGCAAATTTTATCAAAGCAAAATTTAAATTATTTTATTTAAAACGTGATATTCAGAGGATATTACAAAAAATACAGATGAACAGCCAGATGGAAGAGATGCATAGGGCAAAGTATGTAGGAAGGGAAGTAGAGCTTCTCAGCCTGCCACCCTCCAGGAACCTCCCCGTGTTCAGCCATCTGAAAGCACTCACAACTCTGTGGTTGATTACATCATTGGCCATTGGTAATCACTCAGCCTTCAGCCCTTCTCCCCTCCCCAGAAGGTAGGGGATAGGGATGAAAGTCCAAAACCTTTAGTCATGCTTCAGCATTTCTGGTAATCAGCCCCCATCCTGAAGCCATCTAGGGATCCCCAGACACCAGTCATCTCGTTACCATAAAAAAGTCACTCTTATCCAACTGGAGATCCTGAGTTTTAGGAGCTGTGTGACAGGAAGTAGGACCAAGACCAAATATATATTTCACAATATCACAGATGTTATTTGCCTTTGCCAGGAAGCAGGTCTTTGATTCAAGGATAGTTGCAAATGTAGTTTTTTTAATAAGTAGAATATTATGAGAGTTTTTGTGAAAGAAAGTCAAGAGAAAGAAAACAACTAGGCAGTTACTAGGCAGTTAGGATGTGCCAGCAATTCTTCTAAGCATATTCCACATGTCTCTAAAATATCACCCAGATACCAAATGAAACAGCCCATCCCACATTCTCCCTTGGTTTCTGTGCACTCTTCCCCTGGGGTTCTGTTTTGGGGTGCCTAATCCTGATGTGAGCCTCACCCAAGCCTCACTGTCACTCCCATTTTCTTCTTCCAGGGCCAGACCTCTGCAGAAGTGGTGTCAATCACTTACTCCTTTCCATAAGCTCACTGCACACACCACTTATGACACAGAAGACTCTACCAAAGGAAATCAAACTACAGAACAGCAACAAAACTCAAAAAATTAACATTTGGCTTTTGTGTTATTAAAATATTTTCTCAGCAGACAATAACAAGTGTTGGTGAGATTATTGAGAAGTTGAAACTTCCATCCATAGATGGTGGGAATGTAAAATGGTGCAGCCACTTTGGAAAACAGCTTAGTAGTTCCTCAAAATGTTAAATATAGAGTTAACATATAACTCCACAATTCCACTCCTAGGAATATACCCAAGAGAAATGAAAACATATGTCCAGTTAAAGAAAAAATTATTCTGACAGTTGTTAAAATGGTAAGGAAGATTTTATTCAGGATTATTACAATAGGCATCAAGACAGAGATAGGACTCAAGTGTAAATACAGCAAAGACAACCAGGAATCCATGGCCAACAAAAAGAGTGAGGGGGTCAATGGATGGAAAATTATGAAGAGGAGATATCAAATGTAGGGGGTTCTAGCTAAACCAACTTATCGACATTCTTGCTAAAGGCAGGTGACATGGTTTAAATCTTTGTCCCCACCCAAATCTCATGTTGAAATGTAATCCCCAATGTTGGAGGTGGGGCCTAGTGGGAAGTGATTGGATCATGGGGTGGAGTTCTCATGAATGGGTTAGCACCATCCCTCCTTGGTACTGAATAGTGAGTGAGTTCTCATGGGATCTGGTTGTTTAAAAGTGGGTAGTACCTACCCCCACCGCCGCTTCCTCCTGCTCCAGCAATGTGAAGTGCTAGCTTCCCCTTTGCCTTCCACCATGATTGTAATTTTCCTGAGGCCACCCCAAAAGATGACCAGATGCCAGCACCATGCTTCCTGTATAGCCTATGGAACCATGAGCCAATTAAACCTCTTTTCTTTATAAATTACCCAGTCTCAGGTATTTATTTATAGCAGCATGATAACAGAGTGATACAGCAGATCAAGGACTCATACATCAAAGGGAAGAGATGAGGAACTTTATCAAATATCAAGCATGATCAGATATGAAAGACAGGAGGATTATTGCTAAACTGATTCAGCAGGATTCTAGCTAAAACTGGGGTATGCAGACCTGGCAAGGATGGGGCCATGGTCAAGGCCTAGTTGAGAAGAGGGCTCAGAGGATCCTGACTAAGCCTTGGCCAAAGAGACAATCATTGTCAGTCTACACAAAAACTTGTACATGAATGTTCATAGCAGCATTATTCATAATAGCCAAAAAGTAGAAACAACCCAAATGTCTATTAACTGATAAATAGGCAAACAAAATGAGATTTATCCATACAATGGAATATTGTTCCACAATTAAAATGTTCTGGTCCATCCTACAAAATGAGTGAACATTGTAAACAATATGCTAAGTAAAAGAAGCCAGTCATAAAAGACCACATATTATTTTATGAATCCATTTATATGAGATATGCAGAACAGGCAAACCCACTGAGACAGAAGCTAAATTACCAATTGCCAGGGACAGAGAGAACAATATTCCATTCTATGGATTGTATGGAGATTGGGGAATTGACTGGTAATGGGTACATGGCTTCCTTTGAGAGTAATGAAAATGTTCTAAAATTAAACAGCAGTGATGGTTGCACCAAACTGTAAATATACTAAAAACACTGAATTGTATGTTTTTAAAGGGTGAATTTTTTGGTATGTGAGTTATATCTCAATAAAGCTGTTATTAAAATATTTTCAGACATTTCCAAAGGCTACACTCCAGACATACACTAATTTGCTCAATCCTCATTTTTTCCCTTTTTTCTTCCCCCATGACAGCAGAAAAATAATTATCCTTACTTTATTATGAAGAGCAAATCCACTTTCTCTAGTTTCTGCTCCCTGCGTCAGTCCCAGGTTCTCTTCCTCTACGTGTTCTGCTAACAAAATGACCATTCTGCTGGAACCTCATCCTGCCTTACAACTCCAACAGTCACTAATATGCCCCAAAGAGGGAATGTCTACAGTCAGAACTGACTTCAAAATTTTGTGAGTTTTTTTTAACTCAGTAACAAAATTTCATATTCAAATGAAATACGACTGTTGTATTTTCAAGGCATGTATTTCCAATACGTTTATCTCAATTTTTCATCCAAAACGGAAAAGATAATTAACATGTAATAACTACAAGGGTGTTTAATATGCCTAATAATAATCACAACCAAAGCAACATAATATTTAATTCCAAAAGGAAGAATTATGGTGTTAAATCACTGTGATTAAATCTCGATTATTTAACTCCCATCAGTATTTATGCCCATCCAGGTTATTTTGAGGACACATTAATAAAATATTAAATGTGTAAATAATGTATGTACTGAAGGTGAAAAAAATATGATATGCAAATCAAATGAAGCATGACATTTGGATATGCCATAAGAAAAATTTCGCTGACTACATCCAGTCAGCCACAAAATGCTTCTTTTCATGAAATAACAATGACTCCAGGTGTCTAATTAGGACACTTCAACATGTCCATTCACATGTTGAAAACTACAACCATCCATTATGCTCAACTATAGATAGCTCCCAACCTGAGCCCTAACTCTTGTTCTGTGTAGTATAAAGACTTCAGATGGTGCTGGGCCATACAGCAGAAAATCAGAAGGATACTGGGCTTAGTTAACTCAGAAATGAAGCTGAGGGTAGCTCATAACAGTATAAAACTATATGGAAAGATCATATACAGAAGCTGCTCATCAATTACTTTCTCACCTTACTGAAGAAAGAACACCATCAAATAGATATGAACAATCTAGTAATAGCACTTAGGATTGTATTCTTACACAATTAGCAGAAAACCCTGCTATAGCAACTTTAACTGATAGATGTCTCAACAACTTGAGTCCAGGAGTGAACAATCCAAGGCTGATCAAGTAGCTCAATGATTTCATCAAGGACTAAGCTCCTATATCTTTCCACTCCACCACCTTAGCATGCAGGTCTTTGTTATGCTTGTTACCTCATGGTTGCAAGATGGCTACTGCATCGCCAGGCATCATATCCAGGTTCCTGACAAGAAGGAGATGATAACTTATCCATATAATTTAAATATGGAGCAAGATGGCCACCTTACACTCATACAAGACAGAAATGCTTTGTTATTTCATTGTCCTTGCTTAAATCTATATTTATGATATAACTGATGCCAAAGGCCATTACTTTAATTGTCACGAATGAATGAGAAAAGAAAAAACAAGGAGGTGGATAATATATAAATGATGCGCTTGGACAAAGTTAAGATCAAACGCCATCATGGCATGCTGTATTGTTGGAAAAAGTAGATAAAATAGTCTGCAAAATAATTAGACAAGACTTTGCTTTTGGCCAGTCTCCTGAAAATATACACTTCCAGACAATGACAAAGAGGTATTTGGAACAGTTTTCTTATTGCTTCCAGTGTTTGGAATCTAGGTAGTCAGAAGAGCCATGCATTTAGAGCAGAACTGGCCCTCTAATTTAGGCATTTCATTAACAAATGTGTAGGTTGCTGTTCCAAAAGCATAAAAAGCCAGAAGCTTTAAAATAGAAAGAAAAGAAAAACTGGGCATATGTACATTATTGTGTCTAGCAAAAGCTAGTTTCTTCTGCAGATTTTTAATATAGTCTCATGGTTGCTGAAAAAAGCACTCACTGGAACTATCAACCATAGTAATAATAAAAAAAAGATCACCAACTTTAAACTCACTTCAGAACTGGCTGAGAAATTTGATGAGCTTCCATCATGCTGTCCAAAAAATATGGCATTGTGTTGTTGCTGAGTTCTTGCCCAGTTTTAAAGCATCTTTCCACTCCATGGTAAACAGACTGGTACAGGTGTCTGTGCCAAGCATTTTATCACTGTGACCAAGATACCTTGCGGAATCAAACTAACCCTGTAATCCTGCCTGGATTACTAAACAATCATATAACAATGGATAGTTATGGAGTCTCCAAAAGTACAAAGCATAGTGACTCCAATTTTTTAAATCTAGAAGGGCTTCCTTCTAATCCTTGATTTCAAAGAAAGCGATTCTTTGAATGCTCTACAGCTTCCTGGAGCAGCTTTAATGGTTTTTGAACACTCTGCTTTTCTATTCAAAACCCTCAAAAATGAAAAATGCCATTATATGAAGTACTAGCCACCAGCAGTGGGAACATGACAAGTACCAGGCTTCAAAATGAACCTAAAATGGCAGATTTTTCCATCTAAGGGTCATCTACTTAATGAGCCCTAACTCATGTTCAAATCTCCCCAAGCCAATCAGACTTTTCTATTTGAGCTACATCTTCATCTTTCCTTGAAAAAATATTCTTGAGTTATGCCCTGCCATACACTTCACTGGTATCCAGCTGCCTCCACCTCATGCTTCCTCATCCTACCTCCTAATTTTTATGCCATGTAAGGAAATTTCCAAAGCGGCAGGCCAGGTCTCAGTTGAACAGGCAGGCCTCCATGAAAACTGTTTCAGCACTGACTGAATGGTTAAGTTAAATATTAAAGGCTGAAAGAGCCTTACACAAAGGCTGGAATGTAACAGAAGCCCACCAAGAGTCTTGCTCAGGCCTTTCCTGGGCCTTGAAGCATGTCGAGATAATGAAGGAATTCTTACACTCCTCATACCAGGACCCATCTACGATTAAACAAGTTTTACTGGGGATCTAAAGAAACTCCCCTGACCTCCTTACCTTAGCTGGAGACAAGATAAGGGTGATCACCTTTGGTACCAGGACCCATCTAAATTAAGTAAATTTACTGAGGCTCTAGAAAATGATTGCCAGGACCCAGACCTTAGTTATAGATTACATTGAATCAATCACTTGCGTCTTTAGATGAATGCACACTTGCATGTTGTTAAAGCAAACTAAATATGGCCCGAGAAGGACACCATACTTCTATATTTGAGTCCTTGTGGACAAATTGCAACCTAGCTAAATAGGTAGATAAGATTGAAAACCGAACTTACTAGTATGTGCGTATAACTATAGCTGAGTCTTGGCCAATCCCAGTGGCCATACTTCAACCACTCATACACTGCTGAGTGTTCAAACTGTGTTCAAATAAGGCAAACGCCGAGCTGTAACCAATCCAGCCATTCTGTACCTCACTGCCGATTTCTGTACGTCATTTTCCTTTTCTGTCTATAAATCTCCTAACACCTCGTGGCTGTGCTGGACTCTCTGTGAATCTGCTGTGATTCTGGGGGCTGCCTGATTCGCGAATCATTCATTGCTCAAGTAAACTCCTTTAAATTTAATTTGGCTGAAGTTTTTCTTTTATCAACATAGACTCAGTGCTTAGAAGGTATATAAGCACTGGAAAAACTTTGTAACTTTAAGTTGGTCTGGTGAATTATCCCTGGCCTTCTCCCTATACCTGGTTACAGAAATAAACTCTTCTTTCCCAGTTCATCTGCATCTCATTATTGGACCATGAGAACAAGCAGCCCAACCCTCGGTTTAGTCTGGGAACACTTAGAGGCTTTAAACATTCAGCCTTTTTAAAAATTTTATGTGAATAGTATGAGGAAAATATGTCAACCTACTCAAAGCTTTCTTTAATCGCTGCTCAATTCCTAGTGGACCTGAGCTTCCAGCTGAGAGTTTTAATTCTTCTGAGGTCCCAGAAGAAGTGTACAAGATCCGGTTTATAACTTTGAGCAACTTTTTTAAAACTCCTATTTTCTTCTTTTTTTTTAAATTATTTTCTGGATTTTTCAGACCAAAATTGGCCTAAATCTTTTCTTTCTTTCTCATCCTCAATTTCCCACCCAAACTCTCTGAGAGGCTCCAAATATTTACTTATTTTCTCCCTGCTCCTTCTGCCCTCTCTCTTTTCTTATTTGGACCAATCTGAGCCTTCTCCAATGCAAACCCTCCATTTTAGCATCTACTTCTACCTCAGCCAGCTGACTAATCTTATCAATATAAGGAAGGCAAAGTTATCTCCAAATTTTACCTTAGGATATTGAGGGGGCAGAGGGGAGAGATACATTTATATTCAAATTTATTTATTTATTTATTTATTTTTTTGAGGCGGAGTCTCGCTGTCTCCCAGGCTGGAGTGCAGTGGCGCGATCTCGGCTCACTGCAAGCTCCGCCTCCCAGGTTCAGCCATTCTCCTGCCTCAGCCTCCCCAGTAGCTGGGACTACAGGTGCCTGCCACCACGCCCAGCTAATTTTTTGTTTTTTAGTAGAGGTGGTGTTTCACTGTGTTAGCCAGGATGGTCTCGATCTCCTGACCTTGTAATCCACCCGCCTTGGCCTCCCAAAGTGCTGGGATTACAGGTGTGAGCCACCACGCCCAGCAGTATATTCAAATTTATTTAAGTCTTCGTTTGCACGTGGCTTAGTAATACCATCTGACCTTCAAGTGATCCAAATGTGTCTTTTGCAAATGAAGACAACCTCTATTCACCAGCCAGTATAGCTAAAGTCATAATACTTATTGCCAATTTCATCCTCAACACCATCAGGCACTGAAAGAGCAGGATCTGGAGACAGGGTGGTCATTTAGACTATAACCTGATTTTTTTATTATCCAAATAAAAATTCAAAATGTAAAACCTCTTGAGGATAACTCAAAAATCTTCAAGACTGCATGGCAGTGTAAGAAACTCAGGTGCCGGCCTCCTACTGGAAACATTTTCCACTCCAGCTTAGAGTGATTTCCCTCCTCTTTGCTTACACTTTACTCTTTTAACTGTAAATTGCTTGTAGTTGTTAACCACTTTCTCTCTCCCCAGCTAAATCCAAATATGTAGATTTTTGAACTCAGAAAGCATTTCTTTTTCTCTTTCTCTGTCTTTCCCTTTCTATCTCTCTGTAATGGCCCCAGAGCTTGGAGTCAACAACAATTATAAATTGACAATAATAAGTCAGAAGAGAAACAGAAGAAATGCATTAGGAGATTTTTGGGTTTTCTGACAATGGAGCAGGAGAGGAATGAGGCGAGCGTCCTGGTAGCTAGTTGGACTCAGTGGGTGGACAGCACTGCAGGAGGCAGCTGTGGGGAGCCTCCTCATCATCCTCCTCATCATGCTGCCTGTGGCTCCTCTAAGCTTCTGATTTCCTTAACAATGAATCTAACTGAGAGGAAAATTCCAAGGCACAACCCAACATGACAATTTAACTCTACACAGAATTTTCTTCTTTTTTTTTTCCTGTCTCACCTAGAATTGTCATTAAGAAATACACAAGAAAACATATCTTCTCTCTTACTTCTTGCCCCATCTTCAAAGCAGATGAACCATTTCTGGTGCAGAAAAGGCTCCGATGCTGCTTTTATGAAGGAACATAATGCTAGCTTGGAGATCACACAATTGCAGACCTCTTTCCTTCGGTTGGGAAATATACTGAAGAACAGAAGGTACAGTACATTCCAGACAAGGTCCAAGTCCTTTATCCATCCAGAAACTCTCGCAGCTTGACTCCTGTCCTGTATTGCGAAGGGTCACAGACACTTTCTGCATTAATTATGTATGAGGAACCCTGGAGAGGGATTGAGCCAATGGCCAGATGCAGAAACACTGTCCTGGACCCCTCCCCTAGCAGGAGCAGAGACCCTGAGGGAGACACTTAAGACATCCTCAATTTCAGTGCAGCCACACACAGCAGGGAATGTGAATAAGGGAGGAGGAAGATCAAAGCGCAGGAGATGAACCAGGGAAGAAGCCGAGAAAAATAGACAGGGGGATAAAAGAGAGAGGAGGGCAAAGGAGTGTGAGGGAGAAGAGAAGCAGGAGGGAGACAGGCGGGGACAAAAAGAGACAGGGACGCGGCCAGTAATGAGGTGGTTCGTCCCTGTTTCATTTCTTCTCCTTGATAGTTAAACGTTTTCCTTCGGAGCATGCGTCTTCCCCACTGAAGTGGGTGGGGTGGCACTGGAGGTGAGCAGGCTGTAGCAGTGCTGCTGCCCCCAGGGCTCTGGGTTCTGGTCCTCAGTGGACCCTCACTGTGTCCTAGGCTGACTTCTCTGAAGTCTGGGCACTTTAAAGTATCCACTCCAGTCAGCTCAGCTATTTCAACTAAATCCATTTCCATCAAATTATCACTTCTAAGAGTGATAGAAAAATTAATGATTTCTTGAAGGGACTATTGTATTTAAATATTTCAAGCCTGTTGGTGTGATGTGTGTCAGCAAGAGAGAAACATATTGACTTGGAGCTGCAGCTAATGACGGCTTTTATAAATATCCTGTCAGATACATAATGGCTCTCAATGGATCCAATATGATGTACAGTTCTAAAGCAAGCAGGGTTTTGCCAAGAGGCTCAAAGGAAACTGCCATCACAATAGCATGGGCTGAATAATGGGATTTTCATTTACCTTTCCGACCACAGAAAGGAGCAGCGGAGAGGGTGACTCAGCAGGCATCAAGGAGAAGGTGGATTGATTCATCAGATTCCACAAAGGGCCCCAAAAAACCCTAGCTGAGAGCCTCCAGAATACCAAAGAACATTTGCATTTGAATCCATTTGACAAATGAGCAGCCAACTTGAAGCACCAGAGGGTCGCTCTTGCTCGGACAAGCATACAGCTCCTCTTGGCTGGCAAGAGCTGTAGGCCATGCAGGAAAAGCCCTGGGGTCTGCGTAGCTCCAATAGGACTGAACACTGTTGTGACTGGGCAGTGAACACATTCCAATCAGCGACTTAATGTCCCACTGTCCCCCTTTCCTCTTTTCTTTTCTGTCACTTGCCTTTTTGTCCATTTTGCTTCATATCAGAAAACAAATCTAATGGGGAAACATGAATAAATGTCAGTTTGCTTCCTCTTAAGAGTTCCAACAAATATTAGGTAAGGAGTGGGTGGGTGGAAGGAATAAAATTGCTGGATGGAGAGAAGATGCTGTTATTGTCTGTGGATGTCAGTTATCCATAGATGGTTAGGAACTGACCTAGTACTTTACTCTGGCATGCATGCCTGTAATTCATCTTCAAAAGGTATTTAAGGATGAGAAGTTAGAGGACTTTAGAATTCCAAACAATCCCATTCGAAGTGAAACAGTCACTTACCAGGATTCTTCTGACCTACTCTGGGTTTTAATGTTGTCTTCTCTTTAAAGCAATTAAGAATCTCTGCTTTCTAACAGATAAATAGAGTTGAAAGAATAATTAAAATGTGGAGCAGAAAATACCCTACCGTGTTTCATATGAGAACATGGCAAAAAAGGAGCCAAGCAAATCCACAGAAATTCAAAAGACCTTATCTCAACTGCAATGTTTTTGGTAACAAGTTAAAATACCTTTTTAAAAAAATGAAAGTCCAACGTGTTAGTGTACTGCCACTATAGTAAGTTTCCTCATGTAAATTATCTCTAAGTTCCTGCTAAGGTTCTATGTAGGCTTTTAGTGATGGGGAAGAGAAATCAACTTCATGCACATTTCCTGGATGTGCTTTTGGCTGAACCAAGAGAAACACTTTTCCCACCTCCTCAAACATTATAACCTTTAGTTTACAAAATTACTGTGGCATCACTGTGTATCAGTTTATATTTATAATGCCTCCTGTGAGTGGGCTCTTGCAAGAGGTGTGGCCTTTGCACGGCCTACCAGAGACACAGAGAGCCACTCTGCTGCTTGCACCCAGGCACAGTCACACTGTGGAGCCTGGAGAGAGGACTCTTCTACCCTGTACAGGTGATGCAGCATAAACCCTGGGGTCTCAGTCCCAGGGAAAGTTTGACAGCCCTCAGATGAGAAATATGAGAGATGCATTACTTGCCTTTGTATTTCAGGTTTATAAAGGAAATGGCCTCAAATAACAACCAATCAAATGGCCCCATGCCTCCCAGGAGTTCAGCTCCTCATGTTACCAGAAAGAAGTCCCAGTCTAGACCCCAAGAGAGGGTTCTTGGATCTCATGCAAGAAAGAATTCAGGGCGAGTCCATGGTGCAAAGCAAAAGCAAGTTTATTAAGAAAACAAAGTTTTGAAAGACAGCTATCCTGTAAACAGAGTAGGACATTCCGGAAAGTAAGAGGAGGAATGCGTCCACCCTAGGTACAATACTTGTTTATATATAAGATTTAAAAAAAAATCATGGGGAGATGTGCTTTGCTACGAGGGTTTGTGATAAATGATTAATTTTCTTCATTATTATATTTTGCGAGAATCGATATTATTATCCTTAAAGCAAAATTAGGAATGCTTCTGTTCTCAAGATACCAGGATATCAGTACACTTCTAAGTCTGGGTCTGTTTAGTAAATGTTATCAATCTGTTCCCTTAACTGTAAACACCAGAGGCTAGCAGTACCTAACTTTCTGGGAATGCAGCGTAGCAAGTCCCAACCTCATTTTCCTAGTCCTCACTCAAGATGGAGTTTCTCTGGTTGGAATACGTCTGACACTTGGACATGTTTTTTAAAGTTAAAAAAAAAAAACATGCAAAAAAGCAAACAGAACTGGTTTATATTTTCTTCAGGGCCTCAACCCATCTGTCTGAATTGAGCCCAGAAACCTGAAAGCTGGGCATTACCTTAAAACCTTTAGTTATTCACATTGGTGACTCCTGATTGTCCCCTCACACAGACAGCCAAAATATCTTCCCATCTTCTGCAAAATTATTCTTCCAAATTCTCATTGTTCATCTTGCAGATATGAGGTTGTTGTATCCTAGGAAAGAATGTCAGCCTCTTGCATCCCCTACAATTGGTGAGAGAAGCCCTGACCTCAATAGCATGAGAAGACCTGGATTCTGATGCGAGCTCCACTAGCAGCCTGCTCTCCTGACTCCCCAGTGATCATTTCTCCTGTGTACTCTGGGGCTGATACCTACCCTGTCTTCCTGCTTTGCCCTTGAGGACTTTAGATGAGCAAAATGCAAGAGACATTCCTATGAAAGGTGTGTGGCATCATGCAATGTGTAGTATTTATAATCCTTTTGTCCACTCGGCCTTGTCACCCTTACAAAGACAATACATCTCACCTTGGTACCCAACTGCCTTTTGCTTCTCAGTGCTAGAGGTGCTACTGCTGTCTATAACCACACTTCTCTTCCTTTTCATTCTCTGCTTATTGGTACATTTCTAAATGGAGACAATTTCTGGACAGTTACATTGTAAGGAGGAAAGCTCTTCTTTCAAAAGTTATGGAAAGATCAGCTCTAAGTGAGGGCAGTGCCATTCATTCATTAAACCACTCTTTATGGAGTGGGTACTGTGAGCCCACCACTATGCTGTTATGCACTTGAATTCAGCAGTGAACAGCACAGGCAAGGTCCCTGCTCTTGTGAAACTTATATCTTGAGTTGAGAGGAGAACAAGAGAGAAATAGAGTAGAAAAGAAAACAAAAATAAACCAGATAACCACACAGTGCGGTGAGAACTGTATGTAGAGTTCTGATACAAGCCCCAGATAGGCCACGACTTTGGGGAGGGGGAAACACCAACATGCACATAGTAAATTCCCTGTCAACCTGCAATTGACCTGGGAAACTGCACTCCTCAAAAAGTGACTTCATGTAGGTTCCTTTTGAATGGGCACTTGTGATCACATAACCCAGTGAGTGAAAAGTCACTTGGCAGTGTAGAGACCTGTGTCTTCATATCTGAAATGCCAAAAAGTAGGGTTTAATATGTTGTTTTCATTTTAATTATATTTGTGTTCATCCACAAGTATAGAAGCTAAAAAAGTAAAAAGGATGAAAAATGCATTAGTTATCCTATTTCCATGATTCTACCCTCTTGCCTAAAGACCTTCTCCAATTTTTCTATCAGACTTTAAGAATATCAAAATAAAGTTTTTGAAGGGTTGTTTCCTTTTTTTAAGTTTTCTATGTCTTCATAGCTGTCAAAGTATTTCATCTTTTTTCTCAAAACATTTGCAAGCCTTGCTGTCACCCACTAATGACCTATTTCAGACTCTTATTTCCCTCTGAAGGGATTTCCTATATTCTTTATTGCAACTCCTCTGATATGACATTATATTCTAATTGGAATAACCACTCCAACACTTCCTTTACCCTCAACCCCTAAACTGCAAATGATACCCCAGTATCCTGACCCCTAATTTCAAAAATAGTTTCCTATTTCATCCTCATCCCATATTATGTATATCTGCTTCTCTTTTTTCTTCTCCAAGATGTGGCTGTCAATTGGCAGCAGATCCAGGAACAGCAGCAGGCTATTCACACCCTCAGTTCTGTATCCTGCTCAGTTTTCCTCCAGCTGACCATAGGCATCTTACCCAAAGTGAGCAATAGCTATTTTGGAAACCTTTTCCACACCAGCAGGCAAGGCTTTGAGACTGTAAAAGAAAAAAGCATCGGAAAAGGCAAAAATCCTCACTCACAGTTTTCAGCAGGAAACAAAATGTCTCCAAAATCATGCAGCCACACTGTGGCCAGACAAAGACAGCAGGAAGAACCACCCCCACACCTCCAGCCATCCTCCACTGTGAAGCAAGATTTCCTTTCCTTTCACAGCAGCTGTGGATGGCGTTGTGGAACCTCACATCATCGTGAGCACAGGACAAATTTTTTATTCTCAAATAAAATACGAGGAACTGAAAGTATTCCAAATCACAGCTTTAAAAATGTAATTGTGTGACCTTTTGACAAGGTCTCAGCCCATCTTTCCAACATTACCATCCACAGTGCTCCTTCATGCATGGCAGATTCCTAACAAAACACTGGAGCATCATTCCCTAAACAAAACTGGCACTTTCCAACCTCTGAGCTTCTGCTCTCCAAGTCCTCTCTCTTAGACTGTTCTTCATTCTCAGCCCTCATCTGAGGCTTTTTCAACTGCTGCCTCCCCCATGAATTTTTCCCCACTTATCCCAAGACAAACTCTGTCTCCCCCTTGTTTGTGCTCTCCTAACACATTGCTTACAGATCTACAATAAAATTAGTCACATTCTGTCTTATGTCAAAGCTGTTGACTATAAACTCATAACAGATTAAGTCCTGGGTCTCAATGATCCTGGTTTTCCATCTAGTGTCTAGCTTATGTAATAGGCAATATTGAAACATGTTAAATATAAGCGATCGTAAATAATGACTTTTCTTCAGTGATAGATTGTAGAGGTAATGAAGCTTCTCTTGTGAATATGTGATTGTCTCTTCTCTCTTGTGTGATGCTGAGACGCTGAACAGAGTAACTGGTACGTAGCAATAATTCCTCATATTTTTGCAATTCTGGGGAAGGAGGAGGAAGAGGATGATGATATGAAAACGGGAAAAAGAGAGAGGTGATCCCTATGGTGGTTTAAAGATGGCCACAAAATTTTGACAGTCCTCCCATGAAGAGGTGGGCTCTCGGTGCCCTTTTCTTGAATGTGAGTGGGCTCTGGAACTCCCTTGACCAATGAAGTAAGGTGGAAGTAACGCCGTGCCAGTTTCCAAGCCGAGATCTTACAACACTGGCAGCTTCCACTGCTGCCTCTTGGAAAACTCATTCTTGGAACCCAGTTGCCACACTGTGGATGCTCAAGTAGCCCAAGGAGAAGCCTATGTGGAAATGAATCAGGAGTCAAAACCAACAGCCCCAACTGTACCTCCAGTTAACAGCCAGCGACAATTTGCCAATCATATGTGTCAGCCCTGTTGGAAGTGGCTCCTCCAGCCCCAGATGGACCACCCTAGCCTGACACCATGAGAGCAGACAAGCCATACCTCCAAAACCCTACCCAATGCAATTCATGAGCAAATCAAATGAGTGTTGTTATTTCAAGCCATTAAGTCTTGGAATCATTTATTTAAAAGCATTTAATAACTGGGACAGCCACTTACCTGACTTTCTTTTTGTCCTTTCAGATAAGTCCCACATTTCAAATATCTAAAAAATTTCTGAGATTTTTCAATATTCAGAATATTTCAGCTTGGTCAGTTGATGAACGAGCTACTCTTTTTG
Organism: Homo sapiens; assembly: GCF_000001405.40. NCBI lineage: Eukaryota > Metazoa > Chordata > Mammalia > Primates > Hominidae > Homo > Homo sapiens. The sequence continues at coordinate 138,665,542 of NC_000004.12, forward strand.
AGTGAACTACAAGCTGTATATGGTGTTTAAACCACACCAAAAAATCTCTCTGGGTGACAGATGAACCTGAGTAGGATGTGGACCTCCCACCCTACTCCAGCTAAAGCTGCTTCTCTTCCATCTGTTTTCATGTCATGAGTTCCCCTTAAAAATCCACTGGAACAAAAGATCCAATAGCAGCAAAACGTACAAAAGGTGCTGTTCTAAAGTATTAGGCCCAGTAAATTTGACTCTGTGGCCCCTGCTAGTAGCTCGGATTACTTTCACAAAACAATGAAACAACCACTTAAATCATCTTCCGTTTATAAGCAAAACTAAACGGAAACCCTAGTTAAATTTTCTACAACCTCTCATATGCTGGGCACTTTTGCTTCTGCCTGGGATACCTGGTACATGAAAGGTAACTCCTGTTGCTTTCAGAAGCTCCGTCTATTCGCAGCAAAGCAGTGACACCTGCTTGGAAAAATTCCTCCCAGGAGTCATGGATGACATTTCTGGGAAAGATCCCAGAATGGCACATTGGAAATTAATAAGCGTACCAAGCAAATGGCTCCTGTGGAAGCTGTACCCTCTTGTTCATTCAGCAGAATTGTATTGTCAGTGTAATGACCTACCTGTCTCCCTGGACCACTACTACTGACTGCTGAAGCCATTTGACATTCTGTCTTGTAGGTTGAGGCTTGCTTTAGACACCAGAACCCCATATATCCCTAGTCAGGGGTAATTTAGGGACATACAAGTCAGAAATACAAGTGTTTGGGATGGAATTTGACCTTGGTAGTTCCAGTCTCACTTTATGATCGTATTCTAGTAACTAAACATGACCTTCCTCCCTTGACCAGGTGCCTACATTTCTCCCCAGGTTACAACCACTGCATTCCAACCTTGCTCCCCACCGCAACAAACAGCCTTATCCTCATTTCTTCAAAACCAGAGCCCTGTGGTTTGTCTAGTCTTTCAGTCTGGCAGACTCCCTGACAATGATGCATGCCTTCCTGAGTCTGAGTGTCTTGCCTTTTGCCAGACCCCCTGCCACCACACTCCCCCTCCCTGCAGAAGCACCACCTGTCGCCTCTTGCTCGCCCACCCTGACACTGGCACTTCTCCAGCAGCCACACACTTTTCAGACGCCACACATAACGTGCAGGTCAGACTGCTCCCATTCCTGCAAGCAGGGTCACCCTCTCAGGGCCTACCTTGCCACAAGGGTGTGGACTCGTCCTGAGATGTCGCTTTATCTTTTTCTCAGGACTACCAAAACAAAGTACCACAGACTGGGTTGCTTAAACAAAAGAAATTTACTGTCTCACGGTCCTAGAGGCTAGAAATCCGAGATCAAGGTGTTGGCCGGGTTGGTTCCTTCTGAGGGATGTGAGGGAGAATCTGTTGCAGGCCTCTCGCCTTGGCTTCTAGACGGCCGTCCGATCCCTATGTGTCTTCACATCATCTTCCCTCTCTGCATGTGTGTCCAAATTTCCACTTCTTATGAGAACACATTGAATTAGAGCCCACTAGAATAACCTAATTTTAACTGACTTACCTTACTGAAGACCCTGTCTTGAAATACAGTCACATTCCGCGTTACTGGGGGTTGGGACTTCAGCATGTGAATTTGGGGGGACACGATTCAGCCGATGACAGCTGCCCTCCTGCCAGTGTTCTTCACCCCACTCCCTACTTAGGTCTGAGCTTTTAAGGGTATCAGAGCAGTGATTTTCAAGTCAATCTCACATGTATAATGAGAGGATCCCAGTTTACATCTAAAATGTTCACTGTTGGGCCAGGCGCGGTGGCTCACGCCTGTAATCCCAACACTTTGGGAGGCCAAGGTGGGTGGATTACCTGAGGTCGGGAGTTCGACGCCAGCCTGACCAACATGGAGAAACCCCGTCTCTACTAAAAATACAAAATTAGCCAGGCGTGGTGGTGCATGCCTGTAATCCTAGCTAGTGGGGAGGCTGAGGCAGGAGAATAGCTTGAACCCGGGAGGCGGAGGTTGCAGTGAGCCGATATTGCACGATTGCGCTCCAGCCTGGGCAACAAGAGTGAGACTCTGTCACAAAAAAAAATAAATATAAAATAAAATAAAATAAAATGTTCACCGCTAGGCCTCAGATAGGCGCATGTCTCACAGTCTGGTAAGGCAAGCCTGCCAAGAGCTCACCTTTACCTGACATTGTTTGGACGTTTGTCCTCTCCAAATTGCATGTTAAAATGTAATCCCCAGTGCTGGAGGTGGGGCCCAGTGGGAGGTGTTCGGGTCATGGAGGCAGATCCCTCATGAATGACTTAGCACCATCCCGTTGATGATGCATGACTTCTCTCTTGGTGAGTTCACACGAGATCTGACTCCTGCCTCCTCTCTCTTGTTCCTGTTCTCGCCATGTGAGACACCTGCTCTCCCTTCACCTCCCACCATGATTGTAAGCTTCCTGAGGCCTCACTGGAAGAAGCTAAGAAGATGTTGGCACCATGCTTGTATAGTCTGAAGAACCATGAGACAATTAAACCTCTTTTCTTTATAAATTACCCAGTCTCAGGTATTTCTTTATAGCAACACAAAAATGGACTAAGACATTACCTAAGAGGCTGAGGAACCTCTAGGAGTAAAGGACCCAAAAGAGGGCTGACAGACGAGTGGCCAGTGGCCAGAGAGGAAGAGCATGGTCTCTGTCACCTGGATATTTCTTCTAACCCCCATACATTCTTATTCCTTGGGGAAAAAATAGACCTCAAATTAAAACAGAGGAATTATTTTTCTTTTTTAAAATGTTTTTAGCTTTAGTAGCACAAAGTGATGCTGCTTTGGTACCTGGCTAGTAGGGAACAACATGATTCTTATTCTCCCACCTAAAATAGCATAGCTAAGTACACAAATAGCTTGGAGAACTCAGGGAAGTTCTGAGCATCAAGGGCTCTGGTACATCAATTAGATAAGACGTAAGTGGTAGTGTCTGGTGGATGCGGGAATGCCTAGAAAAAGCAGTAGCAGGCCGTGTGGTGGCCAGCAGATACCATGTGGTAGTAGGTGAGTGCCCTAGTCCACAGACATGCTAAGTCATGTCATGGAGACACTCAGAAATTAATGGGGGTGGAGGGGGGTGATTTTGAAAAGAGCTAGAGTATTTCATAGCAGGTAAAAGCAAGAGTTAAGAAAATGCAAATTGCCTTTAAAAATAATGGTTTCTTAGGCCTAACTGAATAACTAGGGCCACCCAAGTCACAGTTAAAGACAGGATTTCTAGAAAACTGAGATTTTAAAAAGAGCTCCTAATTGAGTGCAATAAATATCCATTTGGCTTTAGCTAAGTCTGAAAGGTTATAATTTAATTTGAGCATCAGGTCAGTACATTTCCTCTTGTAACCCCATGTTAAAGTGCACACGCCTGTTTCTTTGAACACTTGTAAACTGTCATCTTCTTCCAGGCCATGCAACTGGGTGTTAGGAAATCCTACAAAGAGATATGTATTTCATCCACCTTGGTTTCACCCACCAACTTCACGTCAGTGAAGAAGAGTGATGATAGAACTTCCTTGGCTGGCTTCATTTAAAAAAACAAAATTCCCAGAGGAGACAGCATTTGAGCATCAAGAGACTTTCAACAAACCAAATAGCTGCCAGGTTCAACTGCTAAAATCCTATCGTTTCATTGAGCCCCGTTGACTCTTAATTGTGGTTTGTAGCAAAATCCCAGGCCTCTTGCAATGAATCCACTAACCAAGGTGGAAGGTTTATGACAACTTTATTTTCCTTGTCAAAAACTACATGAGAGAATGAAGTAGAAAAGGGTAACAAAGGGCAGAAATCCTGAGGCTAAATTACAGGTTTATATACCCATGAAATATCATTAGCCTAGTCAAATTCCTACCAAGCTTCTGCATTCTGTCCATTTAGATTTCTCTGCGGCTTCAGTGGGACACTCTGCTCTATGCTTGTCTGCCTCGTGAAGAGTTGTTATTTAATAGTTGATACATTCCACCCAGCTGTGGCAACAATTCCCCACAGAGGTTTTACTTTATTTTAATTTTTCAAAGCTTTGCAAAAATTCTTTAGTGTAACAGAAGTAATACACAGAGATGGGATGTTTTATCAAGGTTGTTTTTAATAGAGCTATGACTAACTGGTGGTGACTAATGTGGACCTCCAAGTTCAATCACTTGAGAGCTTCAGTGACGTAGTACCTGATCACGATAGACCTCCAACAAATATCACTTCCCTTTTCATTCAAGGTGACCACATGTGTGGGTGTATATCCAATTACAGCAAAAAAAAAAAAAAAAATTAAATACAGTCCTTAATTATATCTGAGACCTTACATTTTCAGCCCAAATTTCAAATCTATAAGAAGATCCTTTGGCTTTGCTGCTGTATGAATAAAGCATCCCACTGAATTCACTCTGTCTCGGCTACTGGCCTGGGATGTCAGCACATGGTCACCAGTCAGTGATGTAGAGATCAAGAAGGGAGCTGCAACTCTGCAAAGAGAAACCTCATTGCTTCAAGTCTGATTTGAAGCCTGGACATCTGGGAGATTAATGGCTGAAGCAGAAGATTGAGGCAGGCTAGAGAGCTTAGAGGAGCACTTCCGTTTGTTTCCACGTGCATTCTGACCTTGAGTTTAAAAAAGGCAGATACACACCAGAAGTGGCAGGCACACCACAGTTTCTGCCTGGGAGCAGCCACAGGCTCCCTTGCCCTTCAGATTCTGGTAGAATTTGGCCAACAGGGAGGCCTAGTAGAAGATTGAAGGGAGAGAGAAGAGTGATAGCAAAGGATTTTTCCCCCCAGCCTTTTCCAGCCATTTGCAAACCTCCACCTAAGGTTACGGGCCCTGTCAAGACAGCCTACCCTATGTAACTCTCTCCAAACCAGGCCCCAGGACCACTCCTTCCCCTGATCTCCTAAGCCCTGGGGAGGCCAATTTTCCCCAGGCTCTTCACCTTCATTTGAAGTTTTCCTACACCCCAGCCACAACTTTGTGACTTGACTCTTTATTAAACCAGCCTCAAATTATCCTTTAAAAATGTCAGAAAAGAGATGCTTCCTTCATTAAAAAATGTCAGAAAAGAGATGCTTCCTTCATTAAAACATTCATACTTCATATAAGTCTAATGAAGACTCCTCAGCCACTTATATGCATGCAAAGAGAGTTACTATGAAGATCTTTGGACACCAGTGTCCAACTCCATCATTCATTCTCTCAACCAATATGTATTTTATTGGTCGATTTCTCTATGCTGAATGCAGACACTGCTCTAGGCAGCCTGGTGAGTGCAGTGAGGTAACTGACAGTCCTGCCTCTCTTGCTCTGTAGGTGACGTCACTCAGCTTGCCATACATCTGCTCTCCATCCCCTTTCCTCTGTGCTTCACGCCTGAACTTGACTGCACCACAACCTCCACACTAGTGCCTCTGCCTCCCTTCTCTGCAGTCTCTCCTCCACAGCACAGTCTTTAATGCACAGATAGGACCGTTGCACAGCTTGATAGAAAGGCTATTTCTCAACTCCTGAGCATGCTATGTGGTCCATGCCGACCTTTCCGTCCTATGCTCCCCTCATACCAAACCTTGGTGTTCCTCCAATCTGCCAGGCTCTTTCATGCCTCTGTGATTCTCACATACTGTTCTGGCTTCTTGGAATGCTCTCTCCCTATTATCTTCCTGGAAAATTCCTAACTCAAGTAAGTCTACCAAGCCTGCAGGAGGACTAGAGGGCAGGATTAAATGCTCTCTCCTGGGTGGTCCCATAGCAGCCCACACACACCTCTGCTATGTCACTTATCATATTGTGCTACAAAGCTGGGTCACCTGTCATCTCTCCTACCATGCTTGCCTTGTGGGCAGAGCCCTTGTCATCTTAATTATGAAGCAGAACACTCCTCTAAAAGCTGCCCATGGCTATTTCTGCATTCTAGGTTGTGCAACAGAATTTATCTTTGGGGAAAAATTGTGTTTTTTTTTTGTTTAAATTTGGCAAAACAATGTGGCATGCTTTTTAAGCAAAGAAAATGTCCAAAAGCAGACTAAAACAATGAGAAGCCAAACAGTGTTAAAATTAAGCCCTTGGTGGCCTGATGTACCTCTAAGGACACGTTATCTGGCTACTAAGTCTTCTCTGCTCTTCCCTAGTGAGGAGCCTGAGACTAAGAGATAGAGAAAACATGGATGGGTGGGAGTAGACCACACCAGCAAGATAGCCAATGGCCAGGGCCAAAAGAGATGCCTTTGGAGTAGTGCTAGCCAATATCTCACTTGAGCTTTGCTTTTCTGTTATCAATTTCTCACAATAAGTTCTAAGATATCACTCTGATCTGTTCTCTCCTACCCCACAGTAGCAGCCTTAGGCAAATAAGGAAGAAAATATGTTTATGCTTCAGGGTAAATTAGAGCACCGAGAGCTGGAGCAGCAGGAGAGAGTGAAGAAAAGCTGTGATGACAGGAGCCCAAGCCAGAGCAGTGGCAGAGAAAGAGGTGACATCAGCAGGCAGGTGCATCCTCACGTAATCTTTAGGAAGAGTGACTGAATTTCCTACAGTCCACAGAACAGATGCATGTGCCCCTTTATTTGGCTAACAGAATAGAGAGTTATCCTGGAAGGCTGACAACTTTTTATGTAATTAAGTCGTATTTGTAATTTTAGCAATTAGCATGGTTCCAGGCACATTGAACATGCCCTAAAAATATTTGATAAGTGAATGAATGAACGAGTAATGAATAAAGGACTGGAAGTTTCCCTTCAAGGTGGTCTCAAGTATTTGTTCTTTCTGACATTCACATCATGTTTCTCTTTCCTCTTGTTACTTTGTGCTTACAAAAGCTTTAAGGAGCTGGAAAAGAAGGCAAAAGCAAAGACAACAAGACCCTGTAGTGCCAAGTCCAGGGTAACGACCCTGGTAAGAATGGAGATCATGACTGGCTAATTAGTACAAGACATCTGCGAGCCTACCTGGGTTCGCACATGCTCGTCACTCTCACCCCCAGCCCCCAGCCAGCCTCATCTCTGAGGCTGCAGCAGTTGGGGCAGATCATCATTCCTGAAGGACAGCATCCAGTTTGCTTCTGTTTTCCCCTTTCCTAGAGCACTAGACTGATTCTGGGAGACTGAAGGTCTAATTTCTTCTAGCCACTGGGACAGCGAAACAGAAAGCAACTCTGTAGAAAGGGTCAACAGACCCGCTGGCACAGCAAGGAAACGTGTGTTTTTCGGGGTCAGGGAGAAGGAAAGCAGAGCTGTGAGGGTTTCCAGGCCAGAGGTTTTCAGGAGCCCAGGGTCAGTCATTCTACGATTCTGATTGTTTGTTCAGAATGAAACTCTCAGCCCTCAGAGGCTTTGCTGATCTTGCAAAGAGACCCAAGAGACATTTGTGTTCCCAACTTTGACCTCCACATGATTTCCCTCCTCTTTGGTGCACTTCTTTTCTTTGGAGGGCACTGGATTTTGTTCTTCGAAGCACAAAATTTTGCCCTTCTCCACGGTGGCTAAGGAGGTAAGGTCGCAGGAAATCCTCCACACACACAGAAAAGCCCAAGTGCATTTCCTGCACAAAAAGAAGCCCCCCGACTTTGCTGCAATGTGCCAGGGGGCTTGGTGAGGGACATGCACACGCACAGGCACACGCGACTGCATTACCAGTGAACAGGCCCGCAGGCATGCGAATGGAAGCAAGCAACAGAGCTCCTCCACCGAGGGGAATTCTCAACTTGCTGTTTACTATTTTAAGCACTTCTGCAAAAGAATGTGAGAGGCGGCAAAGGTCAGGGTTGTGAGCTGTCCATTACCGTTCATGGCTCAAAGTCTTGACAAGACATGGGAAAATTACAGAATTAATTTTGATGAAACAGAGGTAGATCAAAAGGGAAATGACAAAGAAGCATGATTTGACAATATGTTTAAATATATTGTTCATCGACTCTCAATACAGAGGGCTGCAAAAAGAGAATCAGAGCACAATGCATCCAAATACTTTAATCACTTGGGACAATAATGTTAAAACAGAGGTAAACATTATTAGCAAAAGGTTCATTGTTGGTTAAAAGAGTCTACATTTGGGATTTGTTTCTGTTGTTCATACGAGCACGTTTTCTCTAGCAACACAAAGCATGGAACTTCATTTTCCGATATATTTAGAACTGTTTACAGTATGTTTCCAAAAATATAAACCCAAAATATATCAGATCTCAAGTCAGAATTTTCCTAGGCATCAGAAAAAAAAAAAAAAAAAAAGAAAGAAAAGAAAATTCTCAAAAACAACAGATTGGCATCTGTTTGACAGTATAGGCAAAATCTTGAGTGGAAAATAAAGCTCATGCATCCACAGCAAACGTAAATTCATACAAAAATCCAGAGTGGTGAATAGTCTTGAAGTATTGTGGAGATGGGAAGGAGAGAGAGAGGGAGAGAGGGAGAGAGGAAGAAAAAGTGGGAAGCAGAAGCATGGGTTTTAGAAATCTTCAGACTAAGCTTGATTCCTGGACTCCCTACATGCTCTGCAGCAACTACCAGCAAGTTCACTCCCCTCAAACTCCAGATTCCTCTCTGTGATAATGGAGAGCATGATATTCTATGAGAGATAAAGGTTTAAACCTAGTATGTAGCAGTCACTCAGGAGATATGAGATTCTTCCTTTCTTCCTTCAGAATGGCTTTGGATAAGCAACACTGGATTCTCTTTCTAAGGTCCTGAACTTCAATTTGTGGAGGTAGAGCAGTCACAAGCAAGAAGGCAGAAGTGAACTAATGAGTAAAAAATGAGGCAAAAGGAAAGCAATCCTGGGAAATGGAAATTCTCTGTCACTAAAAAAATGTAATAAACATTTAGTTCTGTTTTCTTACAGCAGGAAGAGCAAATGCAAATGCATCGAGAGCCTACTAAGGAGGCCCTTGCAACAATGATGAATTACTGCAGGAAGCATCTGTCCCTTCCCCACCCAGGACAACATCTTAATAACCAGCATGTTCATGATTTAAGTAAAGGTTTAGACTCAGAACACTCATTTGGTCATCTGACTTTGGTTTAGGGCCAGGATTCCCAATATTCAGAAATATGAGACTAAGCCCTTTTGCAGTGTCAAAAATGTCACTGTACCACCTCTTCCCAACATGGTATGAGCTGCCTTTTAGTGTCCATTGAGAAAGTTCATAATCACAAAAAGACTGAATTTGTATTATACTTAACCTCATATATTTGAAAAATTACATATATTTGAAAAATTACCATGACATTTGTCTGTAAGATATTATTTATCCCACCAATAGAGGACACTTCGAGCAAATACAGCTTTCCAGATTCATTACAACAATATCGTAGACACTCTCCCTCCTAGAGGTACAAAGCCCACAGGGGGAAAACCCCTGAGGGGAATGAGTCTCTTGCTTTTTGTAAAAATCTCCATCAAGAAACTTCAAGATGAATAATGATTTGGTCAATTTTGAAGCACAGGTTTAAAAATAGGAAAACAGAGAGAACATCCACATACTGAGAATAAATTTATTGCTAATGTTATTAATAAGCCAAACTTTTTGTAAGGCCAATGTGTAGATTGATTCTAAAGAGCCCCCATTCCATTATCTCTACTCTGAAGCGCTAGAAAACAACAATGAAGAGGAACTATTGGTTTGTTTGTTTTCTTTTCTCTTGCTTCGTCTTGTTTTTTTTGACACAACAAGTTTCCAGGTAGAAAGAACCACTGTTTTTATGAAGAACTATTGGTACAATGACATAGCTATGTCTCAGAGTCTCTCAAGCAATAATGCTGAGTAATTTTTCTTGTTGATTATATCTGTTTTAAAAAATGGAACTCTAATTTGTTGGGTAAAATTTACATTTGCTGAAACAGGCAGCAACTCATAAACTAGTCCAGCGAAAAGTCTTTAAAATCTAGTGGCTAAAACAGAAGGAAAAACTCCAGACATTCATAAAATTATTCTGCATGATATGCTAAGAGTCTCGGAGGAGGGAAAAAAAAAAAAACCAAAGCAGCAGATTAAAGACACGTTTTACTACCTGAATCTCTTGAAAAATGACAAAAAATAATCCCCAGAAACATCTATCTCCAATCATCGCAGGATCCTTCCTCCCCCCAAAATAAGACAAAAATGTCATTTTTATGAGACTACCCCCAGTGACCAGGTCTACGGTTTCAAAGCCAGTGGTGTATTACCCCACAGGTGAAAGAAAGAGGAACACATCCATTCCGTCCTGTTGGAACAGACGTGAGCATCTGCCTTCCACGTTTGGTTATGGTATATGTCAACAAACACAGCAGCAGAGAAGGCCCTGCAAAATTATCCATCAGGGACCTGTTTACATTTGTACTGTCAATTCTAATAGGTTTTTTATTGAATTAAATTCTTCTGCCCTCATTAGAATCATGATTGCCTGTCAGTGAGTATGACAGGTTTGAATTCCCACAAGGGTGTTAGACGCTCCATCTTGTATATTGCCCAGGAGGGATCAAAGACAAGGCTTGGCTGGAAATTCTACGTGTCAATCCTTGAAATTACAGCACACATACTTTTCTGCAAATAAGTAATTGTGCTTCACAATAAAACAACCCAGAGAATTCCTAAGGTTCTTCTGTCTTGCAGGCGTATACAACCTGGCAGGTCCTGACAATCAGGTTGACCTGCAGCCACCCAACCTCAGCACATAAATGTAGCACCTGCTGGTTTCTCAAGTCCTCTTGGGAGTTGCTGAAGGCTATGGAGGCTTATAAACATGGACAGTAATTTCACCTGAGACATGGTCTCAGGTGGGGCTTATTTCTAAGAATACACTTGAAAGTGTAGAGAAAATTTGAGCATTATGGAGGACAGATAATTCTCTGCTGGATAATGGGGGAGAAGCCTCCAAAGGATGGCCACATTTAGTGACCACTTCCTCCGCCAAGCACGTTTTCTATCTTAACTCATTTAATAATTACAACTCAGTGAGGAATAACACTTATACCCATTTCATAAATGGAAGAAAGCAAAGCTTGGAGAGTAATGTTTCAACATCATACAGTAAGTGGCTGGGCAGGACTGAGACCTCCATCTGTGGGACTCTATGATGTCGCCCCTCTTCCCCCTTCTCTGGTGCCCTGAGCAGGAGGCTGGCCCTCCAGAGGTACTGAATGTGGCAGGAATCGCAAGGGCCTTTGGAGGCTCAGCAATGGCCCCTCAGCTTGGAGGAAAGATGGAACGTACAAACCATATTCCAAAGTAAAGAGATTTCCGAACACAAATATGCTCCCCATCTGGGCCATCCCTAAAATGGATGAGCAACTCCTAAAATTGGAGTTTGTTCTTTCTTCCATAATTAAGTGGAGAGAAAGGGGGACTTTACTAGTCAATAACTTAATGTGGGAGAAAAAGAAACCTCTTTATCTTTTATCCTTAACTTCCAACCAAGTTATACAGAAATTATTCCATACAACTGTCTTTTTGGGGAATTTTTTTAACTAGCATCAAATTGCTGCATCCTCTAAGCCTGAAAATTTTCACATTTTACAGTTTTGCCCCACTTCCCAAAATTTCCCAGCCTGGGTTTCTTTCAGAGATGCTGTTTTCCCTTGAGACTCTATATCTCTGGGGTCTAGAGTCCAGGCAACAATGTTCTTAATAAGCTCCCCCTGGAGATTTTGAAGCCCACCAAAGGCAGAGGCCCTAAAACAGAAAGCAAGTTAAAGTTCTGCAGTTGGATATCAGCCGGTCATGTGCTCTTTATTCGTAGAGGAAATGGAAAGGGGCTGCACTTGGATGAGATGTTATAGGAGAACCCACCTTCTCATTGCTCTTCAAATCCTTCTCCAAGGGATTTGAAATCAACTACATTGGAATGTCTGAAAAAAATTCCTCCTATTGAAGGTAAATGATTAACCTAGAAAGAGCAGCATATAAGAGGAGGCTTGACTTGCTCACTTGCTTACTTGTTCGCATGAAATCAGGACTTAACGTCCAGGCAGGGAAGGAGTTTCATCTGGTGACCTGCTACTGTCTGGTTATTTGCTGAAATGACTTGATTTTCAGTCATGTCTCTTTAATGAGATAAAGCAGAAGAAAGAACTAGGTACATTCTCTTCTTCTACCTTTAGATCCTTCTTTTCTCCAGAGAAGGCTCCTCATTCCTCTTCTCTCTTTCTTCATTCTCTGCACCCCAACTTTCCTGGACAACCTGTCTGTACTGTGTCTCTAGATACTTCCTTCTGTTTTGACTTTTTTTTCCTTTCCTGTCAGACTTGAGGATGCCTTCTGTTCTAACATCACTCCTTCTCTGCCACTCACAGGCTCACGGTTTGGTACCCAAGCTGTTTTCTGTTCCCTGGCAGCTAGCCTCACATTCCATTCTGCCACAGGATTTAGCTCTAAGTCAGGCAGTAAATGGGCTCTTTACAAATCTAGCTTAATTTAAAGAACTCTCTTCCTGAGCTGCATTTCTGGGGACATTTTTCAAGGGTGTTAGCAATGAGGCTATATGCACTTGCTTGTACAACAGCAGATTGGCTGCTGTTTCTGTCACTCTGAGAGACCAACATTAAGGCTCAAATTAACTAGCAAGTGTAAACCACAGGAACCAAGAGAATGATTTCACAGACTTATTTTTTTCTCCTCTCTATTTGTATAATTTTAGCAACTAGGGCATGAAGTGTGCAGGGCCCAGTGTCAGTGTGGTGGAAGCAGCAGGGGAATGATGAGTTGATGAGCTTGGGGGCACAGTGAGGCTGGAGGATGAGGGAGATTGGAAGTCATTGATTATGACTCCATAGCTCTATCTGAATGACTAAGATTTGTGGAAACTCAGTCCTTGTCTTTCATTCTTAGTGCGAGATACTTCATGCTCCTATCCCTTTCTTGTTGTATCTAGTTTGGACCATATATATTTGGTTCATGAGGCCATTTTTTAAAAAGCTCATTTTCATAGACAAACTGTCAATTGGTCTTATATGTGCATTAAATCACTGAACAACTTTGAAAAATCTATGCTAAACAGAGCATGTGCCTTACAGGCTGTGGGACACTAAGTGGGTGGCAGCACCCTTGCAGAAGTCCACGGGTCATGACACTAAAACATATGGTGAAGGTACGCCCAGCTAACTCATTTTACTTTGACAGAATGCAGTTTTCATTGGGATTAAGATCTCTTACCACCTGTGTGTGGGGAGTGCAGGACAAGAAACCATAGCTGAATAGGTAAAATTCCATTCTCCTGTCCCTTCGCAGATGCTAATGAGGAGTGACATCACCAAGATGCAGTAGCAGAGGGGCATGGTGAGAAACAAGAGGGCTTGGTGGGATATAATGGAAAAACTACGTTAATACCAGGGGACTAAATGTGCAAGGCAGCCCTGCTGTGTGGCAGTGCGACGGTCAAGCCCCACCAGAAACAAACAAACAAAAATCACCTCTCTGTTGGCATCGCAGGTACAATCTAGTCTTTCACTGCCCAGTATAGTCTCCACTGGGCCATAGGTAATTTTAACTTTAAATTAGTTTCAATTAAAATTTCATTTCCTCCATCGCACTGGCCACATTTCTAGTGCTAATAGCCACATTTGGTCACTGCCTGCCACACCGGACAGGGCAGTTACAGAACATCTCTATCATCACAGAACATTCTATTGGACTGTGCTGCTCTAGCATGTTCTGCTCTAAGACATGCTCTGACCTGTAGCTTCAATGGGTAGACATTCTTGAGCCAAAAGAAAGCCTTAAAAAGTCATGTGCAAGGGAGAAAGCTTCCATTACACACGGAACGGAGCAGCCTGCTGGGGACAGGAGAGACACAAGTAGTCTGGCAGCTTCCAAAATAAGCGCTGAGAACTCTTCACAAATGCAGCCCAAGAGGATACAGAGATGGGATCATCTCCTTCCAAAATCGACTGCTCCTCTCCCTCTGCCGGAGGGTTCAGCTGAGAGCAGCGAGTTGAGGAGCAATTCCTCATGTAAATTAAATGGAAAGGAAGGGCTATCCTGGCACTCAAGGATTTGGAAGCCAATAGCACCAACATGATTAAATAATTGAACTGTCTCACCTTGCCCAGTCAAGCTGGATTCCAACGAGGGTAATTAATCTTCATGTGCCTGTTATTCCCTGCCCTGCTCCTGTTCAAAGTCAAGTTTCTCAACCTGACTGTTTCTTGCAAGAGAAGAAAAGGGAGGAGGAAGCAAAATAGGAGGGCTTCCTCATAGAAGGGCATTAGTACCGAGAAATCTTCAAGTCTAGTCTTAGTGAAACTCCCCTAAAAAGGCAGCATTAATGCTGTAATTGTATGCAACGTTACATGCACATTTCAGAGAAACGAAAATATTTAGGGTTTATAGTTGTTCTTAAAGATTAGATATGGGCTGAGCACGCTGACTCATGCCTGTAATCCCAGCACTTTGGGAAGCTGAGGCCGGTGGATCACAAGGTCAGGAGTTCAAGACCAACCTGGCCAATATGGTGAAACCCCGTCTCTACTAAAATTAGTGGGGCATGGTGGCAGGCACCTGTAATCCCAGCTACTCGGGAGGCTGAAGCAGGAGAATCACTTGAACCTGGGAGGCAGAGGTTGCAGTAAGCCGAGATCATGCCACTGCACTCCAGCCTGGGTGACAAAGCAAGACTCCGTCTCAAAAAATAAATAAATAAATAAATAAATAAATAAATAAATAAATAATAGATTTTAGGACTTTCCTTCAAGAAACTCTCGGTCATTTTACTTCCACTACCCCCAGAAATAAAAGAGACAGTGACTGAGACAGGCAAGGAGGCCAAGTAAATGTCCCCAGCCTTACCTTAGTTCCCAAGTTAATCATTGCTCAAACGCAAAGCCCAGGTAGGGGAAGGAGGAGCTGGTCATAACATGTGTTTAAATTCATTAATTCACTCAACAAACATTAATTGAGTGCCTGCCATGCCAGGCACAGTTCTAGGAGCTTGATGTATCATCTCTGAACAAACAGACATGATCCCCGGACTGGCGGAAATCACATTCCTAACACTCATACTTGGGTCTTTCATTCAACCACACTTTATCCATTAATCATATGAGTCAATTTTAAAAATACAAAATTTTAGCATATATTTATTTTGCATCACTTTCTATAATATGATAGCTTGACTCCTATAAAAGTGTTTGTGAGGGTGCATTAAAAATAACTATAATCCCCAGGAACTTCCCAGAACTATGCACACTGTGAACCTGGTTTTACACCAAGAAGGAGAGAGCTTTCCAGCCAGGATCTATACACGTCCACCCAGCTCCACAAAATGATCAGCCAATAGCAAGGTGCAGCCAGCTGTTGGGCCTATCTCTGCTCTGAAAGAAGTAGATACAGGACAGTAGTTGTTTGACACAAAGACAAGGACAAGTGAGATGAGATGAGAGAAGCAAACAAAAAGTAAGAAAAATGAAAAATAATCTCACTGAATCATCCACCACCCCTAAGTATGTATTAATGGACCGATAAAGTATGCCCTGGAGAGTCTTAATACTACAATATTAAAACCCGTGTACCAAGAAAAGCAAAGACGGCACTTTATAACAAAGAGAGTTTGGGTTCTGTGTTGTTGGTTTTCTGGTTCTTGCTAATGTTCTGGTTTTTAGCTTTGCTCACTTAGATGTTATTTTCCTTTAAAGGGCTGCTAGCCACAGAGACCGTTTTCCAAACAAAGTGCAATGCTGCCCCCTGGTGGTCGAATAGTGTGAGAGCACCTGTAGAAATCGGGCATCTCTCCTAGTTCTGCCTAGATTTCGTTTTGCTATCTTTTCATCCTCTGGAGTGCAAATATTTCTCCCTTAAAGATTCTCAGCACAGAGATATTTTCTGGATCACCTGTTTCACACACTAATCAACAGAGCATTTTATCCTAAAATATGAACTGTGTGCTGATTACAAAACAAGCCGTGGTGGTGAGTTAATTTTGCTTATAAAAATTAAGCAATCTCCCTGGAGGAAGCCCAGAAATCAATCCTATTTCATATAACCTTTAGAATTCTGATTGGAATTCTCACTGGAAAGACATTTACTGAGAACTCAAGCTCAAGGAAATCAATGCCTGGGTCTAACAGACATTCCACTCCCAGACAAATGTATTTGATTTCAGATCATCCTTCAGTCTTTGTACTGGGAATAAACCTAAGACCAAAAGCTCTGAAAATAACAATGCAGGCGATACACCGCACTCTCAGAAGCCTCCTTCCCGAAATGCATGAAAACACAACAACTAGCTTAGAGAAAATTATATCAAATGAAAACACGTGGGGAGGGGTTGGCCGTAGAGCTAATCAGGACATAATTAGCTGAGAAGTCCAGGCATATGATCTAGTTTTCTGCAAACCATGATCCCTACCACCTGCATCAGGGTAACTTGGGAGTTTGTTAAAAAGGCAAATTTGGAGACTCCACCCAAATCTATTGAATTCAAAACTCTGGGGATAGGACCCAGAATTCTGCATTTTCCAGGCTCCTCGGGTAATGTGCACACTGAATTTTGAGAGCCATTGAGTAACACTTAATAAAATTTTAAATTTCCATTGAGAAGATTTCCTATTCAGAACTTCTCAAACATTATAAAGCTATAAAAAATAAACATATCAATTAATGCTTTTCCTTGATTTTCTCCAAAATTAAAAGGATATTTCTGATAATGGAAAGGCCCTGCCCAACCAATAAACAATGATCACAGCCAACCAAAATCAAGAGTATCACTTGTAATTGCTGATGATAATTTCTAATTGTACTTGTTACCGCAAAGCCATTCCTTTGAAAGCCCCATCAGTAAGTAGCATGAAGTGATTCATTAAACAGAAGCATCCACTAAATCAGAGGAGAAGACAGCCTTAAGATTACTACACAGATTTCTGCCCTCACAAGAACAACCTGACTAAAACAAGCAAAAGAGAGAAAGAGAGAAAAAGAGAGAGAGAAAGAAAGAAGAAAGAAAGAAACAAGGAAGGAAGGAAGGAAAGAAGGAAGAAAGAGAAAGAAAAGAAAAAGAAAAGAAAGAGAAAGAAAGAAAAGAAAGAAAGAAAAAGAAAGAAAGAAAGAAAGAAAGAAAGAAAGAAAGAAAGAAAAGAAAAGAAAAGAAAGAAAGCAACAAAAAAATGCAAGCAACTAACATTTCCCTGTTTTTCACCTCTTCTAAACTGCATGGCTGTTCTTGGTGCTGCCTCCTGCTCCCCTCCCTCTCCTGGACCATGATTCCTGCCTCTCTCTATCATCATTTTATAGCCACTTGTCATCGGGTCCCGTTCCAGGCTGTGGTGAGAATGGTGTGTGCTCTGGTCTTGCCAAGCCCAGGCAGAGGTGCCAGCACAGTCAGCTGCCTCCACACAGGCTACAGCCGTTGAGCAGATGCCAGCACCAACAGGTTGCATTTCATTGTTCCCCTTTATCGCCTGAATGCACCACAGGAGGAGAGGGCGCGGGATGGAGAAAGGCTTGTGTTTCTGCCTAAAGGAATCGGCATGCGGCTTAAAGAGGGTCTGCCTGCTCCGCTTGATCCACCCAGCATCCCTCAGTCACCAGCAGAAAGAGAAAGAGAAGCAGATCCCGAAGGTTTCACAACCTACACACGTGGAGGGCAGCGCCTCCGCTCCACCAGGCCGGGATCTCCCGAGACACCTTTGAAATCTCCCTCCCTCCTACACCACAGGGGAATCAGGTTACAGTGGAAATCTAGAAATGCCCCAATGGTCAAGCTGATGACCAAGAGCAATTTCGGCAAGGGAAGATCTGAAAGCACAAATGACATCAGGAAGAGAGGGAGGGATACCTGGACCGTGTCAGGTCTGTTTGTTCTGGGAGAGAGATCGAACATTACAAAGCATCCTTTAACTTAATATGGAATTTCAATACATCTCTGAAAGTGGGCTTTAAGTCAACACCGCCCACTGACAGCAAAAAGGAGGCTGAGGCAAGAATTTACCTCTGAGATTGGCTCTTGGTGTTTATGTCTGGCTGCAAAGAGAAGCAAATTGCAAATGTAATGATAAAATAGCTTAGAAGAGAAGGATTTTTTAATGAATTACAATAAATATATATTAATCCAAGTGTGCTCCCAAAGGCAGGATTTAAATTTTCCTAAATCAGCTAATATCTTAGTCAATTCTCCTCCGCTTGTATCTGGCCCATGTCACATGTTAAAATCTATACCACTTTATATCTCTCCTTAATTGCTCCATGTGGATAACTTGCATTTAAAACCAGTCCTCTTTGCCACTTGACCTTTAAAAGAAGATTAGAAAGTAAATTTTTCATCCAAACGAAGCTACCGTACTTCCATACACACGAAATAAATCACAAACCATACGGTTGAATAGGAATTCAATTAATGTTTTTGCCGTTTTCAAGCCCGTATGGAACTGAAAACAACTGTTTCAAAGAAAAAATAAAAAGCATCCAAAAGTGTACTGGTGTTGCTCATTCATAAAAACTGATCTTCTAGTCTACTTTTGCCTTTTGTTCCTGTGGTAGAGAAAATAACGGCCTCCCTAAAGATGTAGGCATGCTAATCCCTGGAACCTGTGAATATGTTGCCTTACATGGCATAAGGACTTTACGAGTGTGATTAAGGTAAGGACCTTGAGATGAGGAGATTATCCTGGATTATATATGTGAGTTTAATAGTAATCACAAGGGTCCTTCTAAAATGAAGGCAGGAGACTCAGTCAGAGAAGGAGAGGCCATGACAGGAGCAGAAGTAGGAACAGGGCCATTGCTGGCTTTCAAGATAGAAGCAGTCTCCCCTAAGGGATCTGAACAGCCACTAGAAGGTGGAAATGGCAAAGAAACAGATTCTCCTCTAGAGCCCCAGAAGGAACAGCCCTGTTGACAACTTGATTTTAGCAAGTTAAGTTCCATTGTGGACTTTGGACCTCCAAAACCATAAGATAATAAATCTGTGTTGTTTTAAACCACTTTGTTACAGCAGCAAGAGAAAACTAATACAGTCTCCAAATCCTTTCTGAAAGAAATTATGACTGTCATTTTCCATTTTCAAAAACTGACAATACAGCAGTGGCCAAACCCTCAAAGTTAGTGATATTATTGGGTGTAATAAGAATCTGACACATACTTTATAGCTATGGGTGCCAACCCCTAGTGAAATAACTGATAATATTGAACATCTTAAGATAATAATCAATATAATAATAATTCAATATTATAAGAATAATCTTTCCCTTAAGGAAGGATTATTAAGGATTCATCACAGAGTACATTGGAATGATAAAATGTGCTCATGTTAACTGGCTTGGCAACCACTTTGTTTAACATTTCTTCTGATCTTCATGATTTTGCAAATAGTAGGCAATTGACACAGAAATTGGTTTTAAAATGGACAGAAAATCCACTAAAATGGACTTCCTCATCTGCATATCTACTAGATGAACCAGAACTCATTTTGTTGTGAAAAAAAATGGAAGAGAAAAGTGCATCCTAGTCATGGAAGACCATGGGAAAGGTGAGGGTGTGAGGGGGGCATCCTAGAACACAAACTTCCCTCCCACAGATGGAAGAAGACAATGTTCAGGCCTTCACCAAGGGGGGAGACAAGGATGTCTGACGCGCCATAGAAAACCTTGCCTTTGAACTGAACTTAGAAATGTTGACTCTATCTGGGCTAGCGCAAGAAAAGTGGGCTGAGATGCAATATCCTAGATTGAAGGGATATTGGACACCTTTCTCTTTTCTAATCAAGAACCTGGACAGTCTACTAATATATAAGTATTTACTCCAATATTTGAAAGTAGAAAATATTCTAAGTGATTTTGAAGGAATATTTTGGTCTTTTCCAAACCCCACTAAAATACTCAAATCCAAGAAGCTTCAGCTTTCGATATTTAAAGTTTCACTTCTAAAAGTGTTCGGTTTTGTTTTTCTATTCAATTTTGTTTTCCTGCTTTTTAGATTAACTGTATCTTGAGAGTTGGCCAGGAGTAAGAAGAGTGTTTGGAAGGAAGAGAAGGTGGAAAATGAAGAGGCGGCAAGAGACTCAGGCAATCAGACAAACAAATCATCCATCTTCCCGGCTGAGGTCAGGAATATTCGAAAAGCCCTGTGTCCTGCACAGCAGCCCCACGCAGGTTTAGTGCAGCAGATGCTCTCTGGCTGAGTTAGAGAAACAGACAAAACCCTCATTTCTCTCTGAGCACTAAGTACAGAAGATGAGGCTGCGTCAGTCTCATTAGGAATAATAGACAGAAATTGCTTACAATCATCTCTAATGGGTTGCCAGTTTTCTGACAATGGGCTCGGCAATTAGTTTGTCAATTTTTAACCAAATGCAAAAATAATAATAACCCCCTGAGCGAGCTTTTGATCTGCCCTGCCACCTTTCACCTGATGCCCCTGAGGTCCCGAAGCACCCTCCCTTGGCCTTTCCACATTTACCACACCCACTTTTGACCAAGGAACTCATCCACCTCCTACAAGAGCTCTCAGAAGATCCAGTGGAAAATCCTGGCTGTTCACTCTTTCCTATCCTGGTCCCCTAAACCTTCTGAAAAATACTTTTCCTGTTGTCCTTTGGTGATAGCCTGGTCTAAATCAGAGACAGGTTTTTTAAAATATTTGATGTCTGACCTGCTTTTTATAATGAATTTCATGATGAAGGAGTTTGTAACTGCCAAACAAAAAAATCTCTGTTTTGCTCCCCAGTCCTCTGACTGTAGCATGCAGGGTGCAGCCCTGTCTGCCTCTACTGGGGAAGTGACAAGCCTGGCAGGATTCCCGGGGCGCAAACT
Organism: Homo sapiens; assembly: GCF_000001405.40. Lineage (NCBI taxonomy): Eukaryota > Metazoa > Chordata > Mammalia > Primates > Hominidae > Homo > Homo sapiens. Next base: position 138,686,254 of record NC_000004.12, read on the forward strand.
CATGGAGCCTGGAAGGCACAGGGAGGACGGAGCCAGCGGAGAAGGAGGGTGCCATCCAGATGTCCCCTAAAGCAAACCACCTGGCGGTCAATGCACTGAACTGGCAACAGGGGCCTACGTGGAAGGCCTGGCTGATTCTACCCATGACATTTCTAGCAAATGCCATCTATGCCTTTGCGCTCCTCTTTCTCTCCTGAGAGAAAATAATGCCAAACCCTATTACCGCCTCTCTTCAGAGCACTTCAGAGAAAACATTCCATGAATTCAAAGCCCAGCAGCCATGTTATTAATATTTCCACTGCGATGCCTGCATTCTTTCTAAGGCTTGAGATGATTTACAGGCATCCTCTTCACCTCATCACAATGGGGGACAGCAGGCTAAGGGGATGGAGAGGGTGTTCTGGACAAGGACACATGACAAACCAGCACATTGCAGAGCAAATTCCTCCTCTTCCTGAGGCTTGTATGTGAACCTGTCCCTTTAAAAAGAAAAAGGGCATAAAGGGAGAGCAGGGAAGTCTACAAGACAGCAATCCCTGTTGCTACCACATTCCCCTTTCTCACGCAGCCCTTCCCGAATTCTCCTGTCCTCAGGCAAGTGTCCCTGGGATAAAACGAACTACAAAGAGTTCATTTTACCCCGTGCCAGGAGGTGTGACAGTGCCACACAGACATTATCACATTCTCAGGGAACCTTCCCTGACCACCCTGTGAAAACTGCTGACTCTGTTATGCTGTTTGCATCCTTCACGGCACATATTAGTTTTATTTACAGGCTTACAAACTTATTTGTCTCTCTCTCTTGTTAGCTCCTAGAAGTCTCACGGGTCTGATTCTTTCCATGCCTGCCATAGTGCACAGCACCTAACCATCAATTTCTATCAAATTAATTTGCTAATTCATTAACCATAATCCTTCTAACAACAGTGGAAACTAGGTATGATTATCCCTACTTTACAGATGAGAAGCCTGAGTCCAGGACAAGTGTAGTGACTTTTCCAAGGCTACAGAGCTTAATAACTGTGGAAGGCAGGATGCGACCCCAAAACTCTTGGGCTTGTGCCTTCACCCCTGGGCCACGTGCATCAACACGGCATGATGTTCCTCCTTCCACCAGCCAACCGCATCCCTCCCACTTCATTCACAGAAGCTCAAGGCCTACCTCCTCCTTGAAGTTTTGCCCGTTATTTTCTTCACAATTGCTGACCTTTTCAGTGGACTCTCATATTTACTTACATAATAGCTTGCATGGAGGCTATTTGTTTACCTTAGTTATGTAATGATTAGAAAAGAAAGGAACCAGGAGGGAGGGAAGTCAGGAAGAGAAAATGGAGGTAAATGGATTTCAGAACAGGAGGAGGTATTTGTGCCATGCAGCCTTGAAGACACATAAAGAAAGCTGATGGAGACAAAACAGGGAGGCCCAGGGAGTGCATCCTGCCTATCGGGAGGAAGGAGCCAAGATGTGCGAGACCACAGACCACGGTTCTGCTTAGTTCTGCTGCGTTTGGCATGGGGCTGCCATGAGTGGCCCTACAGTGCTGCAACCCTCAGTACCAAGCAGGAAAATGGAGAGAAATGCCCGGCTCAAGGATAGCTCTTTCCCCTACTCTACCCTAAGCCATGGTTCCTGGCTAAGTTTTCCCCATTTTCCTGTTGGGAGCATCTCAATCCCTCAGTACTTCAAATCTACAAATAGTTAGGGGGGCAGAAAAGGCAACAGACTGCAAGGTCAAGAAACCCTGTTCACTGTTTAATGCATACTTGAAATGTTTAGAGCAAGGTTTTGCCCTATAACCTGCTGTGTGTTTTCCCATAAACCCCTGCTGACTGCCTGACTGTTTGCACTTAAGCAGAGGGCTTCTAATGTGTCCAGACACAGACAAAATGAGTTCTTCACCTCCCTGGCTTCTGCATCTCAAGATAGCGTGATTGCTTCTTCAAATCTCTTTACTCCACCCTATTTGAGGTGCTCAGCTATCTTAAGAGTGAGCAGAGAAAGTAAGACTTAAGATGCAAAGTGGAAAAGAGCTCTCTGGCTATTCGAGACTATCATAATAGTGTATCAAGATTTCAGAAGCATACGATTGAGTCCAATCATGGAATAAAGCAAATCCAGAATCATTTATGGGTTGAATGCCCCCATCACTGCCTTAAGAGGGGTAGCTCCATCCCTTGGCCCACAGCATGCAGGACAAAAGAGAGATGAATAAAGAGTAACTATTTACCAGTTCTTTATTCTGTTACAGCCAGGAGCAGAAGCTGACATCCACAAGGACCCTTTTCAGCAAGGGATTATATATCACACCATAGAAATACATAAAGGATAAATTATATCCCTGAGATCATCATGCCTCCATTGACCTGCCCAAGGTTTAAAGGCAGCTGCAATTAGGTGCTACAGTCACAGATCTGCTGGTAGCTTAGCATGCCTGCATTCACTTTAATCCTGCAGAAATGGAGCCAGAATGAATTTTGTAGGCATGTCCTTCATCCAAGTTTGAATTCCACGGGTCTGATTCAGATTTGCGAGAGTTTAGTAATTTGCTTTTGTTAACGAGATCTTTCTCAGCTTCTGCAGTGTTTACAATATGAGATCTAATTTGGGCTTAAAATGCTCATGCAAATTAACTGCATTACTTTTAAAAATGCAATTGGGAAGAGATGGAGAGGGAAAACGATGTGACATGCCACAAACTTACCACGTTTGCACATTTGCTGGAGAGTTCTTCCAGCTGCTGGCGCGGACGAGCCCCGCACATGCTAACGCTCCAGCCCCTCGGTCAGGCCTGACTCCCAGACACAGGGACGGATTAAGGAATCTATTTCACCGCTTTTTGCAATAAGAGGAATTGAATATCTGTTTGGAATAAGAGCTTCAAGGTTTTATTTATTTTAATGTTTAAAAAGCACACAAGACCCCTGATGCAAAGCTTCTGGAGCACAGTGGAATTGGCCACAATGCCGGTGATTATCAGGCCTTTTTAAATAATAAGCTTTCACCTGCCGAGTGCTTCCATGTGGCAGGCATGACTCTGAGCACGCTACTTACACCACCTCCCAACAGCCTGAGGAGGAGGTTAAAGCACAGAGCAGGGAGTAGCCACACAGCTACTCATCGGCAGCTCTGGAATTGAAACCCAGCTCGACTGGCCCCTGACACCTCACTCATCATCACTCTGACAGGCTGCCTGCTCTAAACGGCTTTTGGGCAAAAAAATAAAATAAAATTAGAAAAGACTCATTCAATTATGACAGCCGCATCCTCTGAATGTAAACAATACTTAAAATACGTTTAATGTATGTATTTAGTAAAAGCCAGGGAGGCGATTTTCAAGCCCGTAGTGAAAAGGTTGGATCAGTCCAAACAGACCCAAGACACATGGGTGCAGACTTTTAACAGGAGGAAGAAACCGCTTCTTCAAGTGAATTAACACAGGAACAGAAAACCAAATACTGTGTGCACTCATTTATAAGTGTGATCTAAACACTGGATACATACGGACATAAAGACGGGAACGACAGACACTGGGGACCCCTGCAGGAGAGAGGCGGGGAGTGGGCAAGGGCTGAAAAGCTACCTGTTGGGTACTATGCTCACTACCTAGGTGACAGGATCATTCATACCCCAGCCTCAGTGTCACACAATATACCCAGGTAACAAACCTGCACATGGACCCACAGAATCTAAAATAAAAGTCAAAATTCTTTTAAAAGAAACCATCTTATTCAGAGCACAGGAATGTGTTGCTTTCAGAGAAAGATCAACTGGCTGTCTCCAAAGGAGACACATCCTTCGAGCCACAGAACTCATTTCTTCATTACACCAAGACGGGACCCAGGTCCATCTCAGAGGCAGAATAGGAATAACAATGATGTGTACGCCCAGAATCCCGAAGTATTAATTTCCCATGAAAATTAGATTTGCCATGTGAACCATAATGGAACATTGTCCACCTTATTCTTCCCTTAGGCTGACCCGTGGGAGAAGTCAACCCATAATCAGAAGTGGAGTTTGTGAACATGAAATCAGAATACATGTTCTTAGTTAGATCCAGGTTAATGGCATATCATGGTGACAGCTTGTCAATTAATCTACTTTTGCAATAAGGATGGCCTTGTGAATCAGAATCTGATCTCTCAGCTCCCTTCACTTCTCCAATTCCTCTATTTCTACACACACGCACACACACACACACACACACACATGCCTATAAGCTTTATAAAGAAAGGGGTCATGTCTGTTTTGCTCACCAGTTTTCCCAGTGCTTGGCACATTCACTCATTGAGTGAATTAATTAAATGAAGGAGTGAATGAACGAAGTCTAACACTTCAAGGCAGCTCTAGCAAAGTAAGATGGCCCCAGAATAGACCCCTAGCTCTGAGATGGCTTTAAAAATAATTTCACCTCCAGAGACAACCCTCCCAACCAAACCTGGGTTAGGAGCTCCAGCAAGATGCTTACATCTCACTGTACTCTTGCCACAGCACTGAATAAGCACAGCCTTATAATTGCCTGCTTACTGATGGCTTTGTCCCCACTACACTCCATGAGAGCAGAAGCTATTTCTATCCTATTGATTGCTTTATCCCCCGAATCTAGCACAGGGCCTGGCATATAATAGATATTCAATACATATTTGTGAATAAATAAAAGAGAGAAGTGCATTTATTTAAAAGAATTTGGTGAAATATTTTCAAATTTGCACTGGCATTAAAGTGAAATATGGTAGTATTAAATTGGCTTCAAATAGAACTATAAACAGAAGTATGGGGATCTTGGGGGCCCTCGTAGGAATATAGAAGCCCTATGAACCCTGCTTCAGTGGCAGAAGGGTCCTCCCTTCCATTTGAAGTTTTAGGAGGTGACTGATACATTTGGTATATTTCAGCAATGATTATAATTCAGCAATGCTACCAAAGACCTAGGGTCGAGCAACAAGCTAAGTATATCATGTAGACAGTATTATCTTCTTAAATTTTCATAGAATCACTGTGAATTATTATCCCCATTTTCAGGTGATGAAATCAAAGATTATAGAGATTAACTCACCTGCCCTAGGTTACCAAACCAGTTAGAGGTAGCGCAAGAATCGAAAACCAGGCATACCTGACTCCAAAGCCTGTGCTCATCTTAAGCACCATGGTGGGCTCCCTCTCTATATGATACAGTCTCTCCAAACAAGTGAATTAAGTGGCATATTTAAATATGAGCACACAAGTCATAGTTAACAAAGTATTATTTAATTAAACTTTTAAATAACTTACCCCATCCCAGTTTCTGCCATGTCACACATATAAAAAAGGCAGACAAAATTAATTACATCTATATGGCTGAATAAAGCGTTCACTTGGAAATCTTGACTGTTATGGTCTAAATGTTTGTGTCCCCACAAAATTCATGTGTTGAAACTTAATCCCCAATGTAATAGTATTAAGAGGTGGGGCCACTGAGGGGTGATTAGGTCATGAGGGCTCCACCCTCATGAATGGGATTAATGCCCTTATAAAAGGGATAGAGGGAGCTTGCTTGCCCCTTGTATTATTCAGGGTTCTATAGAGGGACAGAACTAATATATATATATATATATATACATATATATATATATATATATGTTAAGTATATATATATATGAGTTAAGTATTAACTCACACGATCACAAGGTCCCACAATAGGCTGTCTGCAAGCTGAGGAATAAGGACAGCCAGTCTGTGTCCCAAAACTAAAGACCCTGGAGTCTGATGTTCAAGGGCAGGAAGCATCCAGAACAGGAGAAAGATGAAGGCTGGGAGGCTAGGCCAGTCTCTCTTTTCACATTTTTCTGCCTGCTTATATTCTAGCTGCACTGGCAGCTGATTAGATTGTGCCCACCCAGATTAAGGGTGGGTCTGCCTTTCCCAGCCCACTAACTTGAATGTTAATCTCCTTTGGCAACACCCTCACAGATACACCCAGGATCAATACTTTGTATCCTTCAATCCAATCAAGTTGACCCTCAGTATTAGCTCTCATACCCCTTGTACCATGTAAGCACATATAAAAGCCACCTTCTATGAGGAGCTATCTCTTATCAGACACTGAATCTGCTGGAGCTTCGATCTTGGACTTACCAGCCTCCAGAACTATGAGCAATAAATGGCTGTGGTTTATAAATTATCCAGTCAAAGATATTTTGTTATAACAGCCAGAAAGAACTAAGACATTGGCTGTGGTCTGGTCACCAATTCCATTCCAAATGACTTGTCTTCCCATGTCTATTCAGCCAAGTCCTATAAGCAACATGCTTTGTTTTGCAAAGCTTACTCAGAGCCTAAAAGTTTTTCTGTATGCACCAAAGCAACCTATTCACACTGAAAGCATGAATTTAAAGTCCATATTCAGCCAATCTGCAAGGCAAAAAAGACAGAAAGGAGAATTTGAGCTTGCCTCTCATGACAGAATGGCTTGGAATGATGACCTGGGTGAGGACTATTTTTTCATTCTGCCTCAAGGGTAAAGGTAGGCTATAGTAGGATATCTAAAAAGTTAATATATAAGAACTTTTTTTTATTTCTTAATCTCTATGTTTCCATGGTAACAGAACCATCAACCAACAAATGTGTCCTTCTTTCCTGCAAATAAAATTTCTTCCTTGAAGAAAATGTTAATGACACATTTATGCATTTTCATAAGTAACATATCTTGGGGAGTTTCCAATAAAATCCATGATTTTTCCCCATTTCTCTCATTCCCCAACAACTTATCCAAGAATTGATGTTCTGGATTGATATGGCTTGGGTCTGTGTTCCCACCCAAATCTCATGTCAAATTGTAATCCCCAGTGTTGGAGGTGGGGCCTGGTGAGAGGTGAGCAGATCATAGGGGCGGAGTTCTCATGAATGGTTTAGCACCATCCCCATCCCCCCTTGGTACTGTATAGTGAGTGAGTTCTTACAAGATCTGTTGTGTCAAAGCGTGTGGTACCTGCCTGCTGCTCTCTCTTCCTCCTGCTCCATCCATATAAGATGTACCTGCTTCCCCTTCACCTTTCACCATGAGTAAAAGCTTCCTGAGGCCTCCCCAGAAGCAAAGCAGAAGCTAGACTGCAGAACCATGAACCAACTAAACCTCTTTTCTTTATAAATCACCTAGTCTTGGATAATTTATGTCTATCCAGTTAGACAGCAGACGTTTGCCAGAGGAGTCGCTCAGTATCAAAGTCCCATGGCTTTAGTAGTCTGCTCATTCTGCTTGCCACTTATTTCCCCTCCTGCATTTCTTGGTTAATTGTCCTCTCCTATTTCATCTTTCCTTGTCTTTGCAGATACACAGTTCTGGATAAGGCACAATGCTCATTCCTAAATGAGACTAGTGCACTGCATTTGGCATGCACAAAAGATAAATAATTTCAGAGCATAAGTTTACAAACTTTGTGTAAAATAAGCTTAGGAAACTCTACAGCCAAATATTGTCAATCAGCATTCCTGGCACGTTTGCTCATTAAATGCTATGCAAGTCAAGCAGGTCTTTATCGTTGTTGAAATAGCAAATCTGCACATTTTGTGTGATTCAAAATATTTGTAATAAAACTGCTACTAAATATATAAGCATGGCGTTGGTCCTCCCAGCACAATTTTTTCTGAGGAGTGAAGGAAAGGATCATACCCAGCAGTATAGCTCTGGGGAGTTTTGCCCATGATGATAGAGTATTTTGGAGGGTAAAGAGGGAGAAGGAGGGAGAAGCAATTGTAAAACCCAGGGAGACAGGATATGGGGCTCCATTTGCTAAGGGAAAAACAGCTGGAAATCCACTGTAGTTATTACAGAAAATAAGAAAGTTCCTTGGAAATTAAATTTAGGGAAGATGAAATTGAAAGCAAGAGGAAATGAAAAGTCTCTCTGGTTTAAAGAAAGCACATTTAAGAAAAAGTGAAGTCATGGTAAACATTTTTCAGATACCTCTATGGAGTTCTTGTTTTCTGAATGACCAGTTCTTCTCCTTTATTCATTTTTCTATTATATTGTTCATCTTTTTTATTGATTGGTAAGCACTCTTTGTGTATTAGGGCTATTAACCTTTATTTCTGAAGTATGCATTACAAGTGGAGTTCCTATCTGTCAGTCTTGTTTGTGGTAAGCATTATTTTCCTATGGAGGACTTTTTAATTTGTAAAAAGTCAAAACTATCAACTTTTTCCTTCATGCTTTGTGAATTTTGTTTTAAGCTCAGAAAGGCCTTCCGTACACCAAGATTATTAAAATCTCACCACTAGTAATTAAAAATGCAAATAAAATGAGATTTAATTTTTTACCTATCAAATCCATTTATTCATCTCTTTAGAAAACATTTTTCAAGTGTCCATTATGTGACAAGCATTGCACTGAGAGCTGGGAATACAGGATTATAGAAAACAGGAAAAAAAAATCTCTGCCCTTGTGACATTTACTTTCTATTGGATCAAGATAAGAAATACGATGAGTAAGTAAACTGCATGATGTATTAAGGAACAAGTTCTATGAGGTGAAATAAAGCTAGAAAGGAATAGGAATGCTGGAAGGTGGGACAGGTAGCAATTTAAATAGCATGATCAGGACAGGTCTAGTTGAATGAGCCATGCTGATAATCTGGGAGGCAGTGATCTGGGCCAAGCCACTTGGTATGCTACAGGAACAGCGAGGAGGCCCATGTGGCCAGAGGGGTGTGGGAAACAAGAGTAAGTGTGGAAATAGTTTAGAGTACAAGCAGTAAGCATAAGTGGAGGAGGAAGCATAGGTGGAGGAGTAATCACCTAGACCATCAGCTACGGCCTGTGGGCCACTGTAGGGATTCAGGCTCTTACTCCAAATGACGTGGGGTAGCTCTGGAGGGTCTTGACTACAGATATTATCTTACAATCTTACAGAATCATTCTGGCTTCCCTGCTGAGAATAGATTCTTCTGGAAGTAGGTCAATGTGAGGGGATTAGTGCAATAATCCAGGTGAGAGATGAAGGCGGCATAGCTCTGTGGTAACAGGGAATTGGAAGTGAATGATACCTGTAAGAAAGATAAGAATCAAGGATGGCATCAAGATCTTCAGCCTGGGCAACTGGAAGGACAGAGTGGCCATTAACTGTGAAGGAAAGGCTGCAAGTGAAGTAGATTTGGGGGAAGGAGAACGTCGGGGAGAGGTTGAGGGGTCTTGTTTTGGACACATTGGCTTTAAGATACTCACTAGGAATCCAAGTTGAGATGGCAGATAGCGAGAGCAACAAGGCAGATTTCCAAAGCACTTTTCCATCTGTGAGCTGGAGATGTACATTTACAAATCCTGAGAATATAGGTGGAATTTAAAGCCATAAGACTGAATGAGATGACCATGGGACCAGCAAACATTAAGAATATTGATGGCCGGGCATGGTGGCTCATGCCTGTAATCCTAGCACTTTGGGAAACTGAGGCAGGAGGATTGCTTGAGCCCAGGAGTTTGAGGCCAGCCTAAGCAACAGAGTGAGACCCCATCTTCTAATATATATATATATATATTAGAAGATATATATATGTAAAAGAATATTGACAATAACAAATATTGATAGCTGTACAAGAAAATGCACATTCTCATATGCTTTCCATCTGAAGAATAACCTTTCTGGAAAGCAGTTAGCAATGTGTATCACAATTAAAACATGCATAACTTTGACCCAGCAATTCCTTTCTAGGAATTCATTTTAAGAAAGGAACTAAACAGGTGAGTAAAAATAAGGATCCTCAAGTCATTAATTATTATAGTGAAAAGCTCGAAACAACCTGAAGTTCCAACAAATGGGAGTTAGTTATTACAGTACATACACAATTAATATTATATGGCCATTTCAACCTACAATATAAAGATTTGTATTCACATGTGCTGTGGTATCTGTGATTTACTAAATACTTTAGCAAATATAGTGTGATATAGATTACATGGTTGTTGTGCCTTTTTCTTTATCGTTTAGGCTACACCCTAGGAGGAGACAATTGTTCTAATCAGAACTCCACACCCTAGGGCAGTCAGCTAGCATTTTATCAAAAAGGCCACACTCCAGAGGCGATTACTAAAAGCCCTTCTGTAATCCACATCTCTAATCAACAAGAAAGGTTTTGCTAATTAGCATACTGAATTTCAGAAATGGGTTTTCATAGGAGAAATTAATGGTTGTTAATGAACATAATGGATATTAGAAATGGGCAATCATTGGTGAAATTTGTGGAATTCAAGATCTGTAAATTGACTAAAATGTTTCAGAGACGCTTTCTCCTCTTGCATGAACATCATTAAAAAAAAAGAAAAGAAAGTGTTTAGAGAGGCCCGAGGCCTGCATTTTCAGGGTTGATCCCTGAAGAGTCCTGCATTCAGCCATCAGTTTAAAGACTTCCGGTTGCCTATTGCCAGCTATAAGGGTAAGCGAATCTTGTTTGAGCTATAGGATTTGCCCCAAGTGAACCTTTCAATGAAGTTATGGTTACAGCCCCCAAGAGGAAAACTTACAGGACTTCAATGAATTTATGGAACAGGTTAAATATATTGTTTTGCTAACGGTTGCTTCTTTATTGAATATCTGCCTACGTGGTAGAATTAATTCTGAGATCCACTTTCATTATAACCTGGGAGTAAGATCGTGAGGAGTAGATAACACTCACCCCTTCTCTCTTTTCACATAACTATTCCTTTTAACCCAGAACCAAGAGTTGCGCGTGACTCAGGCTGCAAGCGGGACGACTCAGAAACAGATGTAAGACAAGTGAGACAAACACCATCTTCCCCAAGTATTCCAGAGGATGAGGATCTTGAGACAGGAAAGGAAAAGGCTGATATTTGGGTTATATTTTTATAAACAGGAAAAAAAAATAAAGCTAAAATTTGTCTTTCAAAAAGGAAAGTAAAAATAGAACGGGAGGGAGGAGAGATGCATGAGAAAATATCCAGGGAATTCCATCAATGTAAACTGCCAGCTGGGAATTGATATTTCACCCCTATTCTTGCCTTCAGTGCTTCCCCCCCTTCCCCCGCCAACAGTAGGATTTGGGACCTAAATTACCTAGAAAATTGCTTCTCCTTTTTTTTTTCACTCTGTCAGAGTTCATCATGTCATAAGTGAATGAATACGTTTGAACAGGCACAAACTTTGAAATATTTACCCTATCCACTTCTCTTTTCCTCTCCCCAAAGGCAGTCAACAGTATTTAGTTTATTTCCTACCATTTGTTTTAACCAGGAAGATGTTGGTTTTGGTTATTTAAATTACTGTCATTTTACATTGATTCCCGATGCTGCCTTTCCACCTTCCTCTCTCTCTTCTACTATATAAAGTAGTCCCTGATTTATTTCCCCAAGCCCCCTTTTCTACTTCCCTCTCTGTTGCTTTCTTCTCCTTTCTACATCTCTCTCTTCTTATTCCTATTCTCTAGCAATCCAGGTGCCCAGAGAAAACAATAGTAACTTAAGAAACAGCCTGGTGAGAAGACGTCCTGAGAGAATTTCATAAAGTTATTAGTACATCCCAACATGAAATGGCATGTTTTTTATAAACCCAAGTTTTATAAAAACTTATCTTCACTGAAGACTGGAAAAAATAATAACCAAATGGTAAAGTTTTCCAGAATATTTTTTTTCTGGTTTTAAAAAGGCAGACTAGAAACAGATGTAAGTTAGGAAGGCTAAATCACAAAACCCAAGAATGCAAGCCTTACAGAATTCTGATAAGCATGTCATGAATCACCATTTTCTCTTCAAACAACACTTTAAAAAAAAATACTATTTGATTTTAAACTCACCCATCTCTGTCTGGATGAACATATGTTACCACACAGATTATTACCCTTTGAAAACATCCACTGCTATACAAACCAGCAGGAAAAGGGAAATTTCTGGCAGGAGGTGGGCAATAAGACAGGAGAGCTCTGGCCCTTTTAACTGCTGTTAAGTAGCTGGCTGTTTCCTTTCCGCAACCCCTCTGTCCCCCTTCTGCTGCTATGACTGTTGTTTCTGCTTTGCAAGGACATGTCATTTTACTTACTACTCTCTCTCCCCCTTCTTAATTGGCCTGCAATAAAAATACAAATTGCACCATTGTACTTTATTATTAGCCATTTGATGGGCCCAAAACTGCTTCATAAGTACTGCCTAGAGGGTATTAATCAGACCTGCTGACTCTCCTAAGCACCCACTTTTATATGTTGACCCCCAGATGAGGCCAGTGGGTGGTAACTTTACCCCCTCCCATGGGAGCATTTACCTGGTCCCTTCTCCATTAGCAAAGGCACAACTGAAAGGTGTGGCGCCTGTCCTGCAGGAGCCAACTACACAGCCCAAATCTCTCCTCCGCACATTAGCTTTAATGCCTGTTGTACTTTATGGACACGAAAAGTCTGTCTCGTTTTTCCCCCTCTCTCTAGGTACTAGAGCATAAAGCAAATGTCTGAATCTTAAAACAGCAGCTAAGCTTCATAATCTTCTGTAAAGTCTCATGGCCTGGTAAAGACAGCCCCTGTTTCTTGGAAGTAAAATCAAGGAAAATTGTGGTTCCCCAAAAAGGATGTGGCAAGAGCGAGGTTCCAGCTAGATAAGAATAAGGTGATGGCTCCATGGGGTATTTTTTGCTGTGCTGGTCCCATTCGGTGCATATCATTGTATGTTTCAATAGGGAACTCTTATTGAAGATCTGCTTATGTTGTAATGACGATAAAGGTCTGTTGTGAGATTTCAGTTTCACAAAGCTCTATTCTTTGTGTAAGCCTCACCACCAACTTTCTGCTGTCAGATACCTTGGAATTCACATCATTTGTGTGCTCTGAAACATTAAAATGGAAAAAATGGTAAAAATTTTTCCATGTAAATAAAAAGCAAAATGGTGGAACAAACTGATTATGGCCTAATCTCTGTCTTAACTTATTCATTCAGTAACTTACTTATAAGAAGTGCATCTGTACCTCTATGCCAGAAACTATGTGCTCCATTGATTACTGAACATATTGGTATATGCTCACAATTCGGTGTGGAATATGATGGAACTTCCATCTTATTTAACTTAATGTAATGCATCATTTATGGTTTTGTCTAAGGTCCTAGTTTTTCTGCCCCATATCATTTCTTCAACATCTCTACTTTTTTGTTTACAAATGTTCATGAGTTCCAAGATTTTGTGGCCATAAGGATTCTTCAGAAGGACATTTCAGCTCCAAAGCACGATTTCAACAGCAATGCCTTCAATGGAGTAATTATCAGATTAAGGGAATTCCCAATATAACACTTGCCTTCTGATGTTATTGCTTCTGATGTTTCTGTTTACATCTCAGAAGCACACACATCACTTGTAGATGTCTCACTCTCCTTCATTCGGGGTTCCTACAAATCAGTCAACATATATTCGGCAAACTGGAGGCTTCAGGTCCGGTTTCTTTCAGGATAATTACTCCTCTCAGGCAATAAGCTCATAGATCAAAGACCTGGGCACAGAACTCAGGAAGCACCAATTTTCAAACCCACTAAGAGAACGAGAAGGAGCAGTGAGAAGGAGTGAAAGCAAAACAGGACATAAAGAAAAGGACATCATAGAAGCCAAAAAACAAAAGAGTCAAAGAGGATATGTTTCTGTGAAGAAGACATGCTGGAGGACCAAGAGAAGAATAAAGAGTAGATTCTCACCAAAACAAGGAAGACCCCACAGAAAACAGACAGGGTGACACTCAGTGGCCATGCATTGGACAGGTTAGCTGGTAAACTATTTGAGGGGCAGCAAAACAGAAATGACTGTTATTTCCCTTATAATTATCCTAACACCTAGCACAGTGCTAGATAAATAGATGGATAGGTAGGCCCATAGACAGCTACATAGAATATATAATAAGCATTAGTTTCTGTGTATGTGTGTCTATATATGTGTGTGTGTGTATATATATATATATATACGTTTAAATTTTTGTAGAGATGGGGCTTTACTACATTGCCCAGGCTGGTCTCGAACTCCTGGCCTCAAGTGATCCTCGCACCTCGGTTTTCCAAAGTGCTGAGACTACAGACATGAGCCACCACACCCAGCCCTATTTTTCCACCTGAAGCACAGGAAATGACTTCTAAAACACAGCACACAGAGTGGATGCTGTCAGTAGGAACCTTGGTAAAATTTTATGTTGGTTTGTTTCTTTAGGAGGCAGCATGGAACAGAGAAAAGTTGAGTGGCAGCAAGTTAAGAGAGCAAGATTTGAGCTCTGACTCTTCCATGACAAACCGCATAACCCTGAGCTAATCCCACCACCTCTCTGGGCCTCAGTCACTATCATAGTAAAATTAGGGGAGTGGGCTCTGTGATACTTTTTCCAACTACAAAATGTTGTACAAAGCATCCTTACGGCTCTCCCACCTGAAGGCTTACCCTTTAAGCATCCATGCAAATATTTTTCCCTAGCTATCAAGTCCTTCAGACCCCTTATGCTATGCTCTGGCTGTATGTACCTAATTCTTGCACATAAGCTCATCCTTCTAGAAATGCCCATTTGCTTCCAACCTTCATTCCTGCAGCGTAGCCAGCCTCAGCTGAGCATTATAAGGGAGGTAACAGATTATTTAGTTGACTCTATTCTCACCCAGTAAATTGGGCTAGTGTGCATAATATGTCCTCCATTGGCCCCTCCGCACGCACTATCCTTTACTCAGAGCTCCTGTACCCTCTGGCCAATGGGAAGCCTGACAGGAAATCAGAGGAAGGAGAAAAGGAAAACAAGGTTGGGGCATGTATTTCCCTGGCTGCTTCCTTGTGAGGCTTCCTGGAGATGACCGGTTCCTTTATTAGAGGTAACCCAGGAATCATGCTCTACAGTGCTCTCCTTTTACAGTTTGGTAACTGGGTTTGGTAACCTGGTTTAGTAACCTCTTGCTCCCTACCCCCTTTCATCTCAGGAGTGGTAAGAGCTCAACTGTTCTGACTCCAGCTTCCTGAATTGTCTTTCCCAGTTTCCATTCACCCACACCTTTGTACATAAGGTTCCTTAGATTTTTCTTGAATTATCCTAATTTGCATTCATTTGTTTTCTGTTAAGACCCTGATAGATACAGAGAGGCATGGCTGGGTTTTTTGGAGGGAAAGAGTATTTTAAAACTTGCTTGTTCATGTAAATTAATCTCTAGTTGGTAAAATGAGTAAACATTGGTAAATGTTTGTTTACCGTTGGTTGGTAAAACAGTTTTGTTTTTATAAAGCTGAGGTTTATTCTTGGCCCTTGGCCTATTCATTCCCTTTACCTCCCTACAAAATCTGAAAGACTGTGATCCTTAGTCTATATCAATCCAAACCTTGGTCAGATTTTATTTACTATAATTAAAACCAAATCTAAACACATGAATTTAGGACTAATTTATCCAAATCATATTATTCTCTCCAAAATACATGTCCTGCAAACACAATATGTATCGTTTGTTCCACCTATTTTGAATTAATTGGTTTTAAATAGCCCTCAAAGAAAAGACACCTATTTACCACACATGAGAAGCTTCTATTATAACATGAGCACCTCAGAGTAGGCAGCATCAGGCAATGTTACTTGAATTCCCAAAAAAGGAATGGCCAGACTAAGCAAGTAAAGGGGCATGGAGCCAGTTGGATTTAGCCATCCATTTAATATATTCTAACTCCAGTAGAAGTGGCCTTCGAGGAAGTTGCACTACCTACTTGACATGTCTTTTTATATTATGTGTTACGAGGGATTTTTTTTTCTTGACCTGGTTTTGCTTAACAAGCACCATATTTGGAATATGTGCTTGGGGTTTCTATTCCACAGTAGCTCCTGAAAATAGAGATGTTCTTCTTATTCATATACAGGAAATGTCTAATTCCTACCTCTGAATAGTCTAGGTTAATTGCCTCACTTAATATCCTACAGCAGCAAATTCTACAGCCTAATTCAATGTTTCACTAGAAAAAAAAAAAAACCTTTGTGTGAAATTGGGTCTTTAAGTTAGGCTGAGGAGGGGGAGAAGTAGGTGTTAGCATTCACCTCTCCCCCAAATAAATGTTACCTTGATTAGCAGTCTCTAGAGAAAAAGTGTAAGCACATCTCACTCTCCTCTTCATGAAGCCAATCCAACATGTATGTATCATCAAGTAAAAAAGCTGGCTCTGTGAAGCATCTACAGAGAAGCTTGTATCTCTGTATATAAATCACATCTCTTCCCTGTGACAAGTCGTGTCCAGGCAAAGCTTATTACAAATTCAGTTTGAAATCTCGAGAAGGAATAGGAAAAAAATAACAACAGCTTTATGGAGCTATGCTCAGGAAATGACTTGAACTCATCCCAATTTTAAAGTTCCATTCTATACAGCAAGCAGCTAAAACCCCATTTTCTGGGGAACTGCCCTTACAGGGAAGGTGTGGCAAAGCCATCTGCTGCTTTATAGTGGTTTTCAGTCTTGTTTTTCTGGTCCAGCTATGAAATTGTACTAATCACAGAAACAGACTGTTTGGCCAGGAAGCAGTGTATGCCAGATACAAGTGAATTTAAGCCCACATGTATTGAAGCTGCAAGCTTAGTTTGCAATTTATGTGCAAGTGGTTTTGTATTTATTGATCTGGATCGAGTGCAGGTCCTATAGGAGAAATATGACAGATTTCATCTGTCTGACAGCCAAGTCTAATTGTATTTTCAGTCTAAAATGACCAAAGACAAAAGTACACATGTCGAGAGTCTTCACTCTGGTGCCATATGGAGTATTAGATACAGGACTGTGGTCACTGTAAGTGTTCATTTTAATAATTAGACACAGGCTGCATCCTGAACAGCTAAAGCAAGAGAGGTGAGAGTTTTTAATTCAAATCTGAATTAATAGACCATCTGATTCTGCCTGAATGTGGGTGGGCCTTTTTAAAGACTGCCTTTTATAGACATGATTGGAGGGAATGTAAAATAAGTGTCATATATTATTGATTCATCTGGACCATGAAACTTCCAAGCCAAAAGTCAAATACTTCCCGCAATGGTTGTCACTAAAATTATAGCCAATACTTCTGGGAAGGCCTGCATCTTAAAAATCAAAAACATCTTCCATTTCTTTCTCTCTTTCTCTCTTGATACTCCTGTGTTCCTCTTTCACTCTAGGGACCTTTGTGATTAAATCAGGCCCCACCCAGATAATCTAGGTTTGTCTCCCCATCTCAAGATTCTTAGCCTTAATCACTTCTACAAAGTTCCTTTTGCCACGTAAGGTAACATATTCAGTTTTCAGGGATTAGCATGTAGAAATTTAGGGTTGTAGGGGTGCATTCTTCCGCCTACTGTACCTACCTTGCCAGTCTTATTTCATAAAATTATCTCCTACTTTTCCATCAGTTCCAGCCCCACTGATGTTCTTATAAATCCTCAAATAAACCACAGTTACCTTTGTAACAGGACCTTTGCATATACTAGTCCCTCTGACTTCACTTAATTTACTCTTAACCATCTTACAAATCAAATACCCTCATAGTATCATAGTTTTTCCTTATTACACATCACAGTTTTCAGTTGTACACATATTTTTGTGATCACTTGATTAATGTCTCTTTCCCTACCAGACTATAAGCTCCATGAGGATAGAGATCATTTCTGATTTTGTTCACTTTTGTTCCAGGGCCTAGAAGAGAGAGCACATAGTAAGCATTCAATGAATCTTTGTCGAATGACTAATTCATACCGGTAAGTGATAGCCCTCAGCTGTCATGGATATTAGCAGTAATTGATATACACACACCTGGATTAAAGAAAATACAGACATATAGTCAGGCGCAGTGGCTCATGCCTGTAATCCCAGCTCTTTGGGACGCCAAGGTGGGCAAATCACGAGATCAGGAGTTTGAGACCAGCCTGGCCAACATGGTAAAACCCCATCTCTACTAAAAATAAAAAAAAAAATTATCCAGGCGTGGTGGCAGGCACCTGTAATCCCAGCTACTTGGGAGTCTGAGGCAGGAGAATTGCTTGAACCCAGGAGGTGGAGCTTGCAGTGAGCCGAGGTCACGCCACTGCACTCCAGCCTGGGCAACAGTGCAAGACTCCGCCTCAAAAAAAAAAAAAAGAAAGAAAGAGAAAATATAAACATAATCCATGATCTGCTCTATCTCATCTAATCTTCATAACAAATTTTTTGGTTGGCTACTGTCATAATCCCCACTTTACAGAGTAAGAACTGAATAGAGGAAAGCTTAAAGAACTTGCCAAGAGGACCTATCTGGTAGGTAACTGAATCAGAATTCTATCTCAAGTGGGTTTGCTTCCAAAGACCACACTGATGCCCTGAGATTATTTTCATATGAGCACGTGGGTGTCTGGGACAATAGAACAAACCTAGCTGAAGTACATGGGTGAGGAGACTATACCCATGCACATGCAAACACATTTCGTAATCCCTCTGTCCACTGTGTGGGAAATTTGGAGAACATTCATAAAGACCAATAAACTGAGTCAGGCATGTCAAAGAAAGTTCTGTGAACATGACTAGGGTGATCCCTCCTAGCCCTCACCACTAGGTAATGGACTGGGGAAGGAGAGAACTTTGAAAGATGCAGGTATGCATAAAGCTGGCCAGAACCTTCGTTAGTGCCCCAGAAGGTAAACTGTAAACCCCAGGAAAGGTGAAAGAAGAAGTTAGGTCATAAAAATGATCCCTGCTGGCCTCCCTTCAAGAGGAGAAGAAAACCTGGCCAAGGGCAGGACCTTACTAGAGACCATCTGCTTCATAAGAATTCGCACTTGGGGGTTAATCACCCCTCACCCCTGCAACCAAGGTACAGAAGAGTTAGTGAGGGCAGTCTTGTGGGACTGAGCCAAACCTGTGGGGCCTGTGCTCACTCCAGGAGTTAGCATTAGAATTGAACTGAATTCTTAGATACCCAGCTAGTGTCTGAGAAGTGAAGAATCACTTGGTGTCAGAAAAGATGGCACATATTTGGTGTCAAAGAAGATCAGAGAGATGGGTAAAAAAATTAGAGATGAAAGGTAATAATATTCTAGGCTAGGAGAATTTGGGTCCACACACACAACAGGAAGTATTGCCTTCAAATTATCCTGCTGATGAGGTTGGCAAGGTAGGTCCTTGAATGCCAGCTCAGGAATTTGGGTATATTCCTACAGTTTAAGTATATTTAGCTATTATAGATTTGGGAGCATGAAATAGCTTAGAAATTTTTCTCTTATCACAAAGGAAACTTCTACCTTGAGCAAAGAAGCAGCAGTAGCAAATTTATAAAATATATTTACACATCAAGGAAGAAACCAATTGTTTGCTTTTTAACCACACATACCAATATCATTAATTAGCATTAGTACTGTTTATAACTTACATTTAACTTTATTGAAGTTTTACTAGATAGCCAAAGTTAGTCAACACTCTCATGGTGGAGTCAAGCATGACTTTAACAAACAATTTTAAATTAAAGCACAAAAACTCAAAGACAGTTCATGAATATGATAGCTTTTCTTTCCAGCACTATTGGCTGGTTTTAGCCATATCAATTTCCAAAGAAATGAATACTACCTAGGACACTCCCTTGTATCTGGGATTACTGTCAACTCAATTGAAACGAATTCTAAGTTCTGCTTCTAATGCTTCTTTTTGCAGGTTTAAAAGATGCATTTTGGAGTTTTGCACTGTTGGACATCCAATTTACGTCGTTGTAAGGAGCTGCTAAGCAGTTTATCTTCTATCCATTTTAACGATCAAAACTGAATTCCAATGAAACCCTTGTACTGTTAGTATTGTACTATTCTATACTGCCTGTTGACCTGGGAAAAATGGCCCAAATTTAGTGCTAGCTTTATTAAATGCATTGTAAACAAACTACTATGTATAAAGCCCTACAAATCAAGTCAGTCTTTAGGGCAAAAAAATTGATTAAATTTAAGATCTGACACCAGCCTGCCTAAGCAGGAGTATACTGCAAAAGGTTCAAAACATCAGAGTAAACAACTAAGAAAGGCGTCTCCTCAAACAGATGCATGAATCTAAGCCACACTAAACAAGGACTTTGACATTGTGTGAATTCAAAATTAATTTGTTTTATTATTTCCTCTCACTGCAGTGCCACAAAAATCTAATTTCTTTTTAAAGTTTCCAAAAGAAGCAAGGTTGTTGGTGGTGGTTGCCATGAATATCCAATGAATGATTCATTCTTGTTCAAGTGGAACCCATGGGAAATGTTGCCAATAACTTGGTTTATTTCTTATCTTCAGTTCTCAGCAGACAACGTATTTGTCTATATTTTTATAAAGAGTCAAATTTTTCAGTTAGTGTACAAATAATAACACAACGTGATGATTGCATTTGGTCTCAGTCCTCAGGGCTTTGGGAGAGAAGAAAACTCCATCATCTTGATCAACAGTGTGGACTATGATTTCTACAGCCTGCTGGGAAGTCCTGGAAGAGGGTAGAGGAAGGGTGATCTGCACAGTTATAAACCCTTAGATGCATCACCAAAGGAGCAGATAGCATCTAGCCAGATAACTCCAATTGACTTTCCACATTTCGGGACTACTGCAGGGAACTGGGATGTTCAGCTGCGTTCACCTGTGTTGCTCTGTGGGGCAGTGTGAAGAAGGGCAACACTCCCGTATGTCTGAATCTCTCTTTCTCTTTTTAACCTCGGGCAAATCTCTTCACCCATATGTAAAAATGAGGAAATACCCTTCAGGATTATTCTGAGGTGTAATTAAAATACTATAGGAAAAATGCCTAGCATAGCACTGAATATTGTTGGTCCTCAGCAAATGTCATCTCGCAATCTCCCTTAATTTCCATGATATCCATGAAAAGGATATCATGGAAAGGTGATTTTCCACACTCTCCCCATTACAAGTACAAAAATTACAATCACACTTAATAAGCCCTGGGCCCAACCCTGATTTTGACATAAATTCAATCCCTATTAAGGCCATATGAGTAGTCCACAAAAAGAAGTATCTGAACTACATTCCCTGATCTCTAGTCAAACCCTTTTCCCAGCATTACACCAGCCTCTATGTCATTGGGACCCAGTAACTAAGTGGCCAGAAAATATTCTCTATTCTAGGAGCTCCCAAAGAATAAAAACTGGGATCTACTAATGGTCATGCAGTAGAGCCAGCCATGAATTAATACGATTCCATCAAGAGCCTTGCAAAGCTCTCTTTTCTGTCAGGTAGCAGTTAGAAAGTGCTCAAAGAGGCATTATTCTCTTCAGGTTCCAAACGTCTCCTGTAGAAACCCAATGCCCCAAAGCCCCAGCTCTGTCCCCCAGCCCACCTCACTGTAGCCTTTTATCTGATACACTAAGAGACCAACACTTGCTCATCCCACATAAAGACAATATTGCCTGCTTTTTCTTCTATTCTAAGGCTCGGAGGAAACATACCTTCTGCAACCATCCTAAACTCCTAGCTCCAGACACCTCCCTGCTCTCCAGGCAAACTTTTTTCTCAGCATTACACCTATTTCAGTATTTTTTCCCATCTCAAATAAGAAAAGCATTCACTCTGAGGCACATTTTTGAAGCAATAAACACTCACTTCTTTGTGGAAAAATAGGCAATTTTCAAGTAACCTTTGGAAACATCTAAATAACCCACACATATTTATGGCTGAGTGACTCTATGGATTGAAGAAACTTTAAGCCCGTGTTTGCAAAGATTTCCATTAACATCTTTGAGCAATCTCTCATCTCATTTTGAAACAAATGGCTCACTCAACAGAAGAGAATCTGGTTTGTTTGTTGTGCATTCTTTTCCTCCTCCCCCAGCTTGGCTCCCTAAGCAGAGATTTGATGTGTGCACGAAACACTCATAGAAGCTCAAATGGCGAATCTTCACCCAGAGGTCACAAGGTCCTGGGGGTGAAGGCAGAAGCCTCTACCGGTGTCCAGGGTCAGCGTTTTTCTCTCATTTTTAACTGAACCTCCATTTCACCTCATCCCCACTCCTTCCTTCTTGCAAGAATAATTCCCCAAGGAAAAGGAAAAAGGCTCTCATCTTCCTACCACCCCCACACTGCAGCAGGAATACGCTGTTTTTAAAGGGTTTGTTCTCAGGAGAAAATGCCATAAGCTCTATTTATCTGTAATCCATTTCTCTCTCTACTCCAAGATTAAGGAATTAATGACTGCTACAGCTGCTGTCCTTAGCACATTAATTACTGTAAATTGTCTGCAGCCTCCAAAATAAAAATTGACTCACTGACAACGGTGAGAGGGCAAGGATGTACGCAAAACATTAGGTACCTGACCTAAGTAATAAATCAGTGTAGCATCAGCCCAAGAAGAGAGATACAAGCTTGTGCACTGAGTTTCCACCCACAGGCTTAAGCACAGAGGAAGCAGTGGGGCCAGGTGAGAGTGGGTGAAAGAGGGGAAAAATACATTGTATGTACACATCACTTTCCTCAAGGCCCAGAACAGATCAAATATTAAGGAAAATTACTCTCAGAGTAGTTCATAAAAGCCTGCATCATTGCAAGCCCTTTAAGTTCAGTACGTTGGCTGTTATTACATTTCCTAAGATCCTTACAGATGGAACGTGGTGAATAAAGGTATTTACAATGACTTCCACCCTGGTTTCCTTGCACCCCGCACTCTAGGTACACCCAGTTCCCATTCCAGGAGCCCACACCTTGCCCTCCTCAAAATCCTTTCATGTTCCATTTTCTCTCTGTGATGCATCTTCCCCTTTTCTGCTCTTTCTCCATCCAACAGTTTCACTAATTCTTAGCCCCAACTCAATGTCCCCTCCTCCTGGAAACTGCTTGAGCTCCCCTAGTTCTTCCTGCATGTTTCCATGGAACTCATGTCTTTGTCCCCCAATGTCACAGTCCCAAAGCTGTGAGCATCCTGAGGGCTGGGCTCCTGTAATTTTTACCAACTCCTTGCTGCTCCTCTCTTCAGGTGTCGCCATCCCCTCACCCTACCCCAGCATCTTCCCTTTTCCTTCACAGTCAAACTTCCCTTCAAGGTCCTTTCTTCCTCGTCTCCCTTCATTCCTCAACCGCCTTTACCCCATTACTCCAATACAGCTGATCTCTCTAATCCCTGCGGCACACTTTAAACCTATCTTCATGAAACTACCCCAAATTGGAAGCTCTGTTTTGACCCTTACCCTCATCTCTAAGCAATGATCAAGCTGTGGCAGCTCCAGGTTCCACACAGCCGGAGCCTATCCACTTCTCTCCACCCACAATGCCACTCTCTAATTCAGAACTCCATCACTTCTCACCCAGCTAGCTGCAATGTCCTCCCAACTGGTCTTCCTGCTTCCAACCTAGTCTCTCTTTACTGCAGCCAAGGTGATCCTTCTTAAAAGCAAATCACATTAAAGTCCTCCTTTTAATGTCTTTCTATATTTCCCCCTCTCTCCTGAGATAAATTTCCAAGTCCTTAACAAGATTCACAAGGCCCTTCATTGTCTCTCTCTCTCTCTCTCCAGTCTCATCAATTGAAACTCTCATTGTCTCTGCCAGCATTCTGAACTTCTCAGGTTTCCTTGAGAACATCCTGCTTCCTCTCATCACTAGACCTTTGCCTATGCTCTTCCCTAATTATTTTCCAGTTCCCTTAGGCCAGCTAACTCTTCCCTGTCCTTCACTCGCCATCTTAGATATTATCTCCTCCAGGAATCCGTCTCTGCCTGCCCCAATCCTGACTAGATGTCCCCCTTATCCTCCTGTAGCCCCCGGTACCTTCCCCATCACAGCACTTAACACAACTTAGTAACTGCCTGTTTTCTGCTTGGTATTCTACTTTCTCTGCAAAGAGTAGAGACGCCTGCAAGCCAGACCAAGCAGAGAGAGATTTATTGTAAGGATGCAGAGGGCCTCACAGACACATGAGAAAATGAGCTTCATAGGAGCAGGAACATAAAAGCCATCAGAAATGAAGGCCCTTCTTTCCATCTCCCCCCTCAGAGACCTAAGGTCACAGCATCATTGTGCCTGCCTGCTCATCACTCCATCCTTCCCTCTCTCTCCCTCTCTCTCTCTCTGCCGGATTTCCCTACTTCTGCTTAATCCACAGGCTATCCCAGCCTCCATTACATTACCCAGCTCTCGAGGTCACCTTTTATCTTTTGCCTCTGGTGCTAACAGGTACGACGTCTCAGCTTCCCGATTCCAAGTTCCTGAAGGATGAGTTTGCTTGGTCTCTCTGATCTCGTGGTGCTGCACCACTTGTGTCTTGTTTCCTGGCCAGCCTAAGAATGGCTGCCTTGACTCAGGTCTAATCAGCTTTACACAAGAAAGGTGGGGTTTTGGTACAGAACACAGCTGTGCTCACTGATATGGTTTGGCTGTGTCCCCACCTGAATTTATCTCGAATTGTAATCTGAATTGTAATCCCCACGTGTCAGGGGAGGGACCTGGTGGGATGTGATTGGATCATGGGGGCGGTTTCCTCCATGCTGTTCTTGTTTCTTGTGATAGTGAGTGAGTTCTCATGAGATCTGATGGTTTTATAAGTGGTGGTTTCACTCTCCCCCTCCCTCTCTACCTGCCACCTACCACCATGTAAGATGTGCCTGTTTCCCCTTCCACCATGATTGTAAGTTTCCTGAGGCCTCGCCAGCTATGTGGAACTGAGTCAATTAAACCTCTTTTCTTTATAAATTACCCATTCTCAGGTAGTTCTTTATAGTAGTGTGAAAACAGACTAATACACACACTTAGCAGAGATTTGGGGTAGAGCCATAAACAATAGGAGCCTCTGAGACACTGGGAGACACTGCAACACTTAATCTCCTAGCGGGTAACCAAGACTTTCATTGTTAACATACTATTGCCTAGCAAAAAGTCAGGCACAGGGAAATGTGTTGAGCAATGGCTGAACCAACATTTATCAGAACTCTCTATTCTAGAAGACCCATTTGGAGATCTTTTTTTCAGTCAGACCAGGCAGGGTAAGCAAGTTCTTGATCCCCACACAACAAGAAGATAGCTGATTTTTTCTTAAAGAGAGTTGCCCAGATAATAAATGTTTTCTGACTTTTCACTTCACTTAGAGTCAAACCTACCACTTAGCTGATAACAGCTCCTAGCTGCTTTAACCAAAACAGCAATAATCTTTTGTAGCTTCAGCCTGCTTGTTTGACCTCTCCTTAAAATAATTGCTGAATTGGGCTTTAAAAGTCTAGAAGGAAATCAGATAAAAAGTATAAACAGGATTAATGCAATATTTTACATCAATGAAATAATAACTGCCTCAAGATCCTGCCCAATTTGGAGTTCACCTCTAGACTCAGCAGATCCATAAGCCACAGAGTCCACAGGAAACCAAGCATAGTTTCTGACTTAGGGCGGTATGAAAGGCTCTATCTTAAGTCAGATCTTTTTAGTACAATCCAGGTTTTCTCTACTTATTGTGATTTGAGATCTCTCTCTCTCTCTTTCCCTCCCTCTCTCTCTCCCCAGTATTTGTCTTTCAGTATTCAAGACCAGCCATCTATTTTATTTCCAAAACTTGTTTGCAACTAAAGAAGAAAGCCTTAATGAATGGATACACTCATTTGTAAATAATAATAATAATAATACTTAGAGGTCTGTTGACCTACAAACGACTAAAAATAGAGTTCACAGGAACTAAAAGCGAGATTACCATGCTCCAGTGTTGGTCAGTTCTCACCAACCAGCCATGCTCCCTTTGTCTTTAAGGCCCTGACATTGAAGACTGAAGAATATCAGATTATTCCTCAGACTAGCATCAGCATCACTCAAGGAACTTGATGAACATGCGTATTTCTGGAGCCTACCTCACTGATTGAAACAGAATCTCCAAGAGTGAGGAAAGGCTGGAGTGCAGTGGTATGATCTCAGCTCACTACAACCTCAACCTCCTGGGCTCAGGTGGTCCTTCCACCTCAGTCTCCCGGGTAGCTGGGACTGCAGGCACATGCCACCATGCCCAGCTAATTTTTGGTAATTTTTGTAGAGACAGGGTTTTGCCATGCTTCCCAGGCTGATCTCAAACTCCTGGGCTCAAGTCATCAGGAAATAAATTTTTAATGAGCACTTGGATGATACTTATCATCTCACAAGTTTGAAAACACTGACCTAAATTATCTCAGTGGGCTCTTCCCAAAGCATGTTTCATTAATTAGGGGTTCTCACCCTGGCTGTACAGTGGAGTAACTTAGGAAGCTTCTTACACAAGCCAATGCCCACCACACCACCGTTTTAATTCAAATCTGCAGCCATAAATGACAGCCACTGGTGCAACACCAGCTCTGCAAGATGCCCCATGAAAAACCAAGGGTTCTCAAGTAGAGTAAGTTTAGAAGGTGCTGGTCTTTAAGCCCCTCTTTTTGAGTTGCAGTAGAAATGGTCACAGTAAAGACTCCGGAAGTCCTACAGCAAAAATCAAATGTAATTTTATTTATATTTGTTTAAATGTACTTAAATTTGGCCAGTGGTGGTTCATGCCTATAATCCCAGCACTTTGGGAGGCCAAGGCAGGTGGATCACAAAGTCAGGAGTTCAAGACCAGCCTGGCCAATATTGTGAAACCCTGCATCTACAAAAAATACAAAAATTAGCCAGGCGTGGTGGCACACACCTGTAGTCCCAGCTACTAGGGAGGCTGAGGCAGGAGAATCACTGGAACCTGGGAGGCGGAGGTTGCAGGGAACCGAGAATGCACCACTGCACTCCAGCCTGGGTGACAGAGCGAGACTCCATCTCAAAAAAAAAAAAAAAAAAGATAGATATATAGATATACACACACACACACACACACACACACACACACACACACACACAGACACTTAAATTTGTGCTCCAAATTTGATTGCCTGCAAAGAGAACTTGTTTTGTCATCTTGCTTGTTTGGTGGCTGGATGGTTGCTTTTTACATAATATGAATGAGAATCCTGTATAGTAGGAATGTACTTAAATAAAGCCTGTTGCCCTGTTTTCTGAGTGAAGAACTAGCCTAGATGTTCCAATTTCGTTTGCGTGGCAACTCCTGTATTCTGCTTCCATTTAGCTCCTCATTTCTGTTTCTATTTACAGTTTACTGTTTATTTCATTTCTATCTCTGGATTTTGTATTGGCACTGACTCACTAAACTTGATTGTAGGTTCTCCCTTGAGGAAATTGACAAAGACAAACCTTTTTTACCCCTTTCCTTTCATTCATCCTGATTTAGGGCAGCCTGAAAGAACTAACCCTGCCCAAATGCAATGCTCTATCTTTAAGTTTTGTGTAGATATATCATAGTCACAGTTTTTAATACCATGATATCCAGGTTATCAACTCCAAACAAGAGTGGGTTCGAAAATGGGACTATAAAGACCATGCATACCCTGGAGCTGGTGCATGGTTGGGTCCCCACTGCAGGAACATTAACACAGGAGGGAGGGTCAGCCACAGTTACCATGCCCGCACACACTTCCCTAGTCTGGACAATTTCCTGAGGAAGAGCAAAAGTAAATCATTAAAATACCTGGAGAAAATAAAGTGGAAAATAATGGACTCTCAGAAAAAAAGAGAGAGAAATAAAAAGGAACTTTATATGATTTGACATTAAGTTTCTCCTCCACGTACATAGTAGAAATCATCCTTCTGGCTGGCATTAACTCCGTAGCAGGACTTCCCCCACAGCAGCACTGTTGACATGTTTGGCTGGATAATGACTTGTGGATGCTCCTATGCACTGTAGGATGTTTCGCAGCATCCTGCTTTCTACCTACCAGATATCAGTAGCTACCTACCAGATATCACTACCTACCCCCCCACCACTGCCCACTCAACTGTAGCCATCAAAAATGTCTCAGACACTGTCAAACATCCACTGGAGGCAAATGCCCCAGATTAAAAACCACTGCTCTAAGCACAATTTCTATGCATAAAACATTATGAAACCAAGACTCAGAGAGAGAAATAAAAAAGTTAAATCACAAATCTTTTTTCTAGATAATTTAACTTTAATCATACAACAAAATATGGATAAATATTTTTCTAAGTTTCCTCAAGGTTCGTATTTCCTATAACAATGTTAATCATACTCTTTTTTTAACTCTCCAGTTAATTAGGGTAGAGGGATGGATGGTAGTGTTTATGTAGAAAGGCAAATTTCTAAGGCTGAACCTAGAATTTTCTTTTTAAATACCAAGAAAGTTGGGGAATTATGATTTTGCTATATGAAAGTTTAAAATGTCGCATGTTAATTAAAAATAGCCCCAATAAAAAGGGAAATAAGAGGAAAAATTCAAAATAAATGTAACCAAGATTAATGTTCAAGATGTGAAGAATCTACCAAATTAATTCTGTAAAAAAAAAAAAAAAGAAAAGCACTGAGATTGCAATAGATAAGTGGCCAAAAACACACACAAATAATTCACAAAAGAGAACACTCAACAAACGAACAATAATGAGCACTAGAAAATTGTCAGCCTCACTAGAAATCAAAGAAAACTAAATTAAACACAATTTTTGCCTATAAAATTAGTCTCTTTTTAATTAAGGAGATTCTGCACTGATAAATGTGAGATGAAAAAGACACTCATATACTGATAAAAGTTTTTAAAATTAATTTGGCAAAATTATGAGCCTTAAAAACATTCACTTTGCATAATCTATTCTAAGAAATTAATCCTAATTACTGGAAAAGCCCAAAGAAGCTCATTATAGCATAATCTAAGAAAATGAAAAATTGAATATCACCTGGATGCCCAATAAATAATTTATGTTGGAGAAGTTACATTGTAGCAATTAAATGTAGTATTATGAAGCCATTAAAAAGTTGCTTTAAAAAGCACGTACTCAAAATCATATATTAAAGGGGGCTAGATAGTTACCAACTGAAAGGCTGACCCTAGTTACCTTTGAGTAGCTGTAATATGGGAAAAAATTTTCACTCCTTCTATTTTATATTTCTGAATTTTTGGTAATGAGTGTGTATTACTTCTACAATGGAAAAAGTAAACTCCACAGAAAAATGATTCACTTTTTTTAAAGTGCATCGCTGTATAGTGAGGCATTAAAATGAGTTGGCTTCTCAGTCATGTTTTCTCCAGATTGAGCTATTTTGAAAACATTCTCATCACTTAAAAGATGATTGAAGCCAAGGAAACCTAATCTGTTCTAATTTCAGGGTCATCAACCTCAGCCACATAAACACAGGGGAAGATGGATTCTGGAATACACTTAAAGAAGCCTTAAGACATGATTGTTCTCCCTTCCCTAGGCATATTTTTTTAACTGAATATGTGAAACAGGTTCTTTTCTACATAGCAACAGGAAATCACAAACAGGGAAAAGTAACATCAAGTCCACTCATTTACCTAGAGAACCTTAAAAGTAAATAATGAATACTCAGCATCTGCCTTTCCTCATTATTAAAAGTATGATCAATAATATTTATTGAGTATTCCTCTGTTCCCTTTATCATACCAATTCATGAAACATAAGAAAAAACAAAAGACATGAAAAGATCTCAATTCTGAAATCAATCAAATAATGAGGAAGTATAAAAAGATAGATTAGATAGAGAATCATTATTTCCTAATAATTCAAGACAAAAATTCACAGAGTTTAGGAACTGGAAGTTACTTTAAATTCAACTAGTCCTACTTCATTTTCTATAGGCTTTCATGTCAAAATAAAGAGGAATGCCGTAAGAGGTCATTGTACATGGATGTCAAGGCAAGCTCTAATAGTGGTGAGATCCTTAGAATCAGAGTCTTAGATTAAATTAAGGGATTAAATTAAATTAAGCAACTAAAATGGTAGTATAGTGCCTTTAGTCATCGAAAGTAGGATTCCTCTCTACATCCTGAAGGAAGGTGGTCACCCTGATGCCATCACTCAGGTTCTTCTAGGCAGGCCACCCCCTTAAGAATGATCACTGACGCTTTCATCTCTATCATATTCCAGGATCATCTAAATTTTGCCTGAAAAATACCTCTTGTCCATCTCACCCTTTCAATTTCCATCAATCTAGATAGAAATAGTAAGAAAATCATGGCACTAATTGAGTCTGAAAAGGAGCTGGGCTAAGATGGTGGCAAGGAGAACAAAGAGGCTGGGTGGAGATGAGATATACCTAAAAAAAAAAGGAAAGGCAGGAATTGATGACTGACTAGATATAAACATGATGCCCATGTTTTCTGAACCAAAAAAAAAGTGGGATACATGGCCTGACAATCATGAAGGTACTTCTGAGTTCAATGGGGCAGGATATTTGCCCTCAGGACCAACTCAGAAAATCCATTTAGAGGGATTTTTTTAAAGTGAGCATGACCGGGAGTTATAGAATGGGAGTCAGGATGAAAGAGTGGGGAGAGCCAGGCAATAGGTAGAAAAGGAAGCACTCTTTAAGCTTTAAGTACTACGTTATTTTCTTTTTCTATTCAAGCATGTTCTCTTCTGCTGGAGAATGCTTTGTTAAACTGATCTGAGGTCGTTTCCATCCTCATGAGAAATCTGATGCAGTATTTCATCCTAAACATTATAAAGCTTGGCATTAAAAGCTTCCCCAAGTCTATTTTCCCCTGGAGTCAGGTACCGTTTGTCATTTGCTCACACATTCCTTCTGGCAGACTGCTTTACGATGATTCCCATGGGCAGCTATGGGGCTGGAGAGCATCCTTCACACATGACTTCCCACTGAGTCCAGAGGCCGATGGGCACAAGTCGAAAACCAACTTACCCCGTTTATTGATGAATTCTCCCATTTGGGACACATGCGTGTTGTCTTCTCTTCATATTGTTCACCTGGGTTTATAATGTGCCACCAAAACTCAGAAAAACAAAACTTGAAACCTGAGAATAAGTTTTGTGTTAGAGTGTTCATCTCTATGAATCCAAGTATTTATTGTTCTTTTGGGGAGCTTGCTCAAGCCTATGCTCCAGAAAGCCAGGAAGTAGTCAGTATATTCTCAGAGTGAAGACAGAAGGATTGTGAAAAACGGATATGAGCAGTATTTAACCATAAATATGGTGAACACATTTTCTGAAACACACAAAAAAATGTGATTTATGGTCTGAAAAACATTTTACTAGTCAATAAAATGGAGGCCAGGAGAAAAATATCTTTGAAAATAGGGCTGAAAAATCCAACACATTGGTCTCTATAGCTATAGAGATACATAGAGAACAGTCTATTTTTAAGTTTGATAAAAGAATGTTTTAAAATCCTAAGTTATTAAATTTAGAAGGAATAAGGGCAAAATAGGTAAATATCAGAATGTATATTTCATCTTACTAATTAAGTTGGCAAACTACCAACTGTCTGTTTTTGTAAATATGGTATGCAGTCTAGAAGAGGAATTTTTGGTCCATAACATAGCTCTCTAATAGACTTTTAACCTGCAGCCTAAAATGAGTATTGAATGTAAACCCTTTTGGGAGTTGTAGGAAGTGTCTAGAGTATATATTTTCTCACCTTGTGACAGGGAGGGATAAGAGTAGATTAGTATAGAGAGACCCTAAGAACAAAGCCCCTAAAATAGCAGTTTTATAGTCTTGTGGTCTTGACGATGGTCTGTTTTACCCTTAGAATGAATGCCTAGAAGCCATTACAGTTAATGGGGATTGTGAAGATAGAAGCAAACAGATTTCTGAACACAACTTTTCTGCTCGTGTCTCTGTGAATATGAGATGAAGTTTCTGTTATCTGTTAATGTAATTGATCAAACCACAATGCTTTTATGTCTCCAAAATACAATTTATGTTTAACATTTTTCTTTTAAATAAAGATTTTCTGTACCTTATGGCTCCCCTATATGTAGTAGAAATTTTTTCTCACCCAAAGGGCAACCATGATGTGGAAAAGGCTCCCTCTCTGGGCAGCCAAAAGGCGATTCCTGAACCACTTTAGCAGGCTTTTGCAGTAGGTAAAAAACCATACCTGCATGACCTTTAACGTGTTTCTCTCTGAATGCTACCCCCAGGGGTGACGAGTTTTCCCTAAGGAGAGGATAAACCCAGCAGTAGGGCTCCCACATCCACAGCCCTGGCAGACATCTAGAATTCCAGGGTCAGTGTCTGGGCACCATCTTCTTCCTGGACCAAACTGAGGGTTGAGCTGCTATTTCTCGTGGCCCAATAATGAGATGCAGATGAACTGGAGAGGAAGAGAGTTTTATTTTCTGCAACTGGTTACAGGGAGAAGGCTTGGAAATTATCACCAAACCCATTCAAAATTACAAAGTTTTCCAGAGCATATATATCTTCTAAGCTATATGTCTACGTGTAAGTGTGCATTCATCTAAAGACATAGGTGATTAACTTCTTTTAATCTATAACTAAGGTCTGAGTCCTGAAGACCTTCCTCTGGAGCCTCAGTAAATTTACTTAATCTAAATGAGTCCAGATGCTGGGGTGATTACCCTTATCTTGTCTCCTGCTAAATCACAGAGATTTGAGGAGTTCCTTCAGACCCCCAATAATCCTGTTTGTGGATGCCTGGGGAGTTTCTTCCATCCCACTGTAAAATTTGTTTAATCCTAAATGGTTCCTGTTAAGAATGCCTTCGTTATTTTGTCATTCTTTAAGGCCCAGGAAAGGCCTAGGCAAAAACTCCTGATGGGCTTTCATTACATCCCAGCCTTTGATTAAAGGCACTGGCTTTTAATATTTAACTTAACCACTCAGTCAGTACTGAAACAGTTGTTAGTGAGAACTGGCCTGCCACAATCTTAGTCTGTTCTGGCTGCTATCTCAAAATACCTGAGACTGGGTCATTTATAAGAAGAGTAATTTATTTCTCACAGTTCTGGAGGTTGGAAAGTCCAGGATCAAGGTGCCGACAGATCCCATGTCTGTGGACGGCTGCTCTCTGCCTCCAAGGTGGTGCCTTCTTGCTGCATCCTCACATTGCAGAAGACATGGAAGGGCAAAAGGTTTCAGCTAGTTCCTTCGAGCCTTTTTATAAGGGTACTAATCTCACTCATGAGTTGGAGCTGTCCTAAATGTCCACCTCTTAACACTATCACATGAGGTCTTAGGGTCCAACACAGGAATTATGAGATAACTCATACATTCAAACCATAGCAGGTACAGAGTCTTGCGCACTTCCCCACACACAATGATCTTGTAATTTAAAAGAAATTAAAACAAACCCCTCACCTTACAGTGAGGAAATAAGAACAGATTGCAGACATAGGGTAGCCCATTTTCAAAGGGAGACTACAATACTTTCTGAATACCAGATTCCTCAAAGCTCCAGAAAAAAAAAACAAAAAAAAAAAAACAAAAAAAAAAACCAGCCATATTTTCAAGGTGCCAAAATGTTATGCAAGATTCTAAGAGATGAGGCTAATGTCACTCAGTACCGCAACGATCAGAGTTGTGTACACACACAGACAGCTTTGTGTTTTACTTGTTGAGTTCAAACAGTAGCAAATATAGCATATCCTGGAAACCTTGCCCCAGGACTTAGGTCTGTCTTTAAATACCACAAACATAAACATCAATCAGTATTTCCTTTCTGGAGGACAATTTAGTAACACCTTTCACAAGCCTTTGAAGTATGTGTTTATGTTCTTGGACTCAGCAATTTCCCAACTAGGAATTACTCCTAAAAATTTAAAATCATGAATTTATGTAAAGATTTAGCTATAAGGATTTTCAATCTATATTTGTTTATAATAAGTAAAACTAGAAACAACCAAATGTCCAGCACCAGCGAACTGAATAAATAAATTCCAGTATATTGGTATGAAATGCTATGCACCATTGAAAATTAGTATTATAGAAGTATATTTAATGACACCGGCTCATGCCTGTAATCCCAGCACTTTGCAAGACTGAGGCATGCAGATCACTTGAGGCCAGGAGTTCAAGACCAGCCTGGCTAACATGGCGAAACCCCCATCTCTACTAAAAAATACAAAAATTAGCTGGGTGTGGTGGCACGCACTTGTAATATCAGCTACTTGAGAGGCTGAGGTATGAGAATTGCTTGAACACGGGATGTAGAGGTTGCAGTGAGCCGAGATGGTGCACTGCACTCCAGCCTGGGTGACAGAGCAGGACTCCCTCTCAAAAAAAAAAAATTAATGACATTATATGTTAACTAAAAAGAGAGATTATAAAACAATATGAACAGTATATTACAGTATGTTCCCTTTGGGAAAGGTATCATAAAAATATAAATAAGCAACATTATGAAAATCAAGATCTTTGTCACCCTGTTAACATTTTGATGTGACTTCTAAAGTTTGTACAGTGAATATGTGCTATTTAAAATAAGAAAATAATGTTTTAAATTACTACTTTTAAATTTCAAGAAATTAAATATTCCTCAGTATTAATTATCAGCACAGCTATTGGGAAAAAAAGAAGAGAGAAAAGAATTAACATGAATTGTTTTTGCATATTATTTTTTATTCAATTTTGTTTAAATATAGGATCAAGTTAACTTAAATTGTTCCCTTTTGGTAGATATCGAAGATAATTAGAATGTATTTTTTTACTGAAAAAACACGAGGGAGATGCCTTGTTTTTTCTCTGAATCCTTTATCATTAAAACCCTATGATTAAGATTGCTTCTTCTGTTTACCAAACTGGATGAATTCTAAAGTTATTTCTTTCCAAGGTGAAGGTGTTAATTTGCATTACCTCTGATTACTCATTCAAAAGAGTGAGCCAGGTTGCAGCTGCTATATATTATGCAGTGAACTGTTCATTATCTGTGGAGACAAGGACAGTACAAATAATAAAAATCCGTAGAGAATGCCCAAACTTCATTTTAGCCAGAAGTGTCAACAGTTTGCCAGAGTTGTTAGCAAGGAACAAAGCTGATTTGAGTTTTATCTCCTAACTCCCCTCCATATGCTTGAGTATTATGCTAATAAGTGAAATGACCAGCAGCAGAGGCAGCCCTGGGTAATTCCTAGTCAGGAGAATTGGATTCTGATTAATCAAGATTTGGCTGAGTTGGAGCACGGACATGCAACTGTCTCCCAGTAAACAGCCTAAACATTCTTTAAATATTCATTGTCTAAAAAATTGCATTTACTTTAACAACATGTTTACGAGAGTTTATTTTACCTATGAAGCACAAAGACTGTGACACCCCATTTCTGCCCTACCTGAACTGTTCCTGCACAGAATGAATGGTGAACCCATTTCTCTTTGTCATACTATCCTAGTGAGCTATCAAATTTAAATTTCTAAATATGTGTTATTTATAGAAATTACAATTCCATATACCAGATCAATCTATTTTGGCAATATGCAATTAACCTAAAATTCAATAGCCTAAAATTATTATGTTTCTGAAACTTGGAAGGAAAATGCATCCTTCTGTAACCTTTCTTTCATCAATAAAATCTACAGAAATTCTACACTCCTACATATTTACACACATACATAAACCCTAGCAATGCCCATGATCTAATTTAACAGATGCTTTTGCCACTCCATATGTCCACATATATCATTTTACATTTGAAATTAAGAAAGTTAAGACAGGCCTTTTCAGACCTTATGAGAAATATCATTTCTCTAAAACTGCTTTTCTTCAATGAAGTATCATAAATTGACCAAGAGGGATGTTAACTGCGTTAACTTTTTAAGATTCTTTCAAGTCTCTGTCCTTTGTGAAATAACTATAAATTTAGGTTGGTGGTTCAAATGGCTTTTTCCCCCCACAACAAATATGAATAAGATAAATTGTACTAAAACTCTTTTATGCTTTATTGAATAACAGCCAGTAATAAAGCAGGCTCAAGAGAGCAGAGTCTAATATCAGATGCATGGCATAGCTTTAAATATCTTCTATGGCACTGGATAGCAGATTAAAATCGGTCCCTTTACTAGGAGATTCAAATTGCCTCTTCTAGACTTTTCAACAAGAACTTTTTGGTCTTTCCTTTTGCAAAGTGATAAGACTTTCTTTACCTACTTTGTATACAATCTGTGTTTCCTTCCAAGAAAACTTTCCATTTTCACCACAACCTAAGAAAATACTAGCTATTTTCTGAAAAGAAGCTGATTCATGATTGCCTGGGTTTCAACAATATAACACTCTCTTCATTGTGAGTATTGCCAGTCATTGTCACCAAGTTAAAAGACAAACCCAAGCTATCATCCTTAGTGACTCTATTGTTTTAAGTTCAGGAAACTTCTCAAATTCATAGCAGGGGAAGGAATTACCAACGTAAATCTTTCTTGGCCCATATATTTGCTCTCTGACCCAGGCTTTTTTGCTTTAAATAATTGGGCATTTTCCCCAGAGTCTGGAGGGATAGTGCCTTTCTTCTGTATATACGATCATTTCAAATCCAACCTCATATTCACATCTTCAGTGCCTTCCTTTATAAGGCAGAAGAAAGGAGAACCCATACACTAAAACATCACACTAAAATTTCTAACATTCACTTCCAGATCTGAAGGTAATTTTTCCCCAAATTTTACTACATTTATAAAAAATGCAGAATTCCACCTAGAAACAATCCAATTAGACTTACTGCCATATCCCATAAATTCAGTTTCAACGTTTCTTGATCTTTCAGGAACTCAAACTGTTCCTGTTATTTTCCAAAAATAAAAATTTCAACAAGTAGGATTAAAAAAAATAGCCTCCACCTAAATATGAATGAAGGTGCTATATATAGACCACATATTCATCAGGCATTCAATAATCACTTACTTTAAGTAAAACAAATTCTAGTGGTAATGATAGGGAAAATTATGCCTTCTATGATAAAAATATGATGCCATTTTATGACGCAAATTTTTCCAGAATTGGCAATGTTCTTTTTTTACTTTTATTTTTTAACACTTTCCTTACTCTTTTACCTCATTTCAACTTATTGGCAGTAGTCTTGGACAGTGAAAGGTTTAATACCTATGCCGGAATCAACCTGAACTTTGTGTTAGGCTAAGGATTGATTCTCATCTCACACATATACATTCCTTCCTTTCCTTGTTGCAAAAATTAACTTCTGATTGCTTTTTCTCAATCATGTGAGAAACAGGCTGGGATGGAGAATTATGTTTATTTGCCTCACAACCAACATTTGTAAAGTCATTAAACAATGACAGTACCGTAATGTTATGCAGTTTAAAAATAAAAAGAAAACAAACTGAAAAACTGGTATTTGTGGGTCTCTTACTGACTTTTATAAAGAAGTTGAGAATTAATCATTTTAAAAAATGAATGTATCAAATGTGTTCTGTGAGTTTTTTTTTAAAGGCTATTTATGCAACTAAATGTTACCTTAGCCTAAACATCTACTGCTTCTCTAGCTGTTATGTAAAGCTAAACTCATTTATATTGCATAGACTTTTTTTAAACCAAAGTATTAAACTAAACTAGGTCCTTTATCTGCTATTTTTAAAAAATCAAAAAATGTCCAGAGTAAAAAGAAGATAATTTCACAGACTCTCTATGAGAAATATTTCCCTTTAAAGGCTGCATTATAGAGGCAAAGAGAAACTGGGAAGCAAGCAACGGTCTCCTGACTTCATTTGTGTTCACCATTTGAAAAATGCAAACGAAATAGAATCTGGTTTTTCTTTAACAGCAAAACTTTGAAGCCTGAGATATCTAGATATCAACATTTTGCTTTGCTTTACATGCAAGCCTAGACTGAAACACAGTAAGAATTTATCTTTCTCCTTTCCTCCACAAGTAATCTTCTCAAAAGAAAAATCCAAAGGATTCTCTTTGCTGCCCTTTCAATCTTACAGTCTTGACAACCTGGCTTCCACCCCTACCACTCCCTTCAACTGTCCTCATTAATGTTACCAAGGGCCACCTAATTGCTAAACCTTGTGAAGACCTTTCAGTCTTCATCCTACTTCCATATGCAGACCCTTTTCCCTGTCACTCATCCCTCAAGATGCACAAGGATGACCTCTCCCAGGAAGCCTTACCAACCCACATCCCAGCTAGTGGGTGACCTTGGGCATCTTATCCTCCATGCTCCAGGAGCACCTTTGCATGTTCTATGAGGGCATTTACTATGCAGCAAGATACCCACTTGTTTGTCTCCCTCTCTGACTGTGAGCAATGCAAGTGCAGAGAGTTTTAACCTTATTTATCTTTCTACCCACATTGCCTACCCAGTGTCTAGACTTGGCTGGCAAGTGATGCCATTTTTTCAATTTCAGGAAGTAAAGCAGAAAGCCCTGGCATAGTAGTTATTCTTCATGGCATTAAAATAGAATTTTTTGCCTAATTTCTTTCAAGGCACACTTCAGCAGTTTTCATCCATACATTCCTCATCCCAAGCAAAGAGGATTCTATTTCAAAACACGGTGTCATCAAACATCCCAAAGCTTCTTTTGTACCTGAAATGGAGTCTGAGCAGAAGTAGGTAGCAGGGGAGAAGGAGGACAGCAGAAACCTACAAAATTTCTGAAATAAATCCATGTTTCCTGCCTCTTTCCCCTTCTCTATGAATTTTCTTCTCTTTCAAAAGCACTGACACCTCCTAGCCATCTAATCAAGACAAATCTTTCATGCGGTAATTAACATACAGCTCATCTTCAGAGGGAACAGCAAAACAAAGGCTGAAACAATTAGCTGACTGTGCCAAACAGCATGGTTCGCCCCCTCCGGCCCACACCTCTCCCTCTCTTCCCCATTCTTTCAATTGCTTGCTTTTAAGTACTGTTTTTTCACAGGAAGAAAAACTTCATTCCTGCTGAAAGGTAAGAAACTGAATAGATACTTAGACTAGGAAATAGCTTAATTGAATTTCATATGAAAAAATGCTTAGGACTGTTTAAGACAAACGTTGGGTTCCCCGCTCAGCTGGAATTGCATTAGATGAGAAAGGGATTCAGAGATACTCGCTAATCTGTTACCGTCAGGTTAGAACAGAATATTGCAATTAGCATGCAAAAGGACACAGGCCGGCAATACAGGGAAAGAGAAGTCTTTCCAGAATGAAGACTGCAGAGTAGAGAGGTAAATTGTATGAGTAATAACTCAGAAGGTAGAAAATGAACTTGCACCTCATAAGGCTGTGTGTGCCTTGATTACATTAGCACTACTTGCAATATTAAGCAGTATATTCATTTTTATTGTATTAGTTTTTGAATAGTCTGTAAAAGGCCAGTGTTTCATTTAGCTCCCTGAGCCACCTGTCTTTCCTACAACATCCCCTACCAGCACATTCAAGCATTAGCGTTCAGGATTTCTAAAATATTGTAGCCATTGATGGCTGCCAGCAGTCAAATTAAATTCAAAGGGTCTAGTATCGCTTCAGGTTTTAGCTATATAATTTACTAAGAATGCCCAAAGCACTTGCAATCTAATTTGCAGTTCAGCAATGAATACCATTTCCTAACAAAATATGCCTGAAATTTCCTTTTAAGGCTCTAGAAAAAATACACTTGTGACACCTGTGTGCCTTCCTTCTGGCACTGACTCCAAAAAAAAAGAAAAAGAAAAAAAAGAAATCTACCAAAAAATGATCATATACCTCATGTAAGGTGCAAAAGAAAAGGAACCAAGAGAATGAATTTGTTTTTACTGCTAGGTCATGTAGGCCAGTACAGGCACCATATGCTTCTTTTTAAAATTTAGATTATTTTTCTATTTCTTCCAAATCCAATATTAGTGCTGTATTTGTTACAGCATGAATAATCAGCATAGGCTTAACCAAAATCTTGGCTTTCTGAAAAACTACTAAATAAAAACCACTGTAGGAAACCCCAGATTTGATCATTTCCATGTCCTTATGGAGGTAAACTTAGTCTATTTTCAGTAAGAAACAAGAGTGTCAATTTCTAATCCTAGTGTCAATTTCATTTCTAATACTTACTCCCAAAGTACCATTGCTTACAGTGTCCTCATAGAAGGACATTTCACCCTTATAGATGGAAAATAAGGCCAAAAGTGACTGTTAAAAATCTACGGCTAACTTATTGTTTGTCTTATGAAAAAATTGCCCTCTCTTACCTAGATTACTTTTACTTAGATTAAATAAGGCATGAGGAATGCTTGAAAAGTGTTTTGAGAACCTTCTGTGAAAGCTGAAAACATTAAATGTTATCTAACTTACTTTTAGATTTCATCTTCTCTCTTCCTGATACATAGGAATTCTGATCCCTAGCCATAAGGACAAAAGCAGCGAAGGGCAATGCAGCTAACAATTGCCAGGTAAAAGCTGAACTCTTACAAGCTTTCCTTATCACAGAGATGGTACTCACCACTAAGGAGGCTACAGAAATCAAATCATCTGGCTGAATTAATTTAATTAATAAAAGGCATAATTTGGAAGCTCATTAGAGAAGTCAGAGATGCTAGCTATATCCACACAGAGTTAATCACTCACCATCAAGCCAACTAAATGTAACTCTAGAAATCAAACCATTAAAGTATAAATTGGAAAGAGCCAAGTTCCTAATGACGTTAATGATCTAAATCTGGCTGTTGATCTTGCTCCTTTCATTTCCCACTCAATAAGCCCCTTTATACCTTATAATAAACTCTATAGTTTATAAAATTTAAAAATGCTAATGGGGCAGCATTATTAATGTTTTTAAAGCCTACCAAAATATCAGACCTTGAAAGGAAAACTGAGTCATTTCCAAGACAAAGGGAGCAAAAGGCTCCAGCTGTCTCAGCACCTGCTCCCCCAGGTCACCTTCTATTCCCAAACCCTCTCCACGTACGCGGGCTTTCAAGGATGCTTCAGATGTCCAGAAGTATGGCGGAAAATGAAACAAAAGTGAGTGCCACAATATTTTGATTTGTTTCTATCCCAGTGGAAGAAAATACATAACTAACCAATTCTGTAGAAATAAAAACGAATCTGCTTTTCAAGCATCACCTATCTCTTCACTCCCAACTGAACCACTCTCCACCCACTTCCACTTATAACAAGAAACCATATTTGTTTGTAGAGGAACAGACAGAAAATTAATGTAGCCAGCCATTCACTTTCCAATTAATTTAGTGAAGCAGCAACTGAATAATCCAGTTCTATCAAGTCAGAACATGAAAATGTCAGCTGCATAGCACTTAGTAGAAATAAGAGGAGGAAGAAGAGAAGTAACTAGCATCTCTAAATACCTTCTATGGCAGGCATTTTGGTAGGCATGCACTCTTACTTTCATCCTTACAAGACCCTCATAAGGATGGAATTATTATCTCTATTTTACATAAACTCTTTTTACATAGAAAATTTAAATGACTTCCCAAAGATCACAGAACAAATATGTAGCAATGCTGGGATGGAATCCAATGTCTCTCTGACTCCTCCAGTTAAACTGAAAATGAATAAATGACAAAAATTATGACACTTTATGATAATTATAGATTATATGAGGGTCTATCCTTGCTAGTTTTAATAATTCTGTTTATTTTTGTTTTAACTTCTCTTTGCCATTATCTTATGATTAGCTAAGATATAGTCATTTACTTCTTAAGAAACAACTTAACCCATATTCATTCCTTCCCCCTTGCTTCATCTTCATCCTTTCCTTCCTTCACTAACAGATTTATATCTCCCAAAGATTCAGGCAAACAAGATGACAAAGACTGTGATTTAATGGGAATTAATGAATTGTGTTTAATTTAAAATTGATTCTGAATACAATTGTTTATTACATTTTATAGCTACTTCTCATATGCACTTCTGATTGGAATAACTTTACAGAGGATTAAGGTCCAATAAAATCCCACATGATGTACAGTGTATGTGTCAGACATCTAAAAATTCTTGCGAAAGCAATTACACTGAGTGCTATCTAATAATAAACCAAATGGACAGCTATGATACGAACTGCATTTCCTTACAACTCTACCCCCACCTGACTCTGCATTTCAATCTTTGCTAACTCTCGGCAAAAGAACAGATGTTCTGCTTTGGGTTGAGAAATCAACAGTTACCATTCATATGTTCCAGAAATTCAAGGGCCTAGTGCTGCTGTTTTAAGGATGCTAATTAATTCTAGCCCTTATGCTCCAATGTTCTTGTGGTTTCAATCACTTGCAATCTCACAGGACCTCGGTCCCCACTATCTCCTTTGAAAGTCTATGGGGAAAAGCAGCTAGGAAATATACACTTCACTAACCTAGGGGGAGGAAAGAATTAATCTAATATGCTCTAATTTTGTATATTTCTTATATCATTATCATTGCTGTCCTCTCTGTTGTATTTATTTGAACAGGTAGGCACAGCCCCGCTGTCACATATAACTGAAACAATGCCTAGAGATGCCTTTTGGTCACATTTTTTCATTTATTTACCATTCAAACACAGACTCATTTTGGAAGCAGGATGGAAACAGCTATTTCTGAATTCATTCCTGTTTTTGTTCGTGTGTTTGTGTTTGGATCTAGTGTTGATTGTGCGTAACACTCAGCTAGGACCATGTTAAAAATGCAGGTTCCTGGGCTCAAAGCCTACATACAAATTAGTAGATCTGTGAAGGTATTGGAGCATCTTCCGTTTTTTAAGAAATACCTTATTCTTAAGCAGATGGTTCAAGGACCTCAGGAAATGCATGCATGCCCTTTAGCACAGATGTTAACAATCTGTATGGCCTTTGCCCAAGATGAGACAGCTTGAGCAAAAATGGCCCTGCAGGTCAAGTATGGTGTAAAGATCCCATTCCACTTACATTAATAAACCTTGCTCGGCTCCCCAGCCAGACAGACATCCTTCACACCAGAGTTTCCATGGTCACCTGAAGTTTAAATCACCTGGGGCGATGATAATCACTGGGACAGGGCCCAGGGATTTGTTTGTTTAACAAGAACCCCAGGTGACTCTTATGCATTGACCTAGGGTGGAAAATAATTTAATATGTGCTGACTTTATATATTTCTCATAGCATTATATTGCTTCCCTATCTGTAGCATTGATTTGAACAGGTAGGCACAGCCCAGCTGACAAATATAATTGATATAATTGAGATAGCAGTTTGATGAGCCGTTAGGTACCACCAAAGCAGGTATACCCAGTGAAAGAACATCAGCTGGAGAGTCAGCCAGACCTGGGCTGGAATCCAATATTTTTCACTTATAACTGTATGATTTAACCAAGTTCCTTAACTTTGAGCAAGTTTCTTAATCCCTCTGAGCTTTATTTCTCTCATCTTTAAATTTGGAATGGTATTACCCTTCAAAACATTGTGAGATGTCCACAACTAACATCTTACTGAATGGGGAAAAGCTGAGAGCTTTTACTCTAAGAACTGGAACAAGACAAGGATTTCCACTTTCATGTGACATTCTTATTCAACATAATACTGGAAGTGCTAGCCAGAGCAATTAGGAAAAGGAAGAAATAAAGAGCATGCAAATTGGAAAGAAGGAAGTCAGATTATCCCTGTTTACAGATGACATGATGTTATACATAGAAAAACTCTACAAAAAATGCTTAGAACTGATCAATGAATTCGGTAAAGTTGCAGGATACAAAATTAATATAAAAAAGTAACATTTTTACACACTGCTATAAAATAGCCAAAAAGAAATCAAGAAGGCAATTATATTTACAACAGATACAGAAAAAATTACCAGGAATAAATTTAACCAAAAAGGTGAAAGACCTCTACAAGCA
Organism: Homo sapiens; assembly: GCF_000001405.40. Lineage (NCBI taxonomy): Eukaryota > Metazoa > Chordata > Mammalia > Primates > Hominidae > Homo > Homo sapiens. Next base: position 138,729,703 of record NC_000004.12, read on the forward strand.
AAATTATAAAACGCTGATAGAAGAAATTGAAGAGGATACAACCAAATGGAAAAACATCCCATGATCATAGGTTGAAAGAATTAACCTTGTTAAAATGACAATACTACCCAAAGCAATCTACAGATTCAATGTAACCCCTATCAAATTACCAATGACATTCTTTACAGAAATGTTTTTTTAAAATTCTAAAATTTGTATGGAACCATGAAAGACCTCAAATACCAAAGCAATCCTGAGCAAAAAGAACAAAGCTGGAGGTATCATACCACCAGACCTCAAAATGTGTAACAAAGCTTTAGTAACCAAAACAGCATAGTACTGGCATAAAAACAGACATATAAACCAATGGAGACTGGAGAACCCAAAAATTAATCCAAATATCTATAGCCAATTGATTTTTGACAAAGGTACCAAGAACATTCATTTGGGAAAGAACTGTCTCTCTTCAATAAGTGGTGCTAAGAAAACTCCATATGCAGATGAATGAAACTGGACCCCTATCTCTCACCCTATACAAAAATCAACTCAAAATGGATCAAAGACCTAAATGTAAGACCTGAAATGATAAAACTACCAGAAGAAGAAAAAGGGGAAATGCTTCAGAACATTGATCTGAGAAAAGATTTTATGACTAAGACCTCAAAGGCATAGTCAACAAAAGCAAAAATAAACAAATGGTATTATATCAAACTAAAGACTCTGCACAGCAAAGGAAACAATCAACACAATGAAAAGACAACCTACAGAATTAAAGATAATATTTGCAAACTACTCATCTGACAAGGAATTAATATCTAGAGTATACAAGGAACTGAAACATCTCAACAGCAAGAAGTAAAACAATCTGATTTAAAAATGGGAAAATGATCTGAATGGACATTTTTAAAAAGAAGACATACAAGTGGCCAACAAATATATGAAAAAATGTTCAACATCAATAATCATCAGAGAACTCCAAACCAAAACCACAATAAGATGTCATTTCACTCTAATCAGGATGACTATTATCAAAAATACAAAAAATAACAAATACAGGTGAGGATATGGAGAAAAGGAAACTCTTACACACTTTTGATAGGAATGCAAATTAGTACAGCCACTATGGGGAACAGTATGGAGGTCCCTCAAAAAATACAAGTAGAACTACCATATGATCCAGGAATCTTACTACTGGGCATTTATCCAAAGGAAAGAAAATCAGTATTTCAGAGAGGCATCTGCACCCCCATGTTTATTTTAGCATTATTTACAATAGTCAAGATATAGCATCCTACAACAGATGAATGAATTTTAAAATGTGGTATATAAACACCATGGAATACTATTTACCCAAACAAGGAATGAAATCCTGTCATTTGCAGCAACATGGATGGAACTAGAGGACATCATGTTAAGTAAAATAAGTCAGGCACAGAAAGTTAGACACCACATGTTCTCACTCATGTGGAAGTTTCAAAAAGTTGATCTCATAGAAGTAAAAGGTAGTATAGAGGATACTAAAACCTGGGGAGGGGAAAAGGGAGGAGGCCATAGGGAGAGATTTGTAAAAGGATACAAAATTACAGCTAGATGGGAGGAATAATTTCCAGTGTTCTACATCACTGACCGGTGACTTAACAAAATATATTACATAGTTTCAAATAGCTCAGAGGAGGATATTGAATATTCCCAACAGAAAGAAATGATAAATGTTTGAGATAATGGGTACGCTAATCACCCTAATCTGATCACTATATATTGTATGCATTGAAACATCATTATGTATCCCATGAATATGTACAATTATTATTTGCCAACTTTAAAAATGAAATTAAAAAAGAACACTTAACATAAAAAAGTTGTGAGAATTAAATATAATAATATATGTCAAAATATGTGGCTTAGAGTAGGGGTGTGAAAACAATAGGAGTGAGGGGCTTCCTATTTGTGTTTTGCCTACTGTCCAAGGAACAGAGACTGTGACTTCTTCCACCAACTCTTTACATCAGTTAATATGCAAGGATCTTTTGGTTTTTTTGCTGAAGGAGAATAAGGAGTGTTCATTTTTTTTTGCGTTAGGAAAGTATGAGAGAGGTTTGGGAGAGAGGAGGGAAAAATAAAGAAAATAGGTGTTATGGACTGAAGGTTTCCATCCTCCCAAAATTCTTATGTTGAAATCCTGACCCTCTATGTAATGGTTTTTGGAGGTGGGGCCTTTGGGAAGTAATTATATCATGAGAGGAGCCCTCACAAATGGGACTAGTGCCTTTATAAGAAGAAGCCAGAGAAGAGAGCACACTCTTTCTGTCATGTGAGCATATAAAGAGTCAGCTGTCTGCAGCCTAGAAGAGGGCCCTCACCAGAACTCTGCCATGCTGCCACACCAATCTTGGACTTCCAGCCTTCAGAACTGTCAGAAAAAAATGTTTGTTGTTTAAGGCACCCAAACTGCAATAATTTGTCATAGCAGTCCTGTATTAGTCCATTTTCACACTGCTATAAAGAACTGCCTGAGACTGGGTAATTTATAAAGGAAAAAGGCTTACTCAACTCACAGTTCTGCATGGCTGGGGAGGCCTCAGGAAACTTACAATCATGGCGGAAGGTGAAGGGTAAGCAAGGCACCTTCTTCACAAGGGAGCAGGAAGGAGAATGAACACAGGAGGAACTACCAAACACTTAGAAAACCATCAGATCTCATGACAACTCACTCCCTATCATGAGAACAGCACGGGGGAAACTGCCCCCAAGATTCAATTACCTCCACCTGGTCTCTCCCTTGATATGTGGGGATTATGGGGATTACAATTCAAGATGAGATTTTGGGTGGGGACACAGCCAAACCATATCAAGCCCCACATGACTAAGACAAGATGATATAATGGTACCCATCTCTTCCCTGCCATTTGAATTCATATTGTATCCCAAAACAGGGAGGAATTAGGGCCAGCATCTGCAGGATCTGTTTTCTAAAGAGACTTTTTGAGACTGTGTACCCAAGTAGTGGTTTTAGGGCCCAAGTAAGAAAGCGAGGCAAAGAAACAGGGAGTGAGCCACTCTCTGTTTCTGTGTGGAACCCATTGTCAATGAGAAATCTAAAGATGGGCATCACTGGAAGAATCATGAGATGGAATTTCAAATAAATACCAGTGGCCTCATGCTGCCACCATTAGAAATGGCAATGGAAAGACACTCAAATGTCTTTGGGGACTGGGGTAAAAGGAGGTCACCACAGAAAGGAAGGAACATAGTTTAACGCTACTTAATTTTTAAAACTGAAAATTGAGTTGTCAGCACATGCCAGCCATCACTGGGAACCCCCCCACCTGCAGAGGTCTTTGCGGGAAAGCTCAATACCCTGCAGGAGCAGATCAGGGACAGGGGCAAGGACTGAGTTCTTGATTTCACCATGCCTTGCTTTGCATCCACTGATGGGCGAGTATTCACAGTAACAATTTTCATTATAAATGCCTGTTATTGGTCCCAGGTGAAACCAACCAAGCAAGAACAACAACAACAAAAAATGCCTTTTATTTGCCGGAATGACATGTCATAACAAAAACTCGAATGATGGTAACTATCATTTCTACATGGGCTTAGTTGTCTCTGACCTCAAGCAAACTATTTTAACTTATATATGATACAGTCTCCTCATCTGTGAAATAGCCTAGTTGGCAGAGGCTGTCAAGGCTTGATATATGAAGATCAAAACAGCTCAAGATGATATAGAGAGATCATACAAAAGAGTCAAGAAATTAAGGGTTTGGTCTATATCTTATGGTCAAATAGGGCAGCCATCTGTGAATTATATTGTATTCAGATAGATGGTACCAACAGTAAAGAAACCTGGGTTGCTCTGCCAATAACAAGCTGAGTGACCTTGAGTAAGTCCTCTAAACTCTGTAAGTCTCTCTCTTTGTTCCTCTGTAAAGGGAAGAAGTGTGTAAAGTCTATTTCATTCCTAGGGTTTCAGGTAGAAGATGTCAGGTCTTGAGAAGAGCAACTAAAAATATGACCCCCTTGTGATGCCAAGGGAGTTACATCACCCAGTACTTACAAGAATCCAAATGTTGACTGAGATCTGTAAGCAAAAAGAAACACTGAAAAGCCTTGTCAGGCATTTTGTAGTCATCTGGTAATACAGTCTTGAATGTGTCTATCTTGAGAATACCCAGATATTTATACCATGTTTGGTATTTCACTTAATGAGATGCAGTGAGGTCCCTTTCAGGCATTAGAGCCACAGTGAAGAATAGAGGAACAGGACAGCCTGTCTTGACAGAGTGAACAACACACTGTTGTCGCCAGCTTGTTGATGACATTGATCATTTGAGTTCAACCCGCTATGTTCATTTATTTGTTCATCAACAAATATTTACTGTGCAACTTTCCTAAGCAAGAGACTATGCAAAGACTTAGGAAATTCAAAGGTATCACCCCTGCCTTCTCTGAATGTGAAATCTAATTTGAAGAGATAACTATCCATGCAATTACAAAACAAGATATTGTATGACACGAGTCACATGACTTGAGGCAATAAATGCCATTAATCCAGTGGATTTTAAATTTATTCAATGTCTTTTTCAGCAGAGTAAGATATTAATTCTAGATGGAGTTCTCCAAGGTTTTTCCAGTGAAAGTGGAATTTGTATTGGCATATAATGGATGAATATAAAGGAAGAAATGAACTGGAGGGTGTTTACTCTAGGGAGGAAAAATTAGCACAAACAAAGGCACTAAGCTGAGAAATCTCAAAGCAATCAGAATAGAGCAGATGATATCTTACACTGTTGCTTAATGTGTCAACAACCTGCAGGTCCCTACACAATAGTTCTAGACCTTATGAAGCAGATCCCATCAAACTTATCCTTGACCCAAAGTGCTTGTTTCTTTGACCAGAATTACTCAGTTGATTAAATTCAGTAGTGAGTTGCTGGACCACGGTTTAGAAGTCTATAGATCCAGTCTTTTTACTAACATGGAAAAACAAAATAGGCCTTCCCATTTTTGCTCACATCCAGTGAGAATAGAAGAGTGTGGGGCCTCCTACTCCTCTCTTAGTGTTAGGTGTGTCTTATGTCTTTAGCTAACCCAATAGGTTTAATCCACAATAAAGCCACTGGGACAGTCAGAAACATGAGTGGCAAAGAGCCAAATCATTGGGCTTCCCAGTGGAAAACATGCTTCATAATACCCCAGACATATCTAGATTTAGCAGTATATCATTGCTCCACTGAGCATGTTATTAATCTTGTTAGCCATCAGCCATATTTGGTATCATATCCCTGCAATGAACTTCCTTTGCAAATCAAAACCTAAAGTATGACATCACCAGCAGCTGGAGTTGGGAAATAAACTCAGGGCTAACACCAAGAGAAAACATAAACATTGGAATAAGCAAATATGCTCAACGAAAGGGAGATGCTTTATACCACACATCTAGTGCTAACTTCTCTCACACCTGATCTGAATTCATCCCATTTAATAAATGTTAGCCTAAAATAATTCTCATTATTGTATATAGTTTTCAGTAGTTTGGGTGTTTTTAAATCTCATGAAAAGATTTTTACAAATAACTTATCTTCTTTACAAGGTTTCTATTTCAATTACCTTCTGTAACACAGCACTTCTACTGTTTTAAAGTTTGGTGTTTGTTCCTTCACCTCACACATTCCACTCTTAGAGAAGTTCCTCTCAGTTGGCAGTTTCTATTTATATTTCAACATATTAGTACAACAAATTTAAATAAAATCCTCTACTTGTATCATTAATTAGCATTTGGCAATGGGCCTGATTAAATGCCCTTGGAAGCAAAATGATTTAAGTATCAAAAAGGTTATTTTTATCATCTATTAAAAATGCCTGTTAGAGAACTATTGCCACCACCTTCCCAGCCTCTGCACAGAGTCTAGTATAGTACTTAATGCACCTCTCCAGATTGCATTGAGTAACTGTCAGTCAGCGTGGTCAGTTTTTCTAACAAATGAGGAAAGCTTGTCTGAAAGAGAGGAGTTTAAATAATTAAAAACCTTTTAAGTTTAAATGAGTAAAATAATTTCTGGAGTTCATGCTGGAACTTCAAGAAACAAGGTTTTCTCTTAGTTATTGACATTTCTCCTTGATATGTATATTTTATTGATTGATATTGACTTCTTATTGAAGGTCTTCTCTGTGCCTGGGATTTATTTAACCAGCAGAACTCCTAATCTGTACTCTTCTAACTGAGAAGCTGAATGTGCTTTGTCAGACACCCTGACTGAATGTGAACTGCATTGAGCATAGAAAACTTTGGCTTTATAGCTACTGACTGTCATTCATAGGTCTCTCTTATTCACCACTGTGTTTCTAGCAAATAGTATAGTGCCTGGTAATAAACGCTCACTAAATATGTGTTATATAATGAAGTATATCTACCTAGAGTATATCTCTAAAAAGAGAGGATGGCTTAAAAATAAGGTAGATTGCCATATATTTTCTACTTGTTTGTGATTCCATTTAAATATGAGATATAGCTATAAGAAGTGAGTGATTTGGAGGGAAAATATTTGGAGCAAGTAATGCAGTGAGCCTTGAAAAATCAGCCACCGTGACAGTATATTGCCCCCCTCTTATGAAATGATCTAGGTGAGAACGAAATAAAGAACAGAAGAAAGGGAGGAAGGCTATGAGGGAAAGAGAAAAATATTTTTTTTATACTTAACATGGGAAAATGTTATAGCTAAGTATTATCATTGAGTAATCTATTTGATTTTTAAGATTTTCTACAAATTAATACACCCTGTATGAAATAAATAAAAATATCCATTTGCTGTGACTTTTCCAGATATAGTGTTTTGTGTCTTTCTGACTCATCAGGAAAATTAGAAACAATGTTCCATGATGAGTAATGCTTTAGTCACTAAAATAAAGATTTTAATGTTACAAATGGGGGATTTTATTGAATAGAGACTTTTCTGGGCTTTTTTTGGCATATGAGTAAATATTTATTAAGCAAAGAGATTTAAGACATAAAGACTCCTGTCAGGGAATTTACAATCTGCTATCTTCAATAACAGTCTTAGGAGGAAAAAAGGAAAAATATGGAAATAAAGAGGAATCTGTGTTTCAAGAAAACCTTCCAGAAAGAAAGAGGAACTGGAGAAGAGGGGGAAACAATACAACATAATGAATTTAACACCTGAAAAGAACCTCAAATTCTAGGGAGGAAAATATGCTCAGAAATGTAATCCACCACCACTTTCAGTCATAGGTACAGTGTTATTCAATTTTACCAACAAAAAAATCCAAATATTGAAGAAAATGAAAGTAGATCTGAACTATAATATTAATAAAATATTTATCAGTCAAACATTCATACTAAGAAGCTGGCTACTTTTCAAACATAACTCAACAGTGAACGAGATGAATTTTAGATCATGTATGTAAAAGAGGCTTGAAATAATCCTCTGAATATCAATGCTAGTTTTTGTAAACACAGACAATACACCCCTTAGCACATTGAGTTGTCTTCATCTTGGGAAACATTCATTGCATTGGTTGCATATTCTTAAATTTTTTCCCCTCATTTCCTTAGTGCTACTAAAAAGTAAACCGCCCAGAAAAAAATTACTGCCCTTCTCCATGGCACCATGAAGGCAAATGTATCAGGTGAATAGATTGACGTATGTAAGCTTGCTCCATGACAGAAGAGAGAAGGACAGGGAAGGAATCCTTAGTACGGGTCTTCTATGTGCCAGATGCTGTACTAAGGATATTGTGAATCCTTTTTGAATCTTCATGACAACCTTGGAAATTAGTATTAATAGAAATATTATTTCTATTTTAGAGAAAAAGAATTGAGAATCAAAGACCTATTTACCAGTTTCACAAAGCTAACAATTAGTGCAAGTAGGATCTGAACACAGGTCCATTAAGCTAAAAATTGCTAGCTCACCCCCCACTAGACCACGCAACATCCTTTACAAGAGAAAGGTTCAATAAAACCAGCATGCACTCATTCTGGTCTACAAATATGCACTCAGTGTTAGATGACTTGTTATGCTTAACTGAATAAGTGCTGCCAGTGACAACAGCTTGGTTGCTTCTATAATCTGTACTCTGGAAGTAATATTCATATGTCTGTGTCATGACCTTTGTGGGTACTTTTTAGGTAGCTCTCTTGTGAAGCTAACATTGCCTGTTTTGTAGATTCCACATTTGTTGAATGGTCTGATGTTGGTAATTATCTCTACCACCACCAAGAACAACAACAGATTGTGTCTTGTTATTCTCTGCAGCCACTAACACAGCACCTTGCATAGAACTGGTAGTAAATGATTACTGAATCAAACTGAAATATATTGAACTGAATTGAATTGTCTTGAATTAAGAGACCAGGTAGCATGTTCACATCATTTTTGGCTCAAATAACTATTGAGCACTGTATGCCAGGTGACACTGTATTTCCTAGTATAATCCAGGCTGTTTCATTTTCCTCCAACATCTTTAAAATAGAAAACAAGAACCCATTGTTTGTTATTTTACCATGGACCCCTATAACTTGAGATATAACAGTATTTAATATTTTTTAACGTTGCCATTTAGAGCTACAAGTCAGTATTATAGACAAGTCTACCTTCTGTGTTACTTTTTCCCCCATTGGGAAAGTGGAAATATGAACATTTTACCCTAGAATCTTTTCAATTATGAAAATTTAATTATTGAGTTATGTGTGGCATTGCAGGTTTGGAGGAAGAGTGGGAATCTGAAACAATATCAAGATGCTCTGTGATTTACTCCCTAGCGTGATCGGACTTCCTCTGCAACTTGGGTTAGAGCCCTGAGAACCACAGTCCCTGAGTGATTTAGTCTGCTGGTGTCTGATTCTTCTAACTCCTTTTCCACATGGCCATGACCAATGTGGCCATTCAATGTGGCCATTCGTAAGATATGCGAATTCTCAGGGATGTAATTAAGGAGGCACTGGGATGCTTTCATCAAAGGACAGTTTATCCGCTGCAGCTCTACTGCTGTTGTGCAGGTTAACTACTTGGCAGTCCGTTCATGTCCTGGAGTCAATCTGTGTTTAAAGAATGGAGGTGCTCCCTCTCCCTCTCCCCCTCCCCCTCCCCCTCTCCCCACAGTCTCCCTCTCCCTCTTTTTCCACCGTCTCCCTCTGATGCCCAGCCGAAGCTGGACTGTACTGCTGCCATCTCTGCTCACTGCAACCTCCCTGCCTGATTCTCCTGCCTCAGCCTGCGGAGTGCCTGCGACTGCAGGCGCGTGCCCCCACGCCTGACTGGTTTTCGTATTTTTTGCGGGGAGACGGGGTTTCGCTGTGTTGGCCGGGCTGGTCTCCAGCTCCTAACCGCGAGTGATCTGCCAGCCTCGGCTCCCGAGGTGCCGGGATTGCAGATGGAGTCTCATTCACTCAGTGCTCAATGTTGCCCAGGCTGGAGTGCAGTGGCGTGATCTCGGCTTGCTACAACCTCCACCTCCCAGCCGCCTGCCTTGGCCTCCCAAAGTGCCGAGATTGCAGCCTCTGCCCGGCCGCCACCCCGTCTGGGAAGTGAGGAGCGTCTCTGCCCGGCTGCCCCGTCTGAGAAGTGAGGAGCCCCTCCGCCCGGCAGCCGCCCCGTCTGAGAAGTGAGGAGCCCCTCTGCCCGGCAGCCGCCCCGTCTGAGAAGTGAGGAGCCCCTCCGCCCGGCAGCCGCCCCGTCTGAGAAGTGAGGAGCCCCTCCGCCCGGCAGCCGCCCCGTCTGAGAAGTGAGGAGCCCCTCTGCCTGGCAGCCGCCCCGTCTGGGAAGTAAGGAGCGTCTCCGCCCGGCAGCCGCCCCGTCCGGGAGGGAGGTGGGGGGCAGCCCCCACCCGGCCAGCCGCCCCATCAAGGAGGTGGGGGGCACCTCTGCCCGGCCGCCCCTTCTGGGAAGTGAGGAGCCCCTCTGCCCGGCCGCCACCCCGTCTGGGAGGTGTACCCAACAGCTCATTGAGAACGGGCCATGATGACGATGGTGGTTTTGTCGAATAGAAAAGGGGGAAATGTGGGGAAAAGATTGAGAAATCAGATTGTTGCTGTGTCTGTGTAGAAAGAAGTAGACATAGGAGACTCCATTTTGTTCTGTACTAAGAAAAATTCTTCTGCCTTGGGATGCTGTTGATCTATGACCTTACCCCCAACCTGGTGCTCTCTGAAACATGTGCTGTGTCCACTCAGGGTTAAATGGATTAAGGGCAGTGCAAGATGTGCTTTGTTAAACAGATGCTTGAAGGCAGCATGCTCGTTAAGAGTCATCACCACTCCCTAATCTCAAGTACGCAGGGACACAAACACTGAGGAAGGCCCCAGGGTCCTCTGCCTAGGAAAACCAGAGACCTTTGTTCACTTGTTTATCTGCTGACCTTCCCTCCACTATTGTCCTATGACCCTGCCAAATCCCCCTCTGCGAGAAACACCCAAGAATGATCAATTAAAAAAAAAGAACGGAGGTGAGTGGGCAGGACAGGGCAGTTTATCTTTGCTACGCTCTCATTTATTATCGCATTGCTTCCTCACATGGCACTACCTCAGCTGATCAAAATCAGGGATCACATATCACCAGAGTTATTGGGATGAAAGGCAAAATACATTTTTTGTTCACTGTACGTAAGAGTATTTAAAATAATCATGGCAATAAATCAGATGGAAATACCCAAACATAGAAGAGGCTTATTCTGGAGCAGGAATTACTTTCTTCTTTTGCTAGCTTCCCATGACAGTTACAGACATCTTCCCAATATATGAATATTCTCAGTGATCAGATTGGCTTGGAAAATTGTGTCAGTCCACACACGGCCTGCAGCCAACAAATCTGCTCTTTATTTCAAACAGGGAATGGTCGGTTATCAGCAGGAGAAGTTCAGCTCTATTCCACTTCCTGACATAAGGCCATAACCCTTTGAAAGACTTCAGCATAAAGATGGTCTACTAAAATAGCATTGATTTAAATCATGCTTTCTCTCTGTCCCTCCTAAATGTCAACACAATCAAAATTTATTGGATGCCCATCATGCTCCAATAAGGTCAAAGTGAGAGGCCAGAAAAAGTATGAAAGAGACAGAGGCGAGTAAGAAGGGCAGATAGACTAGAGGAAATGCAACTCTGAAAAAAATCCTGAAGATTTTTGAAAATACCAGAAATCAAACCACTGAAATCAAACAGGTACAACAAAGTGAAAGCAGAAATTTTTTCATCCATTGAAAAGACATGACAAGTCAATCAACGTAAATGTGACAGACTAGGACCCTCAACACAGAAAACTTGAAGCAAAAACTGTGCCAGGAAGACAGATGGAATTCATCATTCCATTGCAGTATCCTGAAATACACAGGGCTTTGCAAACTATCCCTCTGAACTATGGGAGTAACATCATTTAACACAGTCATTAAATGCAAGAGCCATAACATGTATAGTAATCATGTGAAGGTGACAGCAGTCTGCTGAAAAACACTCAGGACATCTCAAACTTTGCCAGCAGACTCAACAAAGAAAACTGTACAAGGCTCCCTCACATGGCTGAAAAGCTGCCTTTCCATCTAAAGCTATTCAGAAGAGACTATAAGCCCCAACTTAGCATCATTCAATAAGCACGTGATCAGGAATGATTCAGTGGAGAATGACAATCTATGTGCCCAGGGATTGAACATAGGCTCCACTAAATAGTAGAGGCGGTGGGGTACAGAAGGCATTGGGAGAGGTTTACATGGCCAGTCTGTTTTGAGAAGATATGGCTTTCTTAGGAGCCTCCAGCACAGAGTATTTTTGCTGCAACGAAATGTTGTTTTGGAACAAGCCATTCCAGCACACAACAGCATGAACTAACAAAGCCTGGAGTCCAGTGGAGGCCACCTCCTCACCCTGTTACATTAACTGCTGCTAGTGTTGCTATGACAACTTTTCAAAGTAGCCTTACTGGGGACCAGAGTAAAAAAAAACCCTACAGGCACAGATTATGTCTACAGGACATGAAAGAGATGGTCAATGCAGTGGAGGGTAAATGGTCAAGACAGCTCTTAAACATTATTTAGAAACCCTCCACCCCCAATTTAAAAAATTGTCTGAAATGTTCACTTACATTATCATGAAAGTATACAAAAGTTTCTTTATAAACTTTAATATGATAATTACATAGGACCCCGAAAAGTTGCCCTTTCTGATTCCTATGATCAAAATGTAATTTTTCTTTGTCCCAGTGCAAGTGTCCCACATTGCAAGAGACTTTTATAACCCACTTGATATTCAAGCCGCATGAGAGAGGATATTTGATACAGAGAACCAAGTGGAAAAATGAGATCAGTAAGTTTACATGCCACAGTGGCATGTGACACATATCCTATGGTCAAGGACAAGCAATTCAAATAATAAGACGGATGATAAAGAACTCTTCCTTGTTTCCCAATTTTATCAAGAAAAAAATTACTTCCCTTAGTAATTATTTATTTTCCAGTTTCCACACGTGGTTCTCATGATAATTGCTGACTTTGTAAAATGTTAGAACACTGACACTTATGTAAAGCAAAGTGGCTTTTGACATTTATGAAGTGGTGGTTCTCTATAAATATAGAAAAGGGGTAATCATCACAAGAACTACTCAATGGAATAGATCAATAGTGAAGACAAATACTCTTCTTTCATTGAAATTCAGAAGGCAAAAAACGTCCATTTTTTATCTCTTTGATAAACTAGCACATTCTGTGACTTGCCAAATAAGATTTAAGATCACAGCTATGACACAGACACAGGGAAATTTTAGGAAGAAAGGAATCATAGGTCAACTTGGTCTATTTCCTCTCCTCGTATAGATCTATATATAGATATATGTATGTGATCACCTTTGGAGACAGATAGTGGTAGGTATACTGTCACTCACCTTATGATCTCCTGTAAAAAAAAATCATCAGTTGTGGGTAGCTCGTAACACAACATAAGCAGTGATATCTATCACAAAATTGCTGGAAAAGCAGATAAGCTTTGAAGAGTGATTTGGGGAATATAAAGTACAAATTGTGCTTCCATTTTCAGTGACATTCTTTTCCTCACAACCAGAGACCAGTGCTGGAGAAGGCACAGTGGCAGTCAGTTCCCCTGTGGAGACCACAAGCAGCCTAGGCCAGAAGCTTCTCAAAGAGCTGAAATTGGGCATTTATGCATATTTGCCAATTCACCCCTTGTTAGGCTTGCCTATGATATGCGTGGAGGCCAAGCAGCCATAGGCCAGAAAGCAGTTGCCAAACAAGGATAGGCTGTGCCCATCTCAGGAACTCAGCTTGAATGTTGGGTTAATTTTAGCCTTACACAGCATCAGCATGGCTCTTCGACCCTTCTCCCTCACCTCTTTCATCGTATTTTAATATCTTAAAGGGTCAGAGATTTGATTACTATCAAGGAGGTTCCAATTCCCATATGGGTGATATAGGACTCTCGAAACATGTCTGGCGGCATGTTTCATTTATGAACAAATATTTATGGAGCACCTACTCTGAATATGTATGTGAGAGTGTGTGGTTCAGTGGCCAAAAGTGTGTGCCCTGGAATCAGGCTGCCTGATTCAAACCCTGACTGCCATTTGCCAGGTGGGTTAGCCTTGGTCAAATGGGCAATTAAAAATCCTGTGCCTCAATCTCCTCACCTATAAAACGGAGATAACAGTAGCACCCACTTCTTATAAATCCTGTGAGGATTAAGAAGTTAACACATGAGATGCACCTCAACAGTGCCTGGTGTACACTGGCCTTGGGAAGTATCAGCTCTATGTCTTCCCTGGCACAGGCTGGTGCCCACTAATAAATAGGGTGAATTTGTAGCTTCCCATTTCATATCCCTTATCCAGCCTGTCCTACTTGACCCACATCTCATCCCCAAAGAAATAAATGAAATAGAGCATTCTTCTATTTATTATTTTTCCATTTAGCCTAAGGTATACAACTAAGTACAGAATAAACTGTTCATTGTACCTCAGTCTTTCCAAGTTATTTACCATAATTAATTTCAGGGTCCAATAAGACAAATGATTTTTAAAAATAGTTTGTTCCACCTTCAAAATGGAAAATTCTAACTTTCCAATGTGCAATCCTGTTATTCATAAGGATACCTAACCTTTATTGAGTATTTACTATATGCTAGGCATTATGTTAAGCACTTATAAACTTTCCCTCTTAATCCTTATAAAAATCCCAAGAAGTGGGTGTTAGTTGCCCCAGTTTATAGATAAGGAAATTGAAGCTGATAAGGACTACTATCTTGACTAATCTCATACATGTAATAGAGTAACACCAACTGCTATAACAACAAACCCCAAATCTCAGTGGCTTGTAAAAGTAAAACTTTCTTGCTCCTGTCCCAGCCTGATGCAGGACAGTAAGGGTGAGAGGGTGAGTGAGCTGTGCTACCTGAAGTCATTCAAGGATCCAGGCTCCTTCTAACTTCTGGGTCCTTTTCCAGGTTCACTTCAGTCTTCTCCATTCAGCTGGCTAAGTGAGGATCACACATGCAAAGGTATTTTTCTGGCCCAGGCCCGATGATGGCATACACTGCTCCTGTGCTCATTTTAGTGGCCAGAATGTAGTCATATGATCACACCCCAACTGCAAGGGAGATGTGGAATCATGTCATCCTAGGTGTTCATACTTGCAGTCTCCGAGCTGCACTGCTAGGAAATAGCAGAGCCAGGACTTGAACCAGATCCACCAGGCTCCAAAGCCCTTCCTGGTACCCACCACACTATTCATATCTGCATTAGCCTTTCAGATTTCCCTGCATTGCTCTGCCATCTGACTTCTCAACAGATTGCAAGGCTAACTCACTCTATCTAAAGTTGTACTTGTGAAATTTAAAAAACAAGTTTTATATATACCTAGTTGTATATAACTATTTTCTTGACATGATTTATTTCATCTCATCTAGAAAATAGTTAAGAACACCGTATAACTTGTATTGACCTACCTCCATCTCTCACCAGCCTTTGACTTCATACACAGGGACTGTCTCTGACTGAAACAGTACAACCTCCAAAGGGATTCCAAAGTATTACTGTCTCTTCAAAGCTCATATCAAAATATTACTACTATACTAAATGTAAATTTGTCACACATGACATTCAAATTATTTGTATGATTTGTTTAGTCATCTTCATGCAAATATTAATTGGATTTTTTTCCTTAAACTAAGCAAATAAAGACATTGATGACCCATCTTATCAATAAGTGATAAACATCACGAGAATCCTTTAAGAACAGTGTTCACAGACTGATGTGTTGATGCTACACTGAAAAAAATCTGATGACGGATGTAGCAAAGATTA
This sequence comes from Homo sapiens, assembly GCF_000001405.40. NCBI lineage: Eukaryota > Metazoa > Chordata > Mammalia > Primates > Hominidae > Homo > Homo sapiens. Next base: position 138,744,996 of record NC_000004.12, read on the forward strand.
TTCTAATCAATGCAGGTCTACAAAATGATTAAACATTAGGAAAGGCTTGTGCCACTACACACTAGCACCATCAATGTCTGGCAAACATCCTAAATATAAATGGAAGAATCTAACTGAATGATTAATTCTGCTACTTGAGCAACACGCTATTGGAGACCAATTTGGGAAACACATCAATCCCTAATAATAAAAGCCTTTATGCTCAACGATTGAGAAATTTTTATTTACGTCATTATTTCCATTTACCAAATACTTTCCACTGTCTACCTTCTTAGCACAGGGCAGTTTATTCCCCCCATCTCTTTGAAGTTTGACATAGCCGTGTGACTTGCTCTGGTTTATAAAGTGTGAGTGGAAATGACAATTGTCATGTCCAGGCAAAATCTTTAAGAGCAAGTACACAATTTGCCACCCATTTTCCTGCTCTGGTGGATTAAAAATGGCTATAAATTCTCTATTACTTCAGAGTCAAGAAGCGGACTCCGTTTCCCCTCCTTTTGCCTCTGAGTTAGCGCTCTGACTTGCTTTTTCCTCAAGAAGCCTTGAAACTTCACCTCTTACTCTTTCTTGGGACTATACTACCATGTACACAAGTCTAGGCTAGTATCTTTGAAGATGATAGACCAGATGGTTTGAGAGATCCATCCATCCCAGCTGTCCCAGCAATCTGAATTGCTGGGACAATTGGCCAGTCCCCAGCCAATGCACCAACTGACTGTAGGTGCCTGAGCCGCTCCAGGCAAGAACGGCAGAACTGCCCTGCAAAGACCAACCCAAGTTGCAAAATAGTACGCAAATAAATCGTTGTTTTTGTAAGCCACTGAATTTTAGAGTTATTTGTTACATAATAACAATAGGTAACTGAGATACCAGCCCAGGGAACTGTAGAAGCATCTATGGAGCTTCAGCAGCCTGGATTTCTGAGTGAGGATGACATAGACCAGAGTCCTTCAGTCCATGATGAATGTGTAATGTGTAGTAAGAGTCAGAAATAACCCTGTGTCGGCCAGGCAAAGTGGCTCATGCCTGTAATCCCAGCACTTTGAGAGGCCAAGGTGAGGGGGATCATGAAACCCATCTCTACTAAAAATACAAAATAATTAGCCAGGTGTGATGGTGGATGCCTGTAATCCCAGCTACTCAGGAGGCTGAGGCAGAAGAATTGCTTGAACCCAGGAGGCAGAGGTTGCAGTGAGCTGAGATCATGCCACTGCACTCCAGCCTAGGCGAGAGAGCATCAGAGCAAGACTCCATCTCAAAAAAAAAAAAAAAAAAAAAGGAAGAACCCTGGGTCATTTAAGCCACTGAGATTTTGAAGTTGTTTTCTTCTGTGGTTTAACCTAGCCATTCCTTACTGATTCAGAAATTGGTACCAACAAGTGGAATTCTGCTCTGCCAGAAGAAAACTAAAATGTGAGGTCAGGCAGTGGACAGAAAGGAAACCACTATCAGAAGCTACAAGGATGTCAATACCTATTACACAGTGATACAATATGTGCTAAAATGTTCACCTGTGAAAACTCAGAAGGCAGAAAATGTGCCTAAAGGATACGTAGCTCTAAGGAAGAGTAAAGTGCACGCGAAGCAAAGTCCCATAGCCACCTAACGAGGGAACACAGCATGAGTGAGAAATAAACCCCCTAATTTTAAGACACTGAAATGTTTGCAGTCGATCATTATCAAAGCATGTCCTGATAATGCAATCCATGAGCCATGATTAACACTAAAATAGTGTCTGTCTGTACCAAAGGGGAGGAGATACCAAGTCACTGCTTTACTGTGGCCTAGGGAACAAGGTGAACCAACCAGTTGAACATAAGAAATATTGAACTGGACACAAAGCTTTTGGTTCTAGGATGCTGGGAAATGAAAACAGCAGCCAAACCTTCGAGCCTCCTGACTTTCTTGAGCAAAAGCACCAGGTAGCCTGTGGAACAAAGGGCAGTAAATAAAGAAAAGCCCAGTGAAAGAGTGGGAAAGAGTTTGTCTGGGATTTCCTCCCTTTTTAATGTTCTTGAGCCGTGTCTATTGGGAGATTTTGTTATAAATGGCAACACTGGAGAAAACATAGCTCCAAAAAAAAATAACTATTCTGTAATTCTTTTTATCAGTGGGTAAGACTGGTACAATCAAACACATAGACATTATGTAGAATGTGACTCAGAATAAAAGAAACAGTTTGGTTTTATTTTTTATTTGTATTTAGAGCTAGTTTTGAGAAATGTGATTTTTGTAAGACAGCAGGACAGAGAGGAAGCTGGTAAAAATTTACAGTGATTCTTAGACCTTCCCAAGCTTTCCCCTGATATTTTTATAGACCTGACCTCCACTCAACCTTTCTTCCTTCTGGAACTGCAACCACCATACTTGAAGTGTGCAAAAGAGGACTTAGATATCAGCAGGAACTCCAGGTAGGGGAGTAAGATTTAAGTGCAATTGATATCAGGCATCAGATAAATCTCAACCAAGGGAATGAGTCTGTCCCTTCTCAAGCAGCAGGCTTAAACATGCCCAGATCTAGGACTGATAGATGTATGCTGCTATTTCATATACACCAAGGTGACCCCATTCACTCAGGCTGCCATAGCTGTGATTATTGAATAAATGTCCCCAACCGAGAAAGAAGTGCAAAAAGTGATTCTAACAAGCTAGACTCATCATCAGAATCAACATCCCTGAGCTCCAGTGACTGAACCAAGCCAGGCTGGCCCTGTGGGGCCCAGGACTTCATCAGTTCCACTCTGTGCAGCAACAAATGGAAGTTTCCGTCCCAAAGCCCTGCTGATTCTTATGAAAATAGGCACTCCAATATTAATACTGGCTGGGCAGCTAATAAAGTAACTATCAGTTATCCAAGAATGTCATTATTCTTAGCTGCTAGTAAGGGAAAGGGCCAAGAACAAGGCAAAGGAATCCAGGGAAAGACAAATGTAACACTTAAGAAGAAATATGAGCAGAAAGGGTAATGTTAAATCATTTGATCATTTAACTAGGAAAGCATTGAATGCAAGATTCATAAAATTTGAAAAGTGGTATACTTATGATTCAAAAGATTCATTTTTTTTCCAACAAAATGGGTACCAGCACAGAATTCTAACCTTTCTGGTTAAATACAGCCTACAGAATACCAAAAAAAAAAAAAAAAGAGAGAGAGAGAAAGAAAAAAGAAAAACAGAAAAAAAAAAACCACTGTGTTAGCTTCAGGCTGAATTACTGCCCTCTCTTTAATAATGCCTGCAATTGTGAGATGTGGGGCTTTTTGATGCTGTATAGTTATCAACCTGTGAAATATCTGATTCTGTAAACTTTAAGAACATAGCAATAGCAAATCAACCAAAGTTGGAGGCTCAGTGAAAAAAGGATATCCCCAGCATTGTTCCTAGGGAAGAACTCTGCTTTTCGTCAAAAGGCCCCTGAGGCCCCTTGAAAAAGGGATAAGATGCCTTGAAACAGATTTTGATTACATTTGTCCCACTTAAAAAAAAACTCAGTAAAAAAATCAGAGGAAACAATTTTTAATACCAAACCAAATAATGTGATGGCTTTTTAATTAGTATTGGTATTATCTAGGCACAGACTGGGTGGATGATACAATGTCAAAGGAATTTTTTTCTTGCCCAAAAGTTTGGCTCTGTGCTCTTTGCTCCTTGGTTGATACCAATTTCAACAGACAAATTGTCAATTCATGGTCCACATTTTTTCACTGGTTAAAGAATAAATCCTATTATCTGAACTAATCTCTGTAACCTCATGTCCCACCTACACCCTTACAAATCCCTCCTCAGTCACCTGTGACATGGCCTTACTAGACCACTTGATGTTTCCCAAACATACCAGACTCTTACCTATCCCCATATACTGTTCTCTACTCTCAAAGCGTCCCCTTCCCACTCCATAATGTAGTAAAACCCTAATCAGATGCAGTACTAGTTATTCAATATGATTTCCTTGAACAACACCTAGCAGAATGAACAGCACACTCCCATCCCCAAAGACTTTGTTCATATAGCTACTTTATCAATCACCACAAAACCATGTGCTCCTTAAAGACAGCAATCACTCTTTAGCCATCATTCTACCCTGATTATTTAAATGAGAACTGTATTAGTTATCCATTGCTACAAAGCAAATTATCCCAAAACTTTAGTGGCTTAAAACATCATTTATTATTTCACAGCTTCTGTGAGTCAGGAATATAGGCATAGTTTAACCAGGTCTAGGTCTTCCAGCTCTGGATCTCTCAAGGGTGTAACCAAGGTGTTGGCAGAGGCTGTATTCTCATCTGAAGGCTCAGCTGGGAGTGGACCTGCTTCCAGGCTCCCTCTCAGAGTTGTCAACCAGATCGAGCTCCACACAAACTATTATCTCCCTCAGTTCCTTCCCACATAAGCCTCTCCACAGGGAAGCTCACAATAGGGTAGCTATTTTCATCAGAGCAAGCAAGTGAGAAGGAAATGAAATGACAGCAAGAGAAAGAGTGCCAGTTGAAGTTGCAGCCTTTTGTCCTGTTAGTGACACCCCAACACTTTTGCCATATTCTATTTGTTAGAAGTGAGTCACCATGTCAAGCCTGCACTCAAGGGGAGGCTATTATTACACAAGGGCATGAATACCAGGAGTCCAGATCACTGAGTGCTCATGTCAGAAGTAGCCTCTCACAAACACCTTACGTAGTATTCATTCAGTAAGGGTTTATTTATAAAAGTAAAAAAGAAATGTGACATTTTCTTCAAATATCTTTAGTTATATGATCAGTTCTGTAAACTTTAAGGATATGTAATAATGGAAATTAAACAAAGCCTATGTTTAGAAACACATTTTCAAAATTAGCACCAGAGTTTAAAAAATTGACTTGAGAGGGAAAAAAGTTCTTGCCATTCTCCCAAAATCATCTCAACCATAAAATCTGGATCAAAACTTTAAGACTGTCAATGTCCATGATTTATTATCCCAATGTTCAGGAGAAAGAAAAATGGATAGGAAAATAAGATATACACATGGTGACAAGATATTAACAACAAGTTAATCTAGATGTAGGATATGTGGATGCTCATTACTCAATTCTTTCAACTTTTCTATATGTTTTGACATTTTTCAAAACAAAAAATGGTGTGGATTGTAGATTTTAAAGAACCGTTTTACACTGCTCACTCATAAGCTAATAATATAGTCTCAAATCTAATGTGAATATATAATTTTAATAAGTAACTCTAGCTGCTGTAACTAACAAACCCAAAAGCTCAATGGCTTCTAGTGATAAATGTTTGTTTTTCACTCTTGTCATGGTCAGTATAGAGCAGATTTCCTAAATGACTCTCATTCAAACAGTACAAACTGTCATCTACAACTTACCTCTGAAGAAGAAGGTAGGTATGTGGATAATTGTAAAGGGGTTTTATGTCCAGAAGCAAAAATGGCATTCATCACTTCCCATCATAGCTCATTGACCACAAACCATTCAAATGACCCCAACCTAACTGAAAACAAGGCTGGGAAATGAGGACTTTCTATGTCAGGGAAAGGAAGTAGGACTGATAAATATCTAGCCAGTCTCTGACAGAAGAACATTGTCACTCTAGTTGCTTTCCTCGTAGATGAAGAACCTTCTTTAAATAAAGATTACACGATGAATAAGTTTCTAACAGAAACTAAAATATAGGTATACCAGCTTTCAAGTCAGTAGTTTGACAATGATTTCCAAATACTAGTTTTCTGAAGGATCAAGTCAGTACCTTGAATTAAGTTATATCAAGTTCTCAAAGAACTACCTTCAACTAGTTACATTTAGGCCTAAAGAGCATCACTGTCTTTAGATAGAGATAAGTATGTTGCCATCTTAGGAAGCTGAAGTCAGTCTGATTCAGTATTTCTTCATTCAGGCCTGAAGAGGTGGAGTTGTATTAGGAGTCTACCTCTGAAGCAAAACTTTTATGCTTATAGTGCCCAAAAATGTTTAGCAAAGCCAAAATAGAATTCAATCTCTATTTATAAGAAAGGTAAACACTATTTGTTTTCTGGGTCCAAAGTTTCTCTTGTTTGTAGCAGACACTCCTGTAGACCAGGGAGTGGGGTAAAGGAAGGTAAAGAGATGCAGCAGTGAGGGAAGGCCACCAGCAGAAGAATAATTAGAAGGCCAATCCAAATTTATACTGGTTTGTTAGGTGATGGGTTGTCATTTCAGTCCAGATGCTTTCAAGAAATTCAAAAAAAATCTAGAATTATCATATTAGTGAGGGGGGAAAAAAGTGTAAAAGTATCATGCTATGTCTTTTTACATGGTTACAATAGAAACATTCAAAGCAAAAAAAATATTTATGGGTCTGGGATGTGTGTGTATGTGTGTGTCCAAAAGAAGTCCTGTCTGATAATATTGAACAGATTGGTATAAAAAAGAAGGGCCTATATATAACCACTCCACCTTATGTATGGTCTACATTAGCACAGCAGGGGAAAGCGAATCATGCTTCTGCATCATGAATAATGAATGCAGCATATTGAGCAATGCAGTCTTTCTCTAATTGTTAACATTCTCTTTCACCAATAGAAATATCAGAGACAAAACTCTAGGACTTAAGAAGCACATATTTTGTTCCTCATGGAGAATTTGAGGTCAAGGGTATATGAAAGTATTAACTATGCCTGTACTGTCTTCTTTTTAAAAAAAAAAAAAAAATCAGGCTGGGCACGGTGGCTCACGCCTGTAATCCCAGCACTTTGGGAGACCGAGGCGGGCGGATCACGAGGTCAGGAGATCGAGACCATCCTGGCTAACACAGTGAAACCCCGTCTCTACTAAAAAACACAAAAAATTAGCCGGGCATGGTGGCGGGCGCCTGTAGTCCCAGCTACTAGGGAGGCTGAGGCAGGAGAATGGCATGAACCTGGAAGGCAGAGCTTGCAGTGAGCCGAGATCACACCACTGCACTCCAGCCTGGGTGACAGAGTGAGACTCCGTCTCAAAAAAAAAAAAAAAAATCAACTTTTATTTTACATACAGGGTGATATGGTTTGGCTCTGTGTCCCCACACAAATCTGATGTTAAATTGTAATCCCCAGTGTCATGGGAGGGACCCAGTGGGAGACGATTAGATCATGTTCTCATGATAGTTGGTGAGTTCTCACGAGATCTGGTGTGTTGGTTTGGTTTGGTTTGGTTTGGTTTGGTCTGGTTTGGTCTGGTCTGGTTTGGTTTGGTTTGGGAGACGGGGTCTCTCTATGTTGCCCAGGCTGGTCTCAAACTCCTGAGCTCAAGCCATCCACCTGTCACACCCTCCCAAAGTGCTAGGATTACAGGTGTGAGCCACCGCGCCCAGCCAAGATCTGGTTGTTTAAGTGTGTAGCACTTCCCTCTTCGCTCCCTCTCTCTCCTGCTCCTCCATGGTAAGATGTGCCTGCTTCCCCTTTGCCTTCCGCCATGATTGTAAGTTTCCTGAGGCCTCCCAGACATGCTTCCTGTATAGCCTGTGGAACTGTGAGTTAATTAAACCTCTTTTCTTCATAAATTACCCAGTCTCAGGTAGTTCTTTATAGCAGTGTGAGGACAGACTAATACACAAGTGTTACATGTACAGGGTTGTTACCTGGGTACAGAGCACCCAGGTAGTGAGCATAATACCCAATGGGTAGTTTTTCAACCAACATCCCCCTTCCTTCCTCCTCCACCCCAGTAGCCTGTAGTGTCTATTGTTCCCATGTTTATGTCTATGTGTGCTCAATGTTTAGCTCCAACCTGTAAGTGAGAACATGTGGTATTTGGTTTTCTGTTCCTGTGTTAGTTAGCTTAGGATTATGGCCTCCAGTTCCATCCATGTTGCTGCAAAAGAATGAACACTATTTCATTCTTTTTATGGTTGTATAGTATTCTATGGTGTATATGTACCACAGTTTCTTTATCCAATCCACCACTGATGGGCACCTAGGTTGATTCCATGTATTTGCTATTGTGAATAGTGTAGCAATGAACACAAGTGCATGTGTCTTTTTGGTATAATGATTTATTTTCCTTTGGGTATATACCCAGTAATGGGATTGCTGGGTCAAATTGTAGCTCTGTTTTAGGTTCTTTGACAAACCTCCAAACTGATTTCCACAGGGGCCAAACTAATTTACATTCCCACCAGCAGTGTATAAGCCAAGCCCAGTGTTGAGAAGGGTATTTCCTATGTTTTCTTCTAGGACTTTTCTAGTTTGAGGTCTTACATTTAAATCTTTAATCTATCTTGAGTTAACTTTTGTACATGGTCAAAAGTAAGGATCCAGTTTCGTTCTTCTGCATATGGTTAACCAGTTATCCCAGCACCATTTATTAAATAGGGAGTCCTTTTCCCATTGCTTGTTTTTGTCAGCCTTGTCAAAAGTAAGATGGTTGTAAGTGTATGGCTTTATTTCTGAGTTTTCTATTCTATTCCATTGCTCTATGTGTATGTCTGTATTTGTACTAATACCATGCTGTTTTGGTTACTGTAGCTTTATAGTATAGTTTGAAGTTGGATAGTATGATGCCTCTGACTTTGTTCCTTTTGCTTGGGATGGCTTTGGCTATTTGAGCTCTTTTTTGGTTCCATATGAATTTTAGGATAGGTTTTTATAATTTTATGAAGAATGATGTTGGTAGTTTGACAGGAATAGCATTGAATCTATAAATTTCTTTGGGCAGTATTACCATTTTAATGAAATTGATTTTTCCAGTTTTTGAGCATGGAATGTTTTTCCATTTATTTGTGTCATCTCTGATTTCTTTCAGCAGTGTTTTGTAGTTCTCCTTACAGAGATCTTTTACCTTCTTAGTTAGCTGTATTCCTAGGTATTTTATTTTCTTTGTGGCTATTACAAATGGGATAATGTTCTTGATTTGACTCTAAGCCTGGACATTATTGGTGTGTAGAAATGCTGCTGACTTTTGTACATCAATTTTGTATCCTAAAATTTCCTAAAATCATTTATCAGTTCTAGTAGCCTTTTGGTGGTGTCTCTGGGGTTCTCTAAATATAGAATCATATTGTCAGCAAAGAGAGATTGTTTGACTTCTTTTCCTATTCAGATACCTTTTATTTCTTTCTCTTGCCTGATTGCTGTGGCTATGACTTCCAACTGTACTTTCCTAACATCACAGTTATAAGACAGAAGAGTTTAGCAGATGAGCAACTATAATGCCAGCAGCATCACTGCATTATATTGGAGCATGAATTCTTCATGACCATCTAGGTAGGATGCCTTAGTTTGAGTGGTTGAACTCCAAGATGGTTTCAAAGACCAAAAGACAATAATTTCTCTCTATTTTTCTGTGAAAGGCATAAACTGACACTATTTTGCTATAACTCAGCAATTGTTTAATTTATTTAAAGAATAAAAAAGATATATTTCTGTTTGTATCTGATTATAAGTATACCCATGTCTAGTAGCATTGGAAGAAAGGTGCACAATTTGTAAGATATAAGACCCTGAGCCAGTGAAAACAGGGCTACTTGTACCCAACATAGATATGATTTTAAATTGCAGGGAAGTTTCCTTGCCCCTAATAGTTCTCCCATAATTCTGAAAAGCTTCACTTTTTTCATTCATTAGAGAAAGGTTTTGTAAATTCATAAAGCTCATACAATTTTTGTATGGGCTTGGGACATTTTCCTAGGGAGAGTTACTAGGGCTATCATCAGATTCCCCCCAAAAAATTATTTAGCACACTAAAATGAAGGCATTGAACACTTACTTGGTCAATAAGCTCTTCAAATGCAAATTACCCTTTGAAGATTAGAGATGCCATTCACACAAACAGTTCTCAAAGGCTGATTGGCTTGTGACCAATGCATGCAGAAATTGTTACCAACATGAAGCCTTCTTCTTAGGTACTTTTCTAATGACCGCAGCTTAGGTGAATAGGGCACTCAGGTTGCACAGACTTATGTGTCTGCAGATGCTGCATTGCGCTTGCTCTGTAGTCTGTTTTCAGCTTATTTGCTAACCAGACACCCTGCTCACAGCTTAATTTCTTAGGTTTCTCACCAGTCCCCCCAAAGAGTAATTGTGGAAAAGCAATGGATAACTTGAGTAGGCTTCTGAGTTCACCTAGAACATTTCAGGTTGAGTGAACAAGTTAAAATAGATAGCTTATATTTTTGTCAAGTTACCCCATGTGAAATTTGATATTTGACAACGACTATGCTAAAAAAAAGTTTTCAGATCACGTTAGACACTCTTGACCTTTTGATGTGGATTGTTCAGTTGACAATTTTGCATGTGAAATTGTAAAATAAAACTGAATGTTGTCATTTTATTGAATTCGATCTTCTAAAAATGTATCCTTTTTTTAAATATGTCATTGTAAATTTGCCAACTGTCTCCTAGTAGACTAAACTATCTTTTATTATAAGATTGTATTTATCCTGATTTTTAGGTATTAAGCTGTCCTTTATTTTATAAAATTATGGTTATAGAAGATGAATTAAAAAATGATCATCCAGGCCGGGCGCGGTGGCTCACGCCTGTAATCCCAGCACTTTGGGAGGCCGAGTCGGGCGGATCACGAGGTCAGGAGATCCAGACCATCCTGGCTAACACGGTGAAACCCCGCCTCTACTAAAAACACAAAATTTAGCCGGGCGTGGTGGCGGGCGCCCGTAGTCCCAGCTACTCGGAGGCTGAGGCAGGAGAATGGCGTGAACCCGGGAGGTGGAGCTTGCAGTGAGCCGAGATAGCACCACTGCACTCCAGCCTGGGCGGAAGAGCAAGACTCCGTCTCAAAAAAAAAAAAAAAAAAAGATCATCCAAAATTTTCAAAATTTTCCTTATTCATAAAATCTGAAAGCCTAACACTGATTTATACTGTAATGTGAATTAGCTTATCAACTTGATTTCCTACTTAGAGAAGGCTGGATGCTCTAATGAAGAAAGAGTGAACGCAATGGGAGACAGAATAGAGAGAAGTAGAGATGTTCTGACATTTGAGAAACTTCAGTCTTAGTTCCTGTGTGCTGCTATAACAAAACACCTGAGACTGGTACTTTACAAAGAACAAAATTTATTTCTCAAAGTTTTGGAGACTGGGAAATCTAAGATTATGGCACTGGTATCTGGTGTTGGCCTTCCTGCTGTATTCTTACATGGTGGAAGATGGAAGAGCAAGAAACAGAAACCACTCTTACACGCCCTTTTTATAGCGGCATTTATCCATTTATGAGGACTCAGCCCTCGTGACCTAAATACCTACCGTTAGGTCTTACCTTCCAATGCTGTTGCATTGAGGATTAAACTTCCAACACATGAATTTGGGGAGACACATTAAGAGTACAGCAGTTGACATAGGTGAAACATTCTTGTTAGGGTTTGGAGCTGTTGAGGGCAGTATGAAGGATCTGGGGACCTGGATACCAACAGGGAAGTTGGATGGACCCCTAAACAAATTCTGTTTTTGTCATCATGTTACTAATGCCTTTTTATGGCAGTCAGGGTATATTTGTGATAGTAACTGGCTAAAAAAGCTAAAAGCTAATGCTTCCACTACAAAGACATCTTAGAGGTGTTATTTTATTAAAAAAACTAAAAGTTGTAGATCATCTGACATGTTCATTTATAGGAAACTCTGGAAAAAAAATGTTTTATTTTGCTTTCATGGGTCTATCCCTCTGGTGACAGTTTAATATCTATAGAGAGACAAAGAGATGTTGCTTAAGCACAGACAAATCTAAAACAAACCAAAGGTCCTGTTTGTACAGTTCACCTGGGCCTGGTGACATGGCCACATTGCATGGAAATTCCTCATAGATACTATTCCTGATGTTCTGAGGATTGTCTCAATCATTCCTTCACTCTTTCAGCAAATATTTATTTGGAATGAGTTGACTCTTTCCACCCCATCCAATAAAACTAACTAATATACACCAGCCAAATAAGAATGTTGGATCTTTAAACATCAAAGGCCACATTTATATGAAGTAGAAAATATATCTTTAAGTTTATAAAAGCCCTGGCAGAAGCGTGGCTTTTTTTTTTTTTTTTGAAGAATCGTGACCATCAGTCTGGGAAATGACTGCTCACCCAGTGGCCTGCTGTTGAAATCTCTCTGGGCCACTTGGTGTCTTTGGTTTACAACAAAGAGAGGCTCATTCTGCAGCTATATAAAAGGATGTCCTAATAAAAAAGCTTCTTACCTGTCTCAAAGGAATATGGGAAGGATGAATTAGATAATACCTTCAAAGGTACTTTTAAATGGTGCTATGGAAATAGAAGATGCTATCGCTATTGTCATTTTGTTATAGACAATAGTGTTACTTGTTTTTCTTGGAAAACCTAAATTTGCATCCAAAAGAAAAGCCAAAAAGCAAATATACTTAAATCAGCCATTTGAGGGACTTAAAAATGCATTTGTGGCTAGATGGACTTTTCTTTTCTATGGTTCCCTTCTCCTTTCCTCCCTTCCAAGTTCAAGCAACCCCATGAGGCCTGAAGTTTCTGAAGTCAAGGATCGGCAGAAGAATAGAGACAGGCAATAGCGATATATAAGTTGAAAACAGTAGAGAACAAAATTATAGAAACTTATCACAAGAGGAGACCTTTGAGAGCATGTCATTCAAACTCTTTGCTATAGTAATAGAAGACTTAGACCCAGAAGGTTAAGCAACATTCCAAACGTTACACAGATAGTTAAAAACAGTTGTGGTCATTCTTAAACATATCCAAATGGCTGAAAAGAGAAAAGGAAATCTCCAGTGCCTGTTTCGGCATCACCATAGTCCCAGGACCTGCCTCATACTCATGAACATGTCCCCACAGGATGGGAGGTAAGAGTTAGGGCCCTTGAGTCTAGTGACTTGGGCTCCTTCCTGACCCCACCCCACTCCCTTGTGGGGTAACCTTTGACAAGTAATCTCTCTAAGCTTAATTTCCCTGGGCTGTAAAAGTGGATGTTAGCAGTACCTACTCACCATGGGGTTGTTGAGAGGATGAAATGAGACTACATAGACAATGTTTAGCACAGTATCTAATGAAAATTGTTGTTTTAGTGTCCCTGGATAACAAAATTAAATGAGAATTAAATGGGAAAATGCATATAACACGTTCATCACAATGCCTGACATCATAATAATTGCTCAGATACTCCCACACAAGCATTCATTTAACAAGTATTTCTTGAGTTCTTACTGGGTGCTAGGAACTATGTTATGCCCTGGGAATTCTACTCCCTGAGCTCAACTTGCTTGTTGTCAAATGGAAGAGGCAGACAAATGCATGTAGTCAAATACATGCTCTATATTGGGGTAGGCAAACTTAACCCACACGCCAAATCCATGCCTACTTTTGTATGGCCCACGAGCTAAAAATAGTTTTTCCACTTTTAAATGTTTGGGAAAAATTAAATAAAAGAGAATATTTCACGATACATGAAGAGTATATGAAATCCAGATTTCAGTGTCCATAATTACATTTTACTGGAGCACAGCCATGCTCATTCATTTACATATTGTCTGTGACTGCTTATACCCTGTAACAGCGAAGTCGAATAGCTGCAACAGAGACCATATGGTCACCAAAACCTAAAATGTTTACTATCTGGCCCTTTTCAGAGTGATCTGCCACCTCTGTTCTATATCTTGGTAAATATCACAATACAGATGTGTACTGAAGGGTGCTAGAGAAGCACAAGTGGGGTGGAGGCCCCCTAATCCTGCCTGGGAACTTGTGAAAGCTTCACTAAGGAACTGAGTCTTAAAGGATGAATAGGAGTTTGCCAGATGGAAAAGGGGACATGAATGTACAAAGGCCCAGAATCAGGGCAGGGCAAAGGAGGGTCTGGGAAAACAGCAAGCCACGGAGTGCTTCTTCAAGCAAACCCTGACCTCACTGTTCTAGCAACATCCATAAAAGCCATCTCAAGTGTTCAGGGTTTCAACTGTCTGCCAATCTCCAGAACAATGTCCCCAATGCCATAACAATTACCTTCTCCCATAAAAATCACCTAGAACTTCTGATCCCTCTGGGTTTTCAAGTGTCTGATGGAAATGAGACTTAATGGCTTCATTGTGAATATGATCCTTCCTTGTGTGCGTGGCCAGTCTCACTGGCATGTGTCACAGGATTAATCTATAACTGTGACTGGTTCTTACTAAAGGTGTTAAAACTAGACTTGGCTACAGTTTTAAGGAGCACTGAGACATGCACTCCGTGGATAAAAAGGAGCAGAGTAAAAAGAAAATAAACAAGGGCAGGCCAGGACTTAGCAAGCGGCACCAAAATGACACGTGGGAACATGGGAACGGCTGGTAAAAGGGTATCTTCTGATCCCTAGGCTAGAAGATGGGCAGAACTGACAATTGGAGACAGGCCTGAAACTTGGGATGTGGAGGAGCAGCAAATGGTAAGTGCATAAGCAATGGCAGTCATCAGAGCCTATGACATGGCACTGACTTCACCAGTCAGCGGAAGGCCCTGCTGTTGTTGTATACCCAGAGGCTGCCGTAAGCTTGAAGTTACATGACAGAAACTAAGAAGACTAAATCCAAATGTGAAATACACACACACGCACACACACACACACACGCTTGCTCACACAAATACATATCAGTTCACCTTCTCCTTTCTGACTAGGAAGGGCTAGTTAGGCACAGCAGTTCACCTTAGCCTAATGCACCTTTGAGCATTATTTCATTCTCCAGCCAGCCCTCATCCATCGAACAACACAATGATTGAGCTCCTCTGTGAGGCAAGCACTATGCTAATTTCTGGTGCTGCTGTAGGGAGCAAGACAGAAACTGTCATGGCTCTTGCAGAGCTCTCTGCCTAGCAGGAAAGACAGATGTGATGTCAATTACCTGAATCCTCTGGAATGACAGAATCAAGCAGCTTATTAGAACCAAGCTGGGCAGTGGTCTACTGTGAGGACGGAAGGGGAATGGACAGCTCCCCTCTGTGGACATTCCCTTAGAGGCCCCTAAGAAGCATGGTTTGTGTCCTACTTTTTGGTAGTGATTAAACAAATCTGCCTCGCTCTTACAGCCATGAACGCAGAAAGGCTTTGTCAAGGAGATAAATCCAAGTTGCATGCAGCACACTGCACTCAGAGCATCTTCACCTCTTCCCAAGTCAATCTCTTCATGCCTGGCTCTCCCCTCACTTACGATGGGTGCTCTCCCAGAATCCTCCTCGGTGCCTCTGCAAATAGACTTCAGTGGGCAACCCCACCAGGTCAGAGATGCCCAGACATGTCTGCAGAGCAGCAGGGGATACCACTTGTGTTCCTTACTGGGAAGCTACTGAGCCCCCGAGAAAATACAATTTGTCCAGTCCCTGTTTTTTTTAGCTATGTTGGACATGCCAGAACCATGCTTAGAAGCAAACCAGTATCCCAGCCATGGGCTTATACAAATGTCACTTACCGAGTGACCCTGTATGCAAAGAAATTGTGTGGTTTGGATTGCTGGGACTAAAATCAAATCCACAGTGAATATTTATCATCCCCCAAACAATATTCACACTATAAATCAAGCTCTAGCACTTTGTAGAAATGCTTTCCGGTACAAAATACCTCATTGTTCTGCTCTTCACTAACAGTGTATTTTCTTAAATACGGAGCCAAAGGCAGCAAACCATTCAACTTAATAGGGAAATGCTCTTAATGCAACAAGTATTCTCCATGCTGCCAAACTCCAATAAAATCAGAGGGAAAATATACTTCCTTCACCCTCAATAAAAAGAATGTGCATAAATTTGAAAAAAAAAAAAAAAAAAAGCTGAGGGACCCACTTATAGCCCCTCTCACAATAACAATCGAACTAACTACCTGCTCTTTGTAAAGAATGACTACAAATAAATCTCGTTCTGTCAAAATGAGTAATATTGTTATTTTCATATTTATATGTGTGTCAAAAGTAGGCACAGCCTTATACAATAAATAAGACTACACCCAACAAACTAAAGTCTCTGCCCTAAGGACCTTTACAATCAAAAGTATAAATAAAAGAAGGAAAACTGCAGATAAAGCCCTGAGTAGAAATGGGATATGGAGGTGGAACGCTTCAGTCAGCATGTGGGCTGTCTTAGATTTCAAGAATGTAAAAGGAAAGGCTGTTTCAGAAAGCAGAATTTAAAAAAGAGTATTTTAAAATGAGAAAGGAGACAATGATAAGTTAGAAAGTGAAGTGATATCTCTCCTTCTGGGCTCCATCACTTGGGCTAATGCTCAACAGAGACTCCACAAAGTGACCCAAAGCAAAAAGCCTACAGCAGAGGGGGTTAGTTTCAGGTGGTAGTTGAGAGTATGGTCTCTGAGAGAAGAGTGGGTTAGAATCATGACTCTTACAGGTCTTGGCTCTTGGCTCCTGTGATTTGGATCAAGGTCCTTAATCATCTCTGTAAACCCCAGCTCTTCATCTGTAAGATGGGGTAACAATTATATAATACTTAGGCCCACAGGGTTTCAAGAAGATTAAATAATGAAGAAAGCACAGTGTGTGACATACAGAAAAAGTTTCAAATAAATCTACCTTTTATTTTTGTTTTTATTTTTAGAGATAGGGTCTCGCTCTGGTGCCCAGGCTGGAGTGCAGTGGCACAATCATAGCTCACTGCAGCCTTGAACTCCTGGGTTCAAGCAATCCTCTCGCCTCAGCTTCCTAAGTTGCTAAAATGACAGGCATCCGCTACCGTGCCCAGTTAATGTTTTTTAATTTTTTGTAGAGACAGGGTCTCTCAGTGTTGCCCAGGCTGGTCTTGAACTCTCAGCCTCAAGTGATCCTCCCAACTTAGCCTCCCAAAGTTCCAGGACTACAGGCATGAGTCACTGGGCCCAGCCTAAATCTACCATTTTAAAAAATAAATCTGCTTGTCCTCATCTTACAGAAAAAAGGAGGAAGTGGTAGAATGGTGTGGTGAGGAAGGACATGGCATCCAGAAGGCCTTGGTTTTGGTGTTAGCACAGGACAAGTCATCTAACTCCACCCTGGGGTCAATTTCTTCACAGGAAACAAAGATGTTGGACTGAACTATGTTGAGCTAAACCTAAAGCTCCCTCAAATTCTTAAAATAATTCCATGACTCTGAGTTTAAAACCAGTAAGTTCCTGTATAAATCATATTCCTTGCCAAAATGCCAAGCACCATATGGGCTCTCTTGCTCTCTGTAATCTGGACTCAATGATGCCATAAAT
Organism: Homo sapiens; assembly: GCF_000001405.40. NCBI lineage: Eukaryota > Metazoa > Chordata > Mammalia > Primates > Hominidae > Homo > Homo sapiens. The sequence goes on from NC_000004.12 coordinate 138,762,130, forward strand.
CAAATTATGTCTCCTAAGACACAGCTGACAAATTTAGACTACAGTGTGGGTGTTTGTCCTGTTCCCTACTTTCTTATAGTTCAACGTAAGTCCCAAGAAGCCCGGATTCCCTTTGTTTTAAAGGTCACATGACTTTGACACTTTTTCAAGTCAGAAGTGGCATCATGACCTTATACCTTTGGAGAAATGCCTCAAGGCCTGGAATTATGAAAATACATCCAGTCTACTTCATAAAGTTTTCCTAAGTCTGATACCACTGAAATAAAAAGTGTAATGCTTACACTGAACAATAAAAATTACATTGGAAGTACATAAGCAATAACAGTTAAAGGAATCATGGAAATATCTTTTCTAGGAAAATATCTAATGATGGGTGATTTCCAAAGCCCAGGGTCATGGTTCTGAGTGGCATACATGCAATTTCAAAATATCTCTTCACTCACATTTCTCATAACCATCAGTGCAAGACTCCTGCTCTTTTGATAAGAGCTAGATATCATTTCATTTCCTCAGTGTTTCCCAAACATTTTGAAATCCTGTAACAAAAGGTGATATGAAACGGATGTATGAGATTCATCTAAAATTCAATCCTGTTTAGCAAAAACACTGCCTGTGGAATTCCCCTTTGTGTGAGATCATACATGATATATTGATGAAGCAATATAGAGTAGGCACAATAAATGATCGTGAATAATTACTTAAGCTGCAAGCATTAATGTTGTCCTCATCTCTCCTTCCTCTGGCTATTTGCATCCCTTTTGAACATAGCTCATTTCTATGGAATGCACACTCTTTTGGTTGAATGTGCTGCTTCTCTCACATATAAATTAAACTAAAAATTTAAACAGTTAAAACCAGTACACCAACCAATAGAAGACCAACTCTGCGTGTCTCCATTGTGCTTGTAATAATACATGTTAATTTTGTTTAGTTTGTCACTGAAGAGTGGTTCCAATTTTTGAAATATAATACATAAAATAAAAAATGATCCTATCACACTGTATTTAATCATAGTGACAAGCTGATAGGATGGCATGATATTAGTAAAAGAACATGGGTTTAAATCAGAAAATCTGGGTTTTCATCCTGATTCCACCACTTAATAGTGTGTGTCCGAGAGTCAGTCAGCTCATCTGCAAAATTAGAAAGAGAATATCCACCTCATTCGACCATTATGAGGATTAAATTTAGTAATTTAGATCAATGGAAGAGCACTGTGCAAATGTCAGCTGTGATTCCATAATCTAGTCAATGCCACCTCAAATTTTCTGTGTAAAGAGGTGGAATGACTAAATGGGAGGAGATGATAAATGACTAAAGGGGAGATAGATAGGTAGATAGATAGATAGATAGATAGATAGATAGATAGATAGATAGATAGACAGACAGACAGACAGACAGATAGATAACAGAAAGATAGAAAAATGTATTAATAAGAATTTCTAATACATATATAACATTTTATTATTACAAACTAAACTTTAAAAGTCACGGGGTCTCCAGACAGACGGTGGAATGGTGGTTGCTAGGGGTTGGGGAAGAGGCAGAATGGGAGAGTTTTCTTGTTTAGCAGATAGAGTTTTCGTTGTACAAGGAAACTGAGTTATGGAGATGGATGGTGGTGATGGTCGCACAATACTATCAGTGTACTTAATACCACTAAACTATACACTCAAAAATGGTTAAGATGGTAAATTCTATGTTATGTATATTTTAATACAATTTATAAATGGAAGAAAAATGTCATGGAGTCTCTGTGTACAGTCGTACAATGTGTGGTGTGTGTGAGGGCATCCCTCCGGCCAAGAGGATGAGTGGGAAAATCCAGCCTGCACTCCACTCACAAGAGGCATGTCCCAGCACAGGGCTGTGTCTGCCTAGAAGTAGGGGCATCTTTTTCTGATTTACACAAAGTCCTCCTGTAGACTGTGCATCTGATCAGAATTATTGCATTAAATCCTCAGACAATTCTCAAAGGTATTATTGCCCCACTCTTACAAATTAAAAAGCCAAGACTCAAATAACTGAAATGAATTATCCAAAGAATTAAAGCACGAATCAAGGACACCTAGGCAAATGCATTGCCTAGTATATACCAGAAACCTAAGAGCAAAGAAACTCCCAAGTAAGTGCTGAGCTGATTGATTGATATAAACCTGGTCAAGACTTGACAAAAACTCAACCACAGAGGTAAAACTCCATTCTCCTCTTATTTCCATTAATGGATCCTGAGTCCACAGACACAAGAAGTTATGTCAAGAACCTAGAACATAAGTCTGGGACAGACAGCCCAGCTTCCATGACATACAACACAATGACACACAATTCTTTCCATTCAAAATGCTTTCAATATAAGAAGCAAAACAGATGTACAGCTAAATAAACACAATGAAGTGTTAATAGAAGTCATAATAGAAAGACCACACAACTATGTTTTCCCATTTGTATCTACGAACTGATGAAGGCTTCAGATAAATGCTCTCAAGATGCGGTGGGGTGGGGCTTCAGACCTGATGGGCCTTGGAAGTTGGGAGGGTGGCCCTGAGGTCTCTTTGTGGTGAATTTGTCAGAGCATACTGGCTGGCATGGGCCACCAAGGGTGGGGCAGGCAGTCACAGCATCTACATCCTGCAGGTAGAGATGAGCAGAAAAGTCCCAAGGAATACAAGCTGAAAGTTGCACAGAGCAGAGCAAAGCCTGTAAACTGGAGAAATGTGTACCAATGACCCACTCATGGCGGCAAATTATCAGAGATACATGGTCAGAAAAAGGAACAGCACGTAAGCCAGAGGAGAGTCTGAATAAGCAGCAGAAAAAGGTGTGTGCGTTGTGCTCCTAAATACACTGTACTCTTACTGTGAATGAACTAGTTTCATTTAAAGAACCAAGGTCAGAAGGGACAGGAAGACTTAAGCCCTGGAGCTCTAGAAAGCCAAATAGTGAACAAACGAAATATTTATATGTATAAATCTTTAGCCTGGTGCTATGAAAGAGTTCAGTAGCCCTGGAGAGGATGGAGTCTTCAAAAACCAAGGTAAATGGAGCTGAGAAGTAGAAAAATCATAGGAACATGCACAAAAGGAAAAATCTAGGGCACAGCAGAGTGGCATTTATTCACTCATGTATTCGTTCAACAAACTTCACTGAGAGTTCATTAATGATATATATAGTAATAGTAGTAACAGCAGCTAACACTTACATAGCACATATCCCATGCCACACGTTGTTCTAAGGACTTTTAAACCTTTTAACCCTCACTGCCCTGTGAGCTAGTTACTCCTATTATCCCTATTTTGTAGATGAGGAAACTGGGGCACAGAGAAGCTAAATATTTTGCTGGCGATCATTCAGCTCATGAGTGCATGAGCAGCATTTGACCCAGGCTCTCTGGATCCAGAGTCTGCTTACATCCTTCACTATGATAATAACCTACTATGTTCTTGCTCTCTGCCAGCTGCCACAGAGGCGGGAAGGCATGGCTTCTGTTCCTTCTGTTCTGTCACCCAGTGGAAGTTGTTGAATAGCAGTAAATAAAAATGTGGAGGAGAGGGACCCATGACAAGCTTCAGTTAATCACAATTTTCCTGGGTTGGCCCAGATTTTCTTGCTCTCATTTGAGTCCCATCCGTGGAGAGCTTACCAATTATGGGAACTTAACAGTGGCATTAATTAGGGGGAAGAGAACAAATCTGACTTCCCAAACACTCCTCCACTCTTCTAATAATAGATTTGAATAATGCACATATAGTTTGAGTCCTTAGCAGATATCTGGAATTTATTTCTGGTTTACCTGAAATCTTTTATTAGAATAATAATTTTTAAAAAGCCTAGGACATCCTATAGCTTGACATTAAATAAATGTAAACCTGTACTCAGAAACTATTTAAATTTTGTCTAAAGTGTTCTCTGTGAAAGTTAAATGACCTTTAAGAAGAAACTCTGCAAATGTGTCTGCCTTAAGGATAATTTATGAGCTGAACACACTCCACAGGTACTGCTAAGAGTGACACGTGTGTTCCTGAAAAAGTACAGGAAAGTTCAGTGACATTCACAGTACTTTGTTGAAGAGCCCTGTCTAGTTGCTTCACTGATAGGCACTGTGGCTTCTGGCTTTAGCCTATCCTGAGAGCCCTGGATGAAACAGCCCTTGAACCCCAAGTGGTGGGCACATGGATGTGATAGAGGAGTGTTTGCTGCAGTTTTTAAGTTCTCTTTAAATCAACATTTCCAGGCATTTATCGCTACCTAACAAATCACTCTAAAAAACAGGAACTTAAAGCAACAAATAGAATTTATTTTTGCCCATAAATGTGCAATGTGGGTGGTGCTCCACAAGAACAAGTCATTTCCGCTCCCCTCAGCTTCGTGGGGTCGGATACTCTTCTTTATCTCCACCACGTGGCCTCTCCAGTATGGCAGCGTCAAGGTGGCCAGACTTTTTACATGTCAGCTCAGGGCTTCCAAGGCATGTGTCCCAAGAAAGAGCATGGGGGAAGCTGTATTGCCATTAGTGATCTAGTCTCAAACATCACGCAGCCTTACTTCTGCCATATTCTATTAATCAAGACAGTCAGTTTCAACAGCGGTGTCCAACAACCTCTGTGGCACCAGGGACTGGTTTCATGGAAGACAATTTTTCCATGGGGCGAGGGGCGGAGGGTAATTCTGGAGGGGGTTGGTTTCAGGATGAAGCACGCATCCTAGATCCCTCATATGTGCAGTTCACAATAGGTTTCCCGCTCCTATGAGAATCTAATGCCAACGCTGATCTGCCAGGAGGCTGAGCTCAGGTGGTAATGCTCGCTCACCCACCTCTCACCTCCTGCTGTACGGACTAGTTTCTAACAGGCCAAGGCCCAGGGGCTGGGGACCCCTGAGTTACAAGACCAGGACAGGTTCAAGGGGAGGGGAAAATAGACTCCACATTTTGTTGGGTGGGGGTGTGACAATGTTCTGGAAAATCACATAAGATGGAAAATATTGCTCCTGCCATTTTTGATACAGTCTACCCTATGAACTCACAGGAAGAATTTGTCTCCAATTCTATATCAGGAATTGATGTGCTGCTACTAAGAATATGTTAGCTTAGCTCATGAAGCTGTGGATCTTGTTTTCCTCTTTTCTATTGGCTTCCAGAAGACTCATAGACAAATGTGTTGCCTTCCTCTAGCCAGATCCCCTGTAAAATTTCATATGCAATAACTTACCCTGTCTTCATTTTATTTTCCCACCATTATTTTCCCTTTGCTTCAATTTTCCTCACTTTTAAAATACCCTGTTGCTGTATATGTATTCTACCAGCTGCAAAGAAAGTGAGATATGAATTTTAAAATATTCCAAGAATTAGCTGGGTGTGGTGGCACACACCTGCCATCCCAGCTACTTTAGAAACTGAGGCAGGAAGATCACTTGAGCCCAGGAGTTCAAGGCTGCAGTGAGCTATGATCACACCATTGCACTACAGCCTGGGTGACAGAGCGAGACCCTGTCTCAAAAAAAATGAATAAAGTAAAATAAAATACTCCAAGAAACCAGAGAATCCACACAGTAGAAAATACATCTAGTTAAAAAAAAAAAAAAGATAGCAAAAGAGGTTAAAACTCACTAGTAATGATAAAAATGAACATTAAAGAAGTCACCATTTTTTCTTATCATTTAATTGGGTCCTAGGCTCAGTGCTCAGTCCTTCACTAACACTGTGATTATTAAAATTATTTTCTTTCCATTAGTCAAGGATGAGGATCAGGATATGGACAATGAGATCAGTACTTCTGGATGTACCTAGGAGAACAGTAAAACTGCACAATTGCTTCCACAAAATAATTTGGTGACACTTATTAAAGGCCAGAAAATACCATGAACTTTGATCCAGTAAAATCCCTTCTAGGTTCTAGAACAAAGAAATAACCCAGATTCTGGGAAATCTGATTTATGCATCAGGACATTGTCTCATTGTCTAAATGCATTAGAAAGTCATCTTAGTTTACCTTTTTAAAAATTATTATAAAATATACACATATAAAATGTACCATTTAACTACATGTAAGTGTACAGTTCAGTGGCATTAAGTGTATTCACATTATGTGGCCATCACCACTATACATGTCCAGAAGTTTTTCATCATCTTTAACGTAAGCACTGTACCCATTAAACAACAACTCCCCATTCTTTTTTTTTTCTTTCTTTCTGACATGGAGTCTCGCTCTGTCGCCCAGGCTGGAGTGCAGTGACGCGATCTCTGCTCACTGCAACTTCTGCCTCCCGGGTTCAAGCAATTCCCTGCCTCAGCCTCCCAAGTAGCTGGGATTACAGGTACCTGCCACCACGCCCAACTAAATTTTTATATTTTTAGTAGAGACGGGGTCTCACCATCTTGGCCAGGCTGGTCTTGAACTCCAGACCTCATGATCCGCCCACCTTGGCCTCCCAAAGTGTTATTATTACAGGCGTGAGCCACCACACCCAGCCAAAAACTCCCCATTCTTATCTCCCTCAACCCCCACCCCTGGTAACCATGATTCTACTTTCTGTTTCTATAAATTCCACTGCTCCAGGTACCTCATATAAGTGTAATCATAAGCTATTTGCATTTTGAGGGGCTAGTTCACTTCCCTTAGCATAACATCCTCAAGGTTCATCCATGTTATACCATGTGTCAGAATTTCCTTCCTTTTTAAGTCTGACTAATATTCCATTGTACGTATAGTCCACATTTTGTTTATCATTCACACATTTCATTCATCCATGGATGGTTGGGTTCGTTCCACCTTCTGGCTATTGTGAATACTGCTGCTGTGAACAGGAGCACACAAATATCTGTTCTGAGTCCCTGCTTTCCATTCTTTGGGGTATATATCCAGAAGTGGAATTGCTTTGATTTATTTTATGTTGATGAAATATTAGAAGCAATCATCATGTACAACAAATCAGGGAATTGTTGGTTAAATTATGTACAGACCCTTGATCTTCTGTCTCCTTTGGAAATGAGGACTCTGGAGACCTCCCATGCTGTCTGCGGCAGCCTTTCCTGGCCAGGCTGTCCGTGTCCTGCCCTTGCCTCTGTCACAGCACCTGTTCCATCATGTTGGCATTCCCCTGATTGTTTCCCCAACCAGAGCTCTGTCAGGAGAGTGACTTTATCTTCCATCTCTGGCCTCAATTCCCCAATTCCTGGCACATAATATGAGCTTGAAAACTGTTGACTGAGTAAAAAATAAACTAGCTAGAAATAGGGCAGTCAGAAACCACCTCGTAGTAAATTTGATTCAGATGTTTATCAGCTGATTGTGGGAACCTTATAAAGGACGTAAACCTACACTATAATTTGGGGAAAACAAAATAAAAATCTTAGAAATGATAGGAAAACCTTAGGTGAAATGTGAATATACCTATAGCACTTAAGGGCACCAAAGTGAGTTGTGTTGTTTTAGTATTTAATGTGCAGAAAGAAAGTGAAGTTCTTGGAGAGTGAGTCCGCCAGGAGGCCAGGGGAATTTTTCCCACACGGAAGCATTCACACGTATGCATCACTCTTTGCCTTCTATTCCAATGAATGTACATAAAAATATACACATCTATATTCTAAGATAACAAATATCTAATATTCTAAAATGCCAGAGCTAGTAAATATTCCATAGTCATACTATATCAAACCCACTCTTACATTTTAAAGAAATAAATTGAAATTTCAGTAATAGATATCAATAAATCCCAAATCTTATCTGATCTAATTTTCCCCTTTTTTATTAAACACCACATCCTTAAAAGTTGAGTCAGACCTTTATTCAATGTCACTTCCTTCAAGATGACTACTTTGATCCCCAGCCTGAACCAGAGCACACCCACCAATGTCTTTTTCCTTCCGCTGCTTGACTTGCTCTTCGTGTCACTGTCACCTGAGACATGCCATCATTCAGGCTTTATTTTATTTTCTGTCCCTTATTTTAGAATGTGCACTTCTTGAGGACAAAAGCTTTTTTTCACTCTATGCCTAGAGCAGCACCAAGAACATAGTGGCAATTAGAAAAATATGTATTAAATGAGGCCAGGCATGGTAGCTCACACCTGTAATCTCAGCACTTTGGAAAGCCAAGATGGGAGAATCACTTGAGCCCAGGAGTTCCAGACCAGCCTGGGTAACATAGCGAAAACTTTTCCCTCAAAAAAAAAAAAAAAATTAGCCAGGCATGATTGCATGCACTTGTGGTCCTAACTACTCAGGAGGCTGAGGCAGGTAGACCACTTGAGCCCAGGAGGCGGAGGCTGCAGTGAGCCAAGATCACACCACTACACCTCAGCCTGGGTAACAGAGTGAGACCCTGTCTCAAAAACAAAAACAAACAAAAGCCCACCAATATATGTTAAATGACTACACACATAAAATAAACTTACATTTAAAAATCAGTGACTAAATTATATAAGCAACATGAGAAAATGTGTATGTATATGTAAATATATGTGTGTGTACACACACACACATACACATGCAACTATGGTTTTAATTAACCCCATTGTGAGTAAAAAATGTCATGTCAAAAAGTATAAATAATCATTTAATACCCTGATAAACCCATTGTAAAGTCAAAACATCACAAGTTGAACTATTGTGAGTCTGGGACTATCTGTCGTATTAAGAAGTGGATTCTTTAAGAGGGGATTAAGTTGCCTTATGGATGGGGTTAGGGCTCTTATTTTTAAAAGCAGTGGGTTTTCTCTCTTCTGCTCTTCTGCCATGTGAGGACACAACGTTCAGTGCCCCTTGCTCTTAAGCCTTTCACCATGTGAGGAAGGAAGCAGAGCAGATCCTCACCAGAGGCTGACCCGCTGGTGCCCTGACCTTGGACTTCCTGGCCTCCAGAACTGTGAAGAGATAGAAATTTCTGTTCTTCATAAATTACTCAAAATATTGTGGTATTTTGTTATAGCAGCACAAATGGACTGAGACACACACACATATACACACACACTCATGAAACACATACAACACATAAAAATGATTACATGTAAATACACAAAAAGTTAAGAGTAACACGGAAACTATAACATTGGTGGGATTAAGGCTGGCTTTTTCTGTATTCCGAATGTTCTAATGCAGTTGCATTCATTTCGTTGTGGTCTCTATAGCTAGGTAGGTTATTGCTTGGCCAACAAGAATTCTCCTGTTGACACTTGGGTGAATTCACAGTGCTCTAGAATCTTTTTCTCAATATTGCAAGCTCATATAGTTGATGTTTTTTGACAACCTGCGAGTAGATCATTCTCTATAGATACATTCACATTCACCTTGCTTATAAAAGACCACTATATAAACCAAAGTGCAAATTATGTCTTTAAAATAAAAAATTTCACTGCCAAGAGGAAAGGATATTTGTTGGGAGCTCAGTTATAACCTGTTGACTTAGTGATCATGGAATCAGATCAACAGCATTTGGCTTTAAGATGCTGATGTTTAAATAGGATTATTTGTACTGTATGGGGCCTGATGGCTGCATCACCATGAAAAGGTTATTCCTATCCCGACACAGATGACATTTGCTGGACAGGAGAGCTCCTCCTGATCAGAGCAGAGACATAACGCCAAGTCTGCCTCTGTGACCTTGCTAACTTCCGTCACTAATCATCTACTTCCTTTTCTCATTGACATGATTTTTCTTACTAAATATTAATTCAACATACTTCATAATAGCTTTTTGACATGCTAATATAGCCAGTTGCATATTGTACTTCCTGTTTCTGGACCCTAGCAACATTTATATTTGTCATGTTTTTGCATCTGTCTAAACTCATTATTATGTTTTTATTTTACAAATAATTACCAGAAACTTAAGAGTACCTTGTTTTCACTGTTGTCTACACTAGAATTATAAAAACAATTTCTGAAGTCAGGAAAGTAAATAATCCGTATTAGGAAAAGTTCCTTTCTAAATAATATTTTTTAATGTAAATGCTTTAGAACTTGTAACAGAGACCCAGCTTGAATCTATCATGTATTCATCTCAAATTTAATGTATTTGTACATTGCAAAAGTACTGGTGGGGCAGGCTCACCAGGAATCTTTTTAATTATGATCAAACTCTTCCTAGGATAGAGCTCATCCAAAAAAAGAGTCAATGTCCTCTTGAAGCTTGGAAGAGAGAAGTAAATGAGAGTATAGCATGGGGACTGTCATTCAGACTCTCCTCCAGCCCACACTCATGACAGGTTGTGCCAGGGGAGCCAAAACACTTTCTTCTCTGAAGCCTGCATGGGACCTTTAGAGTTTATCAGCAACATTGGTACTAGCAGTGGCTGGGTGATGGTGGCAGCAGCTTTGTGCACATTGTCACCATGGGTAGTAATAGCTTCAATGTTCAGGTGTCAAGGGCACAGAAGTCATGCCCTCACTGCCAGTCATCAAGTAACTTACATTAAGTATCTCATCATGGACATTGGCAGTTGTGGTTTTGTGGGTGGACACTGGTAATGCAGCTGCACTTGGCATCTGTGGGAACCAGGGTTATTATTATAGCTATCCAGGAGAGGAGATGTTTTTGAAGTTACATAACACATCCATTTCTTAGAGATTTTCAGACTATTTTGGCAAATTTGAGAGGTCTGAACCTTGTTCAGACCAAATGAGAATGGATATACAGAAATGTTGCTTTGTAACTGTTGTTATATTCTCCCGTACCAACATAGAAGTGTCCTGGGAAATATAGTTCACATACCTGTAAGTTAAGTTTCAGTTGGATAGAATCATTACACTTATGAAAAATGATTCCTTCTCAGATGACAAAAGGCCAAGTAATCGCTGTTATTCCTACTAAAATGAAGCTATATCTAGGTTTGAAAAATGTTAACTTTGAAATTTGAAAAATTATTTTAAAAATAGAGTACAAATTATATCATAAACACTCCTCTCTGCCACCCAAAATAAACAAACATTAATATCTTGTTATATATGCTTCAGATCTTTATCTTACAAGAAGTGAAGGATTAAACTCAAAGATACTGTCCCCTAGAGCCCCTTCTCCACTCCCATTCCCACTCCTCCCCTCCATCCCAAGAGCAAATTATGGATGCCATTTTAAAATCCACAACAAGTAATGTAACACATTATTTATAGATGTGAAACTAACTAACTACAAAGCAAAAGTATAAAGACAAGGAATAGATATATGCTAAGGTAATTTTTAAAAATAAGAGATGGAAAGAGAATATTTTACTCTTCTTATAAACACTATAAACTGTTTAGACTTTTTTAATTCATATTTAATTCAAGGAAAAGTAATTAAGGATAATCGAATACTTTAAGAAAAGTATTGCACCGCTATAACCTCACGCTTCCTTTTCAGTTGAGTGTGAGAAAATGATAGAAGAAAGTTGGGAGCTGGGAACCAGAGATAAGATAGGGTTTCTTCCTTCCAGCAATCCTTCCTTTAGAAATTGAAAGAGGAGGAGAGGAGGAGAGACCCACAGTTGATCTCTGAGAAGTGAGTAGCTGGAGGCACCAGGATACCAGCCAAGCCTAAAGGATAAAGCAAATCCCTGGACATGGCTTTTGATTCCAAGCTAAGAAGTGCAAGGTAAGCTACAAAAAGCATTCTAATCAGGGCCTAGATGTGTTTGATTACAATAAATCAACATATCTGTAAAATTTGTGAAAAAGCTACCCAATGTTTTCATAGCCTTTATTTGACTTAAGAGCAATTAGGAAGCTTCATTTAAGTACAGTAATCATTAAATCTATTTAAATAAGGTTTTCAATTGAAAAGCAAAAATAATGTACAAATTGGGGATTATACATCAGGAGCCAGATTCGTAATTAAACAAGGAGATTAAACCTATTCATTTATCTCTGCTTTTTTTCTGAAATTTATCCAATATTAATATTAAAGGAATAAATAAATACATTAACTCTCAAGTTCTCAGAGCATGAACGGGGCTTGACCACTGGCCCTAGACTGGGGAGAGAAAAATGGAAGTCTCGGCCAGGCACAGTGGCTCATACCTGTAATCCCAGCACTTTGGGAGGCCAAGGCAGGCAGATCACTTGAGGTCAGGAGTTCCAGACCAGCCCGGCCAACATGGTGAAACACCCCGTCTACTAAAAATACAAAATTTAGCCAGGTGTGGTGGTATGCACATGTAATTCCAGCTACTCAGGAGGCTGAGCCATGAGAATCGCTTGAACCTGGGAGGTGGAGGTTGCAGTGAGCCGAGATCACACCACTGCACTCCAGCCTGGGCAACAGAGCAAGACTCTGTCTCACACACACACACACAAAAAGTCTCTCAGAAAGCAAATCACAGCAAACAAGACAGCAGACAACAACAAAAGAGAAGAATCCACAAAATTCTGGAAGATGAAAAGGAGGTGGACCCCTGGTAACTGAGTTAGTCAAAGAGAGAAGGCTGGAAACTATCATGCTGGAGGAGAGAGGTAAGAAGACAATAGGAGCCAACTCTTTCACATCATAGAATCCCAGAAAGATACAAGATTTGGAGGTCCTGGGAGCCAAATGAGACTGATAACTAACACCCTCCTTTTTCCTCAGTGGAGTACTATGACATAGACACGGATGCCAGACAACGGAAGATCAAATGTCACCTTTAATCTGGAATCCTACATTGGACACTGGACTAGAAAAACATTTGTGGAAAAAGTAATGAAATTCAAATACGGTTCCATGGATTAGCTAATTGTAATGTATTATGAATCACCTGCTTTCTATCTTTGTTCTGTGGTTATGTAAAAAGTTAACATTAAAGAAAGCTGGGGGAGAACATACAGAAATTCTCTGTATTATTCGTGCAAATTGTAGGTCTAAAATTATTTCAAAATTAAACTTTTTAAGTTAAACATCTCCTTGATTGCTGATAAAGTCGATATTAGAAAGCATAGCTTATTCTGCCTGAATTGGATAAATTTGCTGACTTCAGATTTGGGCAGATTTACCTAATATAACTGCAAGCAATACTGAGCCATTTCAAGTCTTACCACAGAATAGAGCCAGCAGGCTCTAAGCCTACACAGGGCCGAGAGCTAAAGAGAGCACATACTCTGCTTCAGACAGGCGAAACTTCAGTTTAAGATCTTGGGATTTCCTCAAAGAAAGGTGAGCAGAAAGGGCTGAGCTATGCCTGCCCAGTTCCTTCCCAGCTCTCCCCAATTAAGTATGTCACTCCTTGTTGCCTGGGGGGGAGTCAAGACGAGAAAAAAGAATCCAGAAGCATTGTTTTCAACGCAGTGCTCTCAGACTTTTTGGTCTCAAGGCCCTTTTACACTATTAAAAATAATTGGAGACCTCAAAGAGCTTTTGTTCATGCTAGTTATATATTTAAATATCTACTATAAAACTGATACTTTTTAGTATTTATTTATTTAAATACTATTACTAAACCCAGTAGATGTTAACGTGAATAACATATTGTATGAAACATAATAATTTCTTCCAAACCAAAAAGTATAATGAGAAGAGTGTCCTTGTTGTTCATTTTTACAGAGTATCTGTAATGCCTGCCTTAACAGAAGACAGCTGGATTATCACAGCTGCTTCTGCATTCGATCTGTTGTGATATCACATGTCATGTTGCCTCTGGAAAATTCCCCCTGCACACTTACAGGAGAATGAGAGTGAAAAGAGCAAATAATATCTAGTGTTTTTAGAAAAAATATTTTGACCTTCCATCCCTCAGAGATCCCTGGGCCACACTCTGAGAACTGCTGTTCTAATAAACATCTCTCTATGTGCAGAACAGACGAGGTAAATGTTCCCCAACAGAAGGCAGCACGAAGGCTGTAGAAGACAGCGATGAAGTCTAGAAGAAGGGCACCCCTGAGACAGAGAAGCTTTGAAGAAAATCCCTCTATGAAGCAGTGAAACCCTTCCCCCAGTTCCTCTTTCGAGTAGCACTGTCAGGTGACTGTCTCTCTGTGCTGGCAATTTACTGAGAGGCTGAACCCTGACAATCTCCAGATTCAGGGAAGCCGGCAGAGCTGAGGAATACCCTACTAAAACAGGAAACTGGGAGGAATTTAGCACAAGGTTCAATGAGATCCCTCATCCCTCTTGCCTTACTCAGCTCCTAGAATCCTGGCCTCTTCGTTTGTTACCCACGCCCCAACACACACACCCTAAGTGAGAGGTTGAGTAATTCTTCTCTGAGGAAACAGAAACAAGCCAAGAAGGGGGAAAAGAAAAAAACCTATAAATACTGAGAGTTGGGATATCCATCAATGAAACAGCCCCAACCAATTACCCAAAATTAAAGCCCACGTCTTAGCAAGCCTCACCTCTGCACACACAGTTCCAATAGCTGCAGCTGTTGCACTTTTGTGTGCTAATAGACAGTCCAGAATGACTAAAACATACATCCTCAGAAAGCATCCAATGGGGAAAAAAAAACAGACAAAATTATTAAAAAAACCAATGAAAGGACAATGTGGTTTTTTTGTTTGTTTTTTGTTTTTTAAGAAAAAAAAGAACATTCATCAACAACAAAGGGCTTCTTGGATATTAAAAACATAAAAGCCGAAATTTAAAAATTAATTAAAGTTTTGTAAGATAAAGCTGAGGAAGTCTTTCAGAAAGTAGATCAAAGAAAAATGAATAGAAAATAGAAAAAAATAGTACTTAGAAGATCAGAGAATTGATACCAGTTAAACTTGCGACAAATACAACCCCAGAAAGAGTTAACTGGGAAAATTACCAGATAAACAAAAATTAAATCTTCACAGAATTGAGGAGCCTGAGTTTCCAAGTTAAAAGAGTCTATCACGTTTCCAGGAAAATATATAAATATGTGAAAAAGCAAAAAAACACATAGATATGAAACTCCAGCAAACAAGGGATAAAGAGAAGATCCTAAAAGCTTCAAGAGCACAAAAACAATGGAGATGCAGAATGGCATTAGACTTGAGAATAATAACTCTAAGAATTACACAATAATGGAGAAATGAAATGCCTTCAAAATGCTGAAGAAAAATGCTATCCACCTAGAATTCTAAACTCAAATCATCATTCAAGATTGAGGATAAAGACATATGCACGAAGGCAACATCTAAAACAGATTACTTCCCAGGAAAGCCTTTTTTCAAGATGCTCCTAGAAGATGTAATCCATTGAAAGAAAAGAGTCAACCAAGGAAAGAAAACATGGAATCCAAGACAGAAGGTGTGGTGGTCAGTCTTCAAGACGGCCCTAAATGAGCCCCTCCTCCTGGGCTTCGCAGCCTTGTACAGTCCCCTCTGGTATTGTACAGGGTCTGTGTGGACAGTGGAAGATAGCAGAAGTAACAAGCTATTCCTTCTGGCATTGGATTCCATCTTGCTCCCTTCTACTCTTTATCTCTCTTCAGTCACTAACTCTGGCAGAAGCCAATGGCCATGATGTGAGCAGTGCTATAGAGATGTCTGTTTGGTGAGAACTGAGTCCTCCTGCCCAGAGCTTCTAATCTGAGCTTAGAAACCGATTCTCCAGTGCCAGTCCAGCTTCAGATCATTTCAGCCTTGTGAGAAACCTGAACAAGAACCATCCAGCTAAGCTGTTCCTGGATATGACCCACAGAAACTGTGAAAAAATAAATGTTTGTCAGTTGAAGCTGCTACGTTTTGAAGTGATACGTTACAAAGCAATAGACAACTAATACACAGTGGATCTAACATGGAAGAGAAGAGAAAGATATTTCTAAGACAAGAAAGCCCCAGGGCAACAGCCATGTAGCCATCAGTATCCTGTCCAGATTTGAGCAGAAGGACAGAGGTCTCTAGGAAAGATGTCTCAAAAAAAAAAAAAAAAAGTAGAACTGATAAATTATCTCATGTATTTTATGGTAGACAGAAGTTGCATTCACTTACTTCAATGTGAATATACATTTAGTTACATTCACAAACACTTCAGTTTCAGACTGAAGTATTTGCTAATGGTTACACGGAAAGCTAAGCAAAAGAAAAGTTGTAACAATTATTAACTCTAGAAAAAAAAAGGGTTGTTCAAGAAAGGAAAGGTAACTAAAGTACATATCTAGCCCATATGTGAATATTTGTATCATCATAGTAATGGAGATGCCAGACAGTGATATACCTCCCAGATTGTGGTAATTCTACTGAGAGTATGAAGAAATGAAAGTATGTGTAGCAGGGAGGGAGTGGTGGTGGTACAGTGTGTTGATTTAAGAAAGCTAAAATGTATCTTCTGTAATGAGAAGTCAGTGGACGATGTCTGAAACATGAAGATCAAAACAATTTAATCTGAGTATACTACTGACAAATGCAAAGGTAAATTCCACAATAACAGCTAAAATAATTGAAAGGAATTGACTTTGGGGAGCAGAAATTGAGGGTAGGAAGCAATGGCATCATGCAGTGCTCTGCCATAAGCTATGTTGTTCTCCTTGTCTCAAAAAATTTTGATCCAAATAAAATTTTATTATTATTATTGAGACGGAATCTCCCTCTGTTGCCCAGGCTGGAGTGCAGTGGCATGATCTCGGCTCACTGCAAACTCCGCCTCCCAGGTTCAAGTGATTCTCCTGGCTCAGCCTCCCAAGTAGCTGGGATTACAGGCACCTGCCACCACGCTGGGCTAGTTTTTGTATTTTTAGTAGAGACGGGGTTTCCCCAAGTTGGCCAGGCTGGTCTCAAACTCCTGACATCAGGTGATCCACCCACCTTGGCCTCCCAAAGTGCTGGGATTACAGGCATGGGCCACCACACTCTAAAATAAAATTTTAACAGCATTTACCTATCATGGGACAAAAATCAATAGGCAATGTCTATAATTAATAAACTACAAAATAGAAAATGTCTTCATATTTGTCAGTATCTATCAGAAGATACCAAAAATACAAATAGTTAAATATGTTTTCCTCTGAAAGACAACACTGGGAATGGCAATATTTATTGCTGCAATACAAACCATCCCCAAACATAGTAGCTGTGATGGTTAATATTAGATGTCAACTTGATCGCATTGAAAGATGCCTGGATGGCTGGTGGAGTATTGTTTCTGAGTGTGTCTGTGAGAGTGTTGCCAGAGGAGATTGACATTTGAATTGCTGGAAAAGCATTGGTTGTAGATGCTTTCCCCACCCTGAGATATCCTTCAATGCCTCAGGGAGAGGAAAACCACTGTTAGTGTGAGTGACCTTTAGTGTGAGTGGGCACCATCCAATCAGCAGCCAGTGCAGCTAGAACAAAGCAGGTGGAAGAAGGTGGGATAAGTTTGCTTGCTGAATCTTCTGGCTCTTTTTCTTCTTCCCATGCGAGACGCTTGCCTCCGCTCCTCGTGCCCTTGAACATCAGACCCCAGGTTCTTCCATCTTTGAACCCTGGGACTTGCACCAGCGGCTTCCCAAAGGCTCTCAGGCCTTCGGCCACAGACGAAGGCTGCACTGTCAGCTTCCCTGGTTTTGAGGCTTTCAGACTTGGACTGAGGGACTACTGGCTTCTCTCTTTCCTCAGCTTGCAGACAGCCTATCGGGGGACTTCACCTTATAATTGTGCAAGCAATTTCTCCCTAATAAACTCCCTTTTTTACTATTATTATACTTTAAGTTCTGGGATACATGTGCAGAATGTGCAGGTTTGTTACATAGGTATACACGTACCATGGTGGTTTGCTGCACCTATCAACTCGTCATCTACATTAGGTATTTCTCCTAATACTATCCCTCCCCTAGCCCCCGTCCCCCAAAAGACCCTGGTGGGTGATGTTACCCTCCCTGTATCCATGTGTTCTCATTGTTCAGCTCTCACTTATGAGTGAGAAAATGCAGTGTTTGGTTTTCTGTACCTGAGTTAGTTTGCTGAGAATGATGGTTTCCAGCTTCATCCATGTCCCTGCAGAGGACATGAACCTTTTGTATGGCTGCATAGTATTCCATGGTGTATATGTGCCACATTTTCTTTATCCAGTCTATCCCTGATGGGCATTTGGGTTGGTTCCAAGTCTTTGCTATTGTGAATAGTGCTGCAATAAACATATGTGTTCATTTGTCTTTACAGTAGAATAATTTACATACCCAGTAACGGGATTGCTGGGTCAAATGGTATTTCTGGTTCTAGATCCTTGAGGAATCACCACACTGTCTTCCACAATGGTTGAACTAATTTACACTCCCACTAACAGTGTAAAAGCATTCCTATTTCTCCACATCCTCTCCAGCATCTGTTGTTTCCTGACTTTTTAATGATCGCCATTCTAACTGGCGTGAGATGGTATCTCATTGTGGTTTTGACTTGCATTTCTCTAATGACCAATGATGATGAGCTTTTTTTCAAATGTTTGTTGGCTGCATAAATGTCTTCTTTTGAGAAGTGTCTGTTCATGCCCACTTTTTGATGGAGTTGTTTGTTGTTTTTTTTTTCTTCTACATTTGTTTCAGTTCCCTGTAGATTCTGGACAATAGCCCTCTGTCAAATGGATAGATTGCAAAAATTTTCTCCCATTCTGTAGGTTGCCTGTTCGTTCTGATGACAGTTTCTTTTGCCGCGCAGAAGCTCTTTAGTTTAATTAGATCCCATTTGTCAATTTTGGCCTTTGTTGCCATTGCTTTTGGTGTTTTAGTCATGAAGTCCTTGCCCATGCCTATGTCCTGAATGGTATTGCCTAGGTTTTCTTCTAGGGTTTTTATGGTTTTAGGTCTTGTGTTTAAGTCTTTAATCCATCTTGAGTTAATTTTTGTATAAGGTGTAAGGAAGGGGTCCAGTTGCAGTTTTTTGTGTATGGCTAGTCTGTTTTCCCAACACCATTTATTAAATAGGGAATCCTTTCCCCCATTGCTTGTTTTAGTCAGGTTTGTCAAAGATCAGATGGTTGTAGATGTGTGGCATTATTTCTGAGGCCTCTGTTCTGTTCTATTGGTCTATATATCTTTTTTGGTACGAGTACCATGCTGTTTTGGTTACTGTAGCCTTGCAGTATAGTTTGAAGTCAGGTAGCGTGATGCCTTCAACTTTGTTCTTTTTGTTTAGGATTGTCTTGGCTATATGGGCTCTTTTTTGGCTCCATATAAAATTTAAAGTAGTTTTTTCTAATTCTATGAAGAAAGTCAATGGTGGCTTGATGGGGATAGTGTTGAATCTATAAATTACTTTGGCCAGTATGGCCATTTTCACGATGTTGATTCTTCCTATCCATGAGCATGAAATGTTTTTCCATTTGTTTGTGTCCTCTTATTTCCTCAAGCAGTGGTTTGTAGTTCTCCTTGAAGAGGTCCTTCACAACCCTTGTAAGTTGTATCCCTAGGTATTTTATTCTCTTTGTAGCAATTATGAATGGAAGTTCACTCATGATGTGGCTCTGTTTGTCTATTATTGGTATATAGGAATGCTTGTGATTTTTGAACACTGATTTTGTATCCTGAGACTTTGCTGAATTTGCTTATCAGCTTCAGGAGATTTTGGGCTGAAACGATGGGGTTTTCTAAATATACAATCATGTCATCTGCAAACAGAGAAAATTTGACTTCCTCTCTTTCTATTTGAATAGGCTTTATTTCTTTCTCCTGCCTGATTGCTCTGGCCAGAACTTCCAACAATATGTTGAATAGGAGTGGTGAGAGAGGGCATCCTTGTCTTGTGCTGGGTTTCAAAGGTAATGCTTCCAGCTTTTGCCCATTCAGTATCATACTGGCTGTGGGTTTGTCAGAAATAGCTGTTATTATTTTGAGATATGTTCCATCAATACATAGTTTATTGAGAGTTTTTAGCATGGAGGGGTGTTGAATTTTATCAAAGGCCTTTTCTGCATCTATTCAGATAATCATGTGTTTTTTTTTTTCATTGGTTCTGTTTATGTCATGGATTACATTTATTGATTTGCATATGTTCAACCAGCCTTGTATCCCAGGGATGAGGCCTGCTTGATCATCGTGGATAAGCTTTTTGATGTGCTGCTGGATTCGGTTTGCCAGTATTTTACTGAGGATTTTCACAGCAATGTTCATCAGGGATATTGGCCTGAAATTTTCCTTTCTTTTGTGTCTCTGCCAGGTTTTGGTATTAGGATGATGCTGGCCTCATAAAGTGAGTTAGGGAGGAGTCCCTCTTTTTCTATTGTTTGGAATAGTTTCAGAAGGAATGGTACCAGCTCCTCTTTGTACCTCTGATAGAATTTGGCTGTGAATCCATCTGGTCCTGGGCTTTTTGTGGTTGGTAGGCTATTAATTACTGCCTCAATTTCATAACTTGTTATTCGTCCATTCAGGGATTCAATTTTTTCTTGGTTTAGTCTTGGGAGGGTGTATCTGTCCAGGAATTTACACATTTCTTCTAGATTTTCTAGTTTATTTGTGTAGAGGTGTTTATAGCATTCTCTGATGGTAGTTTGTATTTCTGTGGGATCAGTGGTGATATCCCCTTTGTCATTTTTTATTGTGTTTATTTGATTCTCCTCTCTTTTCTTCTTTATTAGTCTGGTTAGCCGTCTATTTTGTTAATCTTTTCAAAAAATCACCTCCTGGATTCATTGATTTTTTGAGGGGTTTTTCATGTCTCTATCTCCTTCAGTTCTGCTCTGATCTTAGTTATTTCTTGTCTTCTGCTAGCCTTTGAATTTGTTTGCTCTTGCTTCTCTAGTTCTTTTAATTGTGATTTTAGGATGTTGATTTTAGATCTTTCCCGCTTTCTTCTATGGGCATGTAGTATATAAATTTCCATCTAAACACTGGCTTAACTGTGTCCCAGAGATTCCGGCACATTGTGTCTTTGTTCTCATTGGTTTCAAAGAACTTATTTATTTCTGCCTTGATTTCGTTATTTACCCAGTAGTCACTCAGGAGCAGGTTGTTCAGTTTCCATGTAGTTGTGAGATTTTGAGTGAGTTTCTCAATCCTGGGTTCTAATTTAATTGCACTGTGGTCTGAGAGACTGTTTGTTATGATTTCCATTCTTTTGCATTTGCTGAGGAGTGTTATACTTCCAATTATGTGGTCAATTTTATAATAAGTGTGATGTGTTGCTGAGAAGAGTGTATATTCTGTTGATCTGGGATGGAGAGTTCTGTAGATGTCTATTAGGTCTGCTTGGTCCAGAGCTGAGTTCAAGTCTTTACTATCCTTGTTAATTTTCTGTCTTGTTGATCTGTCTAATATTGACACTGGGGTGTTAAAATCTCCCATTGTTACTGTGTGGGAGTCTAAGTCTCTTTGTAAGTCTCTAAGAACTTGCTTTATGAATGTGGGTGCTCCTGCATTAGGTGCATGTATATTTAGGAGAGTTAGCTCTTCTTGTTGTGTTGATCTCTTTACCATTATGTAATGTCCTTCTTTGTCTTTTTTGATCTTTGTTGGTTTAAAGCCTGTTTTATCAGACACTAGGATTGAAACCCCTGCTTTTTTTTGCTTTCCATTTGCTTGGTAAATATTCCTCCATCCCTTTATTTTAAGCCTATGTGTGTCTTTGCACGTGAGGTGGGTCTTCTGAATTCAGCACACTGATGGGTCTTGACTCTTTATCCAATTTGCTAGTCAGTGTCTTTCAATTGGGGCATTTAGCCCATTTACATTTAAGGTTAATATAGTTATGTGTCAATTTGATCCTGTCATTATTATGTTAGCTGGTTATTTTGCCTGTTAGTTGATGCAGTTTCTTCATAATGTCGATGGTCTTTACAATTTGGTATGTTTTTGCAGTGACTGGTACCAGTTTTTCCTTTCCATATTTAGTGCTTCCTTCAGGAGTTCTTGTAAGGCAGGCCTTGTGGTGACAAAATCTCTCAGCATTTGCTTGTCTGTAAAGGATTTTATTTCTTCTTCACTTATGAAGCTTAGTTTGGCTGGACAAGAAATTCTGGGTTGAAAATTCTTTTCTTTAAGAATGTTGAATATTGGCCCCCACTCTCTTCTGGCTTGTAGGGTTTCTGCAGAGAGATCCACTGTTAGTCTGATGGGCTTCCCTTTGTGGGTAACCCGACCTTGCTCTCTTGGCTGCTCTTAACATTTTTTTCTTTCATTTCAACCTTGGTGAATCTGACGATTATGTGTCTTGTGGTTGACCTTCTCGAGGTGAATCTTTGTTGTGTTCTCTGTATTTCCTGAATTTGAATGTTGGTCTGTCTTGCTAGGCTGGGGAAGTTCTCCTGGATAATATCCTGAAGAGTGTTTTCCAACTTGGTTCCATTCTCTCTGTCACTTTCAGGTACACCAATCAAATGTAGGTTTGGTCTTTTCACATAGACCCATATTTCTTGGAGGCTCTGTTCATTTCTTTTCATTCTTTTTTCTCTAATCTTGTCTTCTCACTTTATTTCATTAAGTTGATTTTCAATCTCTGATATCCTTTCTTCTGCTTGATCAATTCCGTTATTGATACTTTCGTATGCTTCATGAAGTTCTTGTGCTGTGTTTTTCAGCTCCATCAGGTTATTTTTGTTCTTGTCTAAAAGGGTTATTCTAGTTAGCAATTCCTCTAACCTTTTTTCAAGGTTCTTAGCTTCCTTGAATTGGGCTAGAACATGCTCCTTTAGCTTGGAGGAGTTTGTTATTACCCACCGTCTGAAGGCTACTTCTGCCAATTCATCAAACTCATTCTCTATCCAGTTTTGTTCCCTTGCTGGTGAGGAGTTGTGATCCTTCAAAGGAGAAGAGGCATTCTGGTTTTGGGAATTTTCAGGCTTTTTGCAATGGTTTTTCCTCATCTTTGAGGATTTATCTACCTTTGGTCTTTGGTATTGGTAACCTTCAGATGGGGTTTCTGTGGGTTTTTGTTGATGTTGATGCTATTCCTTTCTGTTTGTTAGTTTTCCTTCTAACAATCAGGCCCCTCTGCTGTAGGTCTGCTGGAGTTCGCTGGGGGTCCACTCCAGATCCTGTTTGCCTGGGTATCACCAGCAGAAGGGGCAGAACACCAAAGATTGCTTCCTGTTCCTTCCTCTGGAAGCTTCTTCCCAGAAGGGCACTTGCCAGTTGCCACTCAGAGCTCCAACAGACCTGCCAGCAGTGTCTGTCAACCCCTGCTGGGAAGTGTCTCTCAGTCAAGAGGCACGGGGGTCAGGGACCCACTTGAGGAGGCAGTCTGTCCCTTGGCAGAGCTCAAGCGCTGTGCTGGGAGATCCATTGCTCTCTTCAGAGCCAGCAGGCAGGAACGTTTAAGTCTGCTGAAGCTGTGCCCACAGCCACCCCTTCCCCAACATGCTCTGTCCCAGGGAGATGGGAGTTATATGTACAAGCCCCTGGCTGGGGCTGCTGCCTTTCTTTCAGAGATGTCCTGCCCAGAGAGAAGGAATCTAGAGAGGCAGTCTAGCTACAGTGGCTTTGCCAAGCTGCAGTGGGCTCGGCCCAGTTTGAACTTCCCCCAGGACTTTGTTTACACTCTGAGGGGAAAACTGCCTACTCAAGCCTCAGTAATGGTGGACGCCCCTCCCCCCACTAAGCTCGTGCATCCCAGGTTGACTTCAGACTGCTGTCCTGGCAGCAAGAATTTCAAGCCAGTGGATCTTAGCTTGCTGAGCTCCGTGGGAGTGGGATCCACTGAGCTAGACCACTTGGCTATCTGGCTTCAGCCCTCTTTCCCGGGGAATGAATGGTTCTGCCTCACTGGCGTTCCAGGCGCCACTGGGGTATGAAAAAAAAAAAAAAAAAAAAACCCCTAGTGAGCCGAGATCGTGCCATTGCACTCCAGCCTGGGAAACAGGGCAAACTCCATCTATAAAAAACAAACAAACAAACAAACAAACAAAAAAAAACTCCTGCAGCTAGCTCAGTGTCTGCCCAAACGGCTGCCCAGTTTTGTGCTTGAAACCCAGGGCCCTGATGTTGTAGGCACCCCAGGGAATCTCCTGGCCTGTGGGTTGTGAAGACCATGAGAAAAGCCTAATACCTAGGCCGGAATGCACAGTTCCTCACAGCACAGTCCCTCAAGGCTTCCCTTGGCTACGGGAGGGAGTTCCCTTACCACTTACACTTCCCAGGTTAGGTGACGCCCCACCCTGCTTCTGCTTGCCCTCCGTGTGCTGCACCCTTTGTCTAACCAGTCCCAGTGAGATGAGCCAGGCACCTCAGTTGGAAATGCAGAAATCACCCGCCTTCTGCGTTGATCTCGCTAGGAGCTGCAGACCAGAGCTGTTCCTATTCGGCCATCTTTGTACCACATAAACTCCGTTTTAAATGTACATATATCCTATTGGTTCCATCCCTCTGCAGCACCCTAATACAGTATCTGAAAACAAAAAGAATCAAGACTTCAAACAGAAACAATGCAGAGCTTGGTGAGAAAAGTTTGTCCCTGCTCCACACAGAGGCAGCCAGGATAGCTCCACTGGAGCTCACATGATATACAGCCCAGATGGGCATGGGCATGAAGTGTCCAGTGCCATAGCTCCATAGTCTCTGTATGCCAGGCCTCACATGACTGTTCCTTGTGTTCTGCCTCAAGCCCACACTAAATTTCTAATGTGACTTTAGTCATGCATGCTGTTTCACAAACTTGCTGTCAGCCCCTAAGAATAACAGAAAATCATCAAAATTAAAGAGAGACTAGAGGGCACAGAACAGGTATAGAGCCCTAGCCTGAAGGGACTCCACTCTCCCCAAGGCTGAAGGCTAGAGAGTGGCAGAGGATTTGAAAAGCATTCGTTTTCAAATGGTTTCCCTACCCTGAGGTTTCCTTCAATGCTTGGGTTTCCTTTTGGAGCCAGCAATGTACACATTTCAGGATGACATCTTAAATGAGGCGGCCATTTCCTATGTTGTTCCTGCATGTTTTCAAATAAAAAGGACTGCATTCAGCCCTGGCCTGCTACCGAACATCTCCACAAGACTTAAGTTACATGCTTGAACAGCCGAATGGGCAACAGCAAAGCTGCCTCTCATGATACAGAGGCCTGCCAAGAGACAAGCAACTCTAAATCAAAAAAGGAAGAAAAAAAATGCCATTCTCAGACCTCTCAGAAACTGGCCCAAAATGAAAACTCAGCTTCGCTGTGTCTAAAGCCAAATCACTGAATCAGGTTAGTTGACTTTTAAGGTTAGAGGCAGATGACACTTGTAAGGGTTGTGTCCTAGAACAGCCCACTGCTTTGACATGAGGTAGTGAAGAGGAAAACAGTACAGCTCCAGGTGTAATAGGTCTTTCTTACTGAGAAAAAAAAGCCCATTTTCAAACAATTTTACTTCATGTGACTTATGGTGACATTGAAAATTGGTTTTTTGTTGTTGATTTTTTGTTTTGTTTTGTTTTGCTTTGCTTTTTGCTTTTGTCTAAAATGCTACTGTAGTAATAGTGTAAAACGTAAACAAGGCTAGAACTTTTCTATTCTCTCTGAGTCATGATTGATTAGCAATTACTACTGGGAAGAAATACAGCAAGGATGAAGGCAATCAACAGTTAATACTAGAACCTCAACCTCCCACATCAAAGCCTTTTTCTAGACTTAATATTATTCTCTCTGTTGAAGATGTTTATATATAATGGAATGATCTAAAATAAGAACAAAAGTTGTAAGCCTAAATTCACCTTCCTTTACTCATATCTTGTGAGTAGTCCATATATATATTTAAAAATTCAAAGGGAACTGCTAACATGAAAATTTTAAATACACAAGGTGTTGTATAATATGTAAATCAATTAATCAAGTATTGCCTTTTAATGAAGGAAGACTGGAAGAAGTCTTTTCCATCCAGAAACCAGTATATTTTTACTTCCAGGGTTTTGCATCATTTGACTATTCAGAAAATATTTATTGAGGAAGCATGTGATAGGGTTTTGATGTCTGTCCCCTCCAAATCTCATGTTGAAATGTGACCTCCCGTGATGGAGGTGGGGCCTGGTAAGAGGTGTTTGGGTCATGGGAGCAGATCCCTTATGAATGGCTTAGCACAAATCCCTCAGTGATAAGTGAGTTCTCGCTCAGTTAGTTTATGCAAGATCTGGTTGTTTAAAAGAATCTGGGATCTCTCCATTCTCTCTCTTGCTCCCTCTGCCATATGATACACCTGCTTCGTCTTCACCTTCTGCGATGATTGAAAGCTTCCTGAGGCCCTCACCAGAAGCAGATGCCAGCACCATGCTTCCTGTACAGCCTGCAGAACCACAAGCCAATTAAACCTCTTTTCTTTATAACCTATCCAGCCTCAGTTATTTCTTTATAGCAATGCAAAAATGGCCTAACACAGTATCTTTCAGGCACTAGTCTAGGCTTTAGAGAATATAGCCATGTTCTGGATATCGATTGTTGCCAAATGAATATCCCAAAATGTAGTGGCTTAAAAGATAGCAATCATTTTATTATTATGACTCATATTTTGACTGCCTAAGCTTATCTAAGCAGTTGTCTGTCAGGGTCTCTGAAATAGTTGCAGTCAGATGATGACAGGGGCCTGGAGTCATTGCAAAGCCTTCTGCAATCCCATGTTTAGCCATTGATGCTGGCTGTCAACTAGGGCCTCAGCTGTGGCAATTAAACATTGCCTCTTTGTGTAGCCTGGATTTCCTCACAGCATGGTGACTGGGTTTCCAGACTGAGAGTCCCAAGAGAACCAGGAAGAAACTATATTGCTTTTATGATTTATCCTTGGAAATCACATACCATCACTACTGCCAATAGTCACAGACCTGCCAAGATTCAAGAGAAAGAAGCATAGACCCCTCACATCTCTCAGTGGGAAATGTGTCACTGTCACATTCTAATTAGACAATGTGGGTTGGGAGATCTTCTCATGCCCATCTTAGAAAAGCCAATCTGCCGTGAGAAATAAAAATATTATACAAAGTATCTGCCCTCATACATATGTTTAGAGGCTGGGAGAGCCTGGCAATAAATAAATCAAGAGAGGAATATCAGGCATGACAACTTCTATGCAGAAGAATTAGAGAAAGGAAGGGAAGAAATACAGATGGCGTTGAGCATACCATCTCTTTCATACAGTGGTCACAGAAGCCTTGTCTGATAAGTGGCCATGTGAGCAGAGATTCTGGAGGAACTGATCCATTGAGCCACGTAGATAGTGGGGCAAGAGCATTCCAGGCAGGAGAAACAGCAAATACGAAGGTCACGTGGGGAGACAGTGCTCCATGTGGTGAGGAAATGACCAGGAAGCCAATGTGGTTAGAGCAGTGACAAAGGTTCAAGAAGAAGGCAGAGAGCTTGCTGGGGGCCAAGCTTGCAGAGCCTTTAGCCGTGGTGAGGACCATGGTCTTTGCTCTGAGTGAGATGGGAAGCCATTGGATAGTTTTTAGAAGGAAAATGGTAAAATTAACTTATGTTTTAACAGGACGACTCTGGCCACTACGTAGAAAATAGAAGCACCACATCCAGATACAGAGTGAAAGTGGGAGATGAGTATCGAGGCTCTTGCAATAAATCAGGTGTAAGATGATGATACCTTGGACAAGGTATTAGTAATGGAGTTGGTGAGGAGTCAGGTTCTAATGTTAAATAATGTCTTTTTTTAGCATTCAGATAATAAGCCATGTTTATGGATTTAAATATTAAAGCCTGAGCTTAAATAATAAATGTTAAAGGATAAAAATGGATCAATTATCACTGGGCTGCATATCACAAGCAAATTTTCTTTTAACATAGCATTATGGGTTGTCTCTAAAACATTTTTGAAGCCTTTTCCTTTGGCAGCTTTAATACTTTTCCCTCCTAGGCCACATATCCAAAGTGAAATGCAAATTAAGGAAATTATCACTTAGGCCAAAAAACCATTTGACTGAAGTATTCAGGTAATTGAAGAAAACATGTTTTAGGGAGTTTATATGGCCTAGGTAATTCTCTCAAATTTCCACATCCCTTTACATATGCAGATAACAGTAGAAGCTGGGGTGAAACTCATGGGTGAAAAAAAATGTCACCCCTGTGAGGTAAACGGCTTCTTGTAGGACAAGAGAGTAAATCATTCTCCAGGCCACTAGGTGCCCTAAAGGAGGTCATTCCCTCCTACGCATCAGATCATTTTGTTCCCAGGGAGTTTTACGTTCTTGCCGGTTCATTGACCACACAGCCAGGATGGTTAGGCAGCTCTTAATAGATTACGGGTTATTTCCTTATTATGTTTGCTAAATGGTGGTGCATCTCATCATTTTTATCATGTAGGGAAATTTCATGAGGTCTCTCTGGCCTAGCCAAATACCAAAACAGGATTCCCCCATTTATTCCCTTATGCCATAACTGAAAGTTAGCTGAACCAATTAGAGGGTACATGATAAGCCAATTAGTTGTTCCTTACTTTTCCTAATGAGTGTAAAATGTGTGCCTGCTCAAATTACAGCTCATTTGACAAGATTCTTTGCTATGCTACTATTACTACAACTTGGCATTATTTCATTTCTTTCAGTATTAACAGCATCAGTCACAGTAGCTGAGTATCTCCTGTGAGCTTCCATAGGAATTGAGCTTGTCTTTACAAGGTAATCCTTCACCCTCCAACTCCAGCATCATGACCAGCTGTCTGAATTGCTGGAAAATGGCCCCTCAGTAAAACTAAGCTGAAGCCAAACCACATCCTGAAGATGAAACGCTTTTCTGGAGAATCCACTGACACTTCAGATATAAGAGGTTTCGGTCCCATATTTCCAAGCTTTATACATTATCTTGCTGCCACCAGAGGTTAATCAATATGTTCTCTTAGGTTCTTTTTGTGATGATCCATCTACCAAGGTCAAGCATGAAAAATGAGCAAAATCCATGCAAAGACTAAGATTTCAGCCATGGATTTTGAGGGAAGAGAAACTCTTGGGTTATTGTAAAACAGCCAGCTCTAGTATCCAAAGGAGAACAACAACCAAAAAAAACAAGAATAGAGTCAGAAAATTTTGTAACTTTGTCAACATTTATTTTCACCAAACAACTCATTAAATCACTATAAAAGTCAACGCATATGGTCGGATATGACAGTTTAAATTCTAGAAAGAGTTATAAGTCAAGTTAAACTCATAATACATAATGTAGTTTGGGTGTCTCATCCATGAATTATAACATTTTTATTACATCTCATCTGTAAATTACCAACTTGTTCCCTGTCCTGCCAATCTCTTGATTAAATGGGGGACTGTCAGGCATTGTGAAAATATATTATGGTAAAGGATAACTCCATCATTTGTCTCGCTTATTTCTACATGCTTATTTAAAGCTTTATCACTAGAGCAGCTGGTCCAAACTGAATTGTTGATTTAGCAAAGTGACAGCAGAAATGAGGAAGTAGAAAAAAAATTGGCCAAAAAGACTCATGTTTTATTGTCATTATCTTACTGTATTTCATCATATCTTTTTCTAATATTTGTGTATCTTGAATACTTTTGGTGTCCATTTTATATCACTTTAGTTCCTATTCTTCAAAGCTATTCTTTCTCTACAGGCCTTATTCCCATGGGCCTAACTGAAGGGTGATTTATTCTGTATCTTACACAGATAATGGGACAATAACTTGTACCCATCAAATTTCCCCATAAAATGGTTTAATATCTTGAATCAGTGCCAATAGGTCAGGTGAGTGAATCAAGTATACATCACTTCACATTTATCAGAGAGCCAAGAACTTACTTAAAAATTGACCTCCTTTATGAACTTTGATTCTAAAAGTAAAGGACACATTGATATATCAAAATATAAATAACAAGTACCTATATATTTGTCAATTTTTAATAATTTCCCTTTATTTGTATTTGTTTTGATTAGTGTGCTTTATTTACTTTTTTCTAGTTGCAAAGTAACCACATAATTATTACAGAAAGTTTTGAAGATAAAAGAGTCCTAAAAAAAAGTCACCCACAATCTCAACACCCAAATATATGGAGTGGAAACATTTTATAGCTTTCATAAGTAATTCTGATTTATGTTCTCTGCTCATAGTAAAATGAAAAAAAAAATTGCATTACTAATAGAATTTTTCTCAAGGAGAAAACCATCTTTGCTTAGCAACACACATAAGTAGACATGTTTGATTATAAACTTGAAGCCTGCAAGGCCTGACTTGAACCATCTAAGACAAAACAAAGGAATATCTGCATGGCTCTACCTCAAAAATGGACAGGAATCATAATCTAGAAGGAAAAGAGTAGTTAAAGGAGAGAGAGTGTGCCTCTAGCATGGGAGAAGACTAGCATCTAAGAAGAAGAGTTAGCCAGTAATTTTTAAGGCAGATCTGTCTGAAATGCCAAACAGGAATGTCTAATAGGCTTTTAAAAGAAGCAATGAACACAGATCCTCTGACCCCCCAGGTCACCCCCTGCCCCAAATATTCAGTAAGGTCTGCAGTACACTGCATCCTAAATTGTTGGGACTTTGAGGAGAAAGGACATTGGAGATGGGCGAATTCAGTGGAATAACATCATGCAGGAAAAGAAATGGCATTCAAGAGGGCAAAATGCAGACTGGAAATTTATAAATGAAGCCAAAGTAAGAACTCCCAGCCATAAGTATTACCAAAAATCTCACTTCCCTAGAGTTTCAGAGATAATGGAAGAAACACTGACTTTCCCACTGAAATGGAGACTTACACCAAATTTTACTTAAATATTAAAGACAACTCCCAGCAAGTTGGAAATTTCAGGCCTGACATCTGGGTTACAGTTTTAAGAAAACACTAGAAGCTTTATATAATAATGATGATGATGATGATGAAATAATAATGCAGTTTACATACTTACAGGTGATGTGATGCAGAAGTCTATGGAAGCATTCTAAAAAGACTATTTAGTCAATCAACCAGCCAAATAAAATCCCAGTTTTGCCAACCACTTCCAGAGATAGTTTGCTCAGATGAATAGAACACTATGCTAATTTCATCCAGGTTTCCTATCTGGTCCTATTAGCAGCTTCTAACCCACCACCCCCATGCACAACTAGCTCTCTGGAGAATCTGTGGCACTGGTCATGTGTTAGTTGGGGAGAGGTGCAGAAGACAGTAGAGAATGTTGTTAGCTAAGTATAAATCAGTTTGCATTATTAGAGTGTGCTCTGCCCTAAATCACAGGAAAAAAAAAAAAGGACTATAATATGGTTTGACTCTGTGTCCCCCGACAAATCTCATGTTAATTGTAATTCCCAGTGTTGGAGGAGGGGCCTGGTGGGAGGTGACTGAATCATGGGGGTGGGCCTCCCCCTTGCTGTTCTCATCATAGAGTTCTCATGAGATCTGGTTGTTTGAAAGTGTGTAGCACCTCCCCCTTCCCTCTCTCTTCCTCCTGCTGCAGCCATGTAGGATGTGCTGGCTTCCCCTTCACCTTCCACCATGACTGTAAGTTTCCTGAGGCCTTCTCAGCCATGCTTCCTGTATAGCCCTCAGAACTGTGAGACAATTAAACCTCTTTTATTTATAAATTACCCAGTCTCACATAGTTCTTTATAGCAATGTGAGAATGGGCTAATACAGACTGCAAGAGTATAATATTCAATTCACAAATAAAATCACGTAGGAGATACCAACTACAGTTCAGTGGACAAGTAAGGGAAAGTCACCGGAAATAAAAAGAGCCAGGAATGTCTGGTAACTCATTCTAGACTTTTAAATGTACAGAATGACAATGAAGATAGAAAAGAAAGAAAGATGGAAAGGAAGGGAGGGATGGGGGAGGGAGGGAAGGAGGGAGGGAGGAAAGAAGAAGGAAGGAAGGAAGGAAAAAAAAGAAAGAGAGAGAAAGATGAAAGAAAGAAAGAAAGAAAAAAGAAGACAGAAAGAAACAAAGAAAGAAAAAGAAAGAAAGAAAAGAAAGAAAGAAAGAAAGAAAGAAAGGAGAAGAGGGGAGGGGAAGGGAAAAGTAGGGAAGGGGAAGGGAAGAGAGGGGAAGTGGAAGGGAAAAAAGATAAGAGACGATCCTTCCAGGTGGGACAAAGAATTGTTACAGTATGGGAGATGCGAGATAGAGTAACCCAACCAAACAGAATGTCCAAGCTTAAGTTGGAAAGCCAGAGCAGAATCATATTATGAAGGCTAAAAAGAAGACTCTGTTTCTTAGCAAATGGAGAGCGAGTATTGATTCTTGATAAGAGACTGCCGTGATAAAAGTGTTGTATTCAAAGATCAGTTTTGTCTAGTTAGAGCAATAAAATACAAGTAATATTTTTACCGTATAGTAGAGAACACAGAGAAGGTTGCTACAATAATCCAGGTTCAAGGTGATGAGGGATGTGACTAAACAAGCTCAGCAGTGCCAGTTTCATGTGTGAAAATGACTGTATTTCCTAAGGCACCTGAGAGCAATTACACAAAGGAACAGGAATTTAAGTGCCTATCCTATTTTATTGTCTAAAATTCCAAGGAATTAACAGGACTAACATGGCCTCATGGCACAGGGTGGAGTTGGGAGAAGAGAGAGGTGGTGGGAGTTGTATGGAATAAAGAGCTTAAGTAGAAAAGCAAGCAAAGCTAGTGTATTAGTTTCCAATTTCTGTTGTAACAAGTTATTACATACTTAATGGCTTGAAACAACACAAATGTATTATCTTATGGTTCTGGAAGTCAGAAGTCCAACATGAGTTTCTCTTGGCTAAAATCAAAGTGTAGGTAGGGCTGTGTTCCTTCTAGAAGCTCCAGGAGAGAACTGTTGTCTTCTCCAGTTTCTAGAAGCCACTTATGTTCCTTGGCTCGGCTCTTCTTCCATCTTCAAAGCCAATAGTGTAACATCTTCTAATTTCTCTCTCACTCTGACAATCCTGCCTCCCTCTTCTAGAGAGGAGGCCCTTGTGATTACATTGGGCCGACCCAGATGATCCAGGAAAATCTTCCCATCTCAAGATTCTTATTTTAATCACATCTACAAAATTCCTTTTTGCCAAGTGAGGCAACATATTACAGGGATTACAGGATTTGGGGGATAGGATGGGGACATCTTAGGGGTTCACTAGTCTACCTAACCACAACACCTGGCATTGCTTTTCCTAGCAGTACCAGGAAGAACTAGGGGTGGGCACCATACGGCTGACTAGGTAAGTGTGGGGCCAATTTCCTAAGTGAATGTCATTAACTACCTTTCAACTGATCAATTATTCTACCAATCTTTTACCAGAAGCTCTTCCAAATACAACTGCAACTGCCAAGAGATTGATGGACCAGAGAATGGCCTCTTCATTCCAGGCACTTCTAAAGTCCAAGTGGTCAAATACCAGCCTCTTTTTACCAATGTTCCCACCTGTTTCATTCAGCCAAATTTCATTAGATGAAGGTAAAGCTAATGATTCCCTCATTCTCTGTAGTTTGACTCTCTCGAAGTGGCTAATGAGGAGAACAAATACAACTTAGACATCATGCCACATTTAGGGCAAAGGCAGCTAATACTAATGTACAAAAGCAGTACTGATGTTTTTTAAGTCAATACAGGGGGTTGGGTCTTCATTTTGCTTTGAAAATATCTTTTTGTGGAAGATAGGTTTCACTTTATGTACACAGATGATTCGTATAAATAATAATAACTGTAATAATGAAAATAATGTCTACTTAGTGTAATTTAATCTTTAATTTGTCTTATGGAGATAAAAAATTTACAAATGGAAAAGGCAAGACCACGTTTGAGAAAAATACAGAGGGAGAAAGAGTAGGATGCACAGAGATCAGTGTTGTCCAGGATTTTCATCTTCTCTCTTCTCTCCTGTGGCTCAGGCTAAGAATGGCATGGGTCATGCCATCTCAAAGTAAACTAGGCCTGTCTGTGGGCCTGCCTCTGAGATAGTCTAAAAGCCTTGCCTTTTTCCCAGAAGATTAGCATGGAACAGTGGCCCCTAGAAAATACCTTTAGCCCAATATTATGGGAATTAACCCAACCCAGTTTATGTAGAATATCCAGCTCTGGAATGAAGAATTGATGATAATCCAGGAGTTTAAAAAAGAAATAACTCAATTTTAGAAGATGAAAATAAATAGACACAAACAGGCAGGATACAGAAATCAATCTAGATGTTGTGCAAACCTTAGTGTCATTGCAGGTGTTAGTGAAATCTACAGTCTGTAGCAAAGATTAGGACCAGCAGTGAGCCATGGTGATTGCATGGGTTAGAAGTAGACAAGGAGAACAATATTCCTGTCAGCATCACCTTTGACCATGCAATCACATCTCTACATAGCCTAAATGAATAAAACAATTTTAACAGGGAAAGGAAGACATACAATGACATCTATTATTGTGTACAGTTTCTAAATGACATGGTAATAAAAATTTATCCCTTGTTTTTTTTTTTCTAATGAGCTACTTAGATGAAATTTTCAATGACAGCAACCAACAATGAGTAGAAGACCATTAAAATCAGTAGGATTGTGCTTCACTGTTCTTAATACAAAACCTGACAATGATTAAACAATTATGGGATTTGTTTGCCTCACACAACTAAGGATGGAAAGTGCTGGCCTGACAGTGCCTCAGTGAAGCCATCAGCACCCAGCCTTTCCAGCTTTTGGGCTCTGCCATCCTTAGCATATAGACCTCTTTCTCCACACTTCCAACCTCCTGATTGCCAGATGGCTGCTGTATCCCCCAGTCCCACCTCAGCGTCCCAGGGAAAAAGAAGGGGATTGGGCAAAAGGCCAAAAGGGTAGGTGAGCTAAACCTATTCTCTTTTAAGAAGCTTTTTTTCTTTTCTTTGAGACGGAGTCTCACACTGTCGCCCCAGCTGGAGTGCAATGGTGCGATCTCGGCTCACTGCAACCTCCGCCTCCCAGGTTCAAGCAATTCTCCTGCCTCAGCCTCCTGAGTAGCTGGGATTGCAGGCACCTGCCACCACACCCGGCTAATTTTTGTATTTTTAGCAGAGACAGGGTTTCACCATGTTGGTCAGGCAGGTCTTGGACTCCTGACCTCATGATCCACCTGCCTCAGCCTCCCAAAGGAAGCTTTTATAGAAGACTCACCCATATTGCAGACTCATTCTCTGCTTGTAGTCATTGGCCAGAATTGTGTCACGTGGTCACGCTTAGCGGCGAGGTAAAGGTGCCTGGCTCTGAGACGGGTCAGCTGAGATGAGTCAGTCGGAAGAAAGCATTCAACTGGAAATAAATCACCGCTTCACAAGCACCAAGAACGAAGAAAAGAAGGGAGAGAAAAGAGAGAAAGAGGAGGAAAAACATTTCCTCGTGGAGACCATTTTCTTGGTATTTAATAGCATTTACGGGACACCAAAACTGTTTTCTAGTGAGATGGTGGCATGTTTTTCCCTGGAGATTTTTAAGGGTTTTCCGTTGCAATCAAATGGATGAAAATGTTTTATAATTCATCTCTTATTGGAAAACAAGGAAAGGAACAAGATAGTCCCCTGAGTTGCCATGTAATCTCTATTTAGGCTTCTGGAATACTAAGTTCCTTTCCTCTTCAAAATGTTTAGGAAAGTGTTCCTGGCAATAATGCAGAGGCTGCAGCCCCAGGAATGAGGCCAAAGGGAAAGATGTTCAGATAGTTTTTTAAATAAAAATATTGAAATATTCCCGGATATACATTAACTGCTGTGGATGGTTAATTTTGTGTTGGAATGATAAATTTAGGGTCAAGTTCTACACATAAGGGTCCCTCATAGACCCAAACATGTACATCCAAGATGGGAGCACAAAATTACAAAATCAAGAATCTAGTTGCTTAAGAGGGAATATTATCATTGCAAATATTCAGGGAAGACTTCAATTGAAAGAATATGTATATGTGTGAGTGTGTGTGTGTGTGTGTGTGTGCGTGTGTGTGTGAGTGACAGAGGGAGGGAGGGAAACAGAGTTGGGAGAGGGGAACAGAA
This sequence comes from Homo sapiens, assembly GCF_000001405.40. NCBI lineage: Eukaryota > Metazoa > Chordata > Mammalia > Primates > Hominidae > Homo > Homo sapiens. The sequence goes on from NC_000004.12 coordinate 138,797,760, forward strand.
AGAAAAGGCCATAGAAATGTGTTTTACAAATAAAACTCTGAAAACACTGTATTCCACCTGCGCAGAACTTATTGAGAGCAGCCTTATTTTGCTGACCTAGCAAGATAGTTATCCAGCAAATCTCCTAACTACATAAGAACACATTGTCAAATTTTTAAACTTGTTAATAAGTTTAAAAAACAAAACTTTTTTGCAAACTCTCTGCTCTGGAGGCATATCTCAGGTTTATAAATTCTCAGTCTCTGCCCTTGCTGCAGCTACTACTCCCACTCCTCTCTGATCTGGCAGAGTCTTCCTCTCTCCACCCTTGGGTCCAAATCCCAGTTTAGCATTTCTCTTTGTCCAAGAACCTGCATTATAGTCCTGCAATCTTGTGTGTATTTGCCCAGACTGAATATATTCAAGTGGTTCCCTCCAATAATCCTCTTGTCTAGACCCATATAATTTATGAAAAGGAATTTTACGAAGGCTTAAATGTAGTCTGTGCCATATTCAATTTAATTCAATAAATATTTATTGAGTGTCCACCTAGAATTGTGCTGTGCACTGTGTGAAATATAAAAGAAATATATAGCACAGTCCCTCCTGTGAAGGAGTTTGCAATATTCCTGGGAATAAAACTTGGGTGCTGAAGTAATTACAGGATGCAAGATAGTATAGAGCAATGCAATAAAATTATGTAACCAAGACCACAATATAAGGTACAGACAACATTATGTTCGGTCAGGGCAAGCAGGATAGAGCTATGGGGAATAGTTCACAGAGGAGACGGAACTTGAGCTTGTCCTTGAGAGATGTATGGGCTCAGCTGGGAGCAGCAGTGGAGGAGGGCACTTCAGGCAGCGGAAAGAGTGTGAGTAAAATCAGAGAGCAGGAACAGTAGGCATGATATGTAAGAGGAAATGTGAAGAGGCCAGCCTGACTGAAGAGAAGGGGGAATGGAGGTCACGAAGTTGTGTTGGAAAAAGCTGGATAGAAAGAATATAATGAAACCACAGAAAGCCTTGAAGGACACAGTAAAAAATTTGGACTTGAACCATATGCTTAATCTCTCTATATCCCTTCCTTGATGTTCTGTCATTGTCATTAGAGAATTCATTCATTGACAGCCAGCATGGCACTCTGAGAAGAGCATGGACTACAGAGTGAGAAAGCACTGATTCTGCCTCATACACAACCTGAGAAAAGTCATTTTACTGCTCAACCTTCAGGTTCACAACTGTAAAAATGAGAAAACCAATGCCTATAATTTAGGAGTGTTGTGAAAAATAGAGATTATGTGTATAACATATCTTGTGGATACAAACAGATGGAATCTTCTACGAGCTTCATTTATCCACTAACTATTTCTTGAATGTCTACTATGTGCCAAACACTGTTCAGCACTGGGAAAATGAAAACAAAAACACACAGTGCTTATTCTCAAGACTTGAACAGATACGGCTTAAAACAGTGGAAAGACAGTAGCTTGGAATTGCATACACTTGCAACTAAAGCCCATTCCCACCTTGTACTAGTTGTATAACTTTGTGGAAACTATTCAATCACTCTGAATTTCAGTCTCATCATCTGTATAATTGGTCCAATGGTATCTACCTTATAGGCTGACTTGAGGATTAAATACAAATATGTAAAGAATCTAATCTAGGGCCTGACAATTTTAAGGCATTTAACAAATGTAATTTGTATTATAGTGAAAAGGTAGGCATGAAAAATAATCTTATAACAAAAAGTAAATGACTGGAAGGGAGTTAGAGAAGTCTTCACAGATGACACAGTCACTTCACTGAGACTTAAATAACAAATAGGGTTGTAAGTGGGCATGTGTTAATAGGACATTCCTGGAAGAGGAAACAGCATATCAAAAGATACAGATATTAAAAGGACTGGCTTATTCTAGGACATGCAGAATTCAGTATTGACAGATTATAAAGTTGAAGGTGGAAAGTCCAGAAGAAGAAAATGATCAGATAGATAAAGGCCAGATTATCAAGAGCCTGGAGTGCCACAAAAAGGGGTTTGGATCCCTTCCAATAGGCAACGGGTAGTCATTGATCAATGTTGAATAGTAAAGTGACTTGATCAGCTCTGTATGTTGGAGAACTCTCTCTAGTACGGAGATGGAAAGGCGGGGACAGCATTTAGAGGCTACTGAAAAAGTTCACATGAAACACGGAGATAGACGAGATGGGATGATTACTAGTGATATTTAAGAGTTGGTTCCATCAGAATGCAGTTCTGATTAGATTTTAGAGAAGGGTAAACATCAACAAAGAATCTAAAATGCCCCTCATTTTCTTGCAGGAAGGTGGTGCATTCTTGAGATTGAGAATACAGATGAGAAGCAGGTTTGGAATAAAGATGATATTTCCTGTCTGAGATACGATGAGCTTAAGGTGCCTGTGGCATATTCAAATAGAAATCTGGCCACATCGTTCTGGAGTACAGAATGGAGAACTAAGCTGGCTGGTGATGTAGAATTGGACATCATTTATGAATGAGGGTTAACCATGAGAATGGACTCACCCAGGGAAAAGGAAAAGAAAGGGGCAGGCTATTCCTACTTAGCCTTAATATTGAGCTGCTCAAGGAGATGAAACTCAAATCCTTTAGGGTAAAAAGATAAACCCCAGATGTAGAGTCTGTTGAGGTATGCCCAAGGTCAAAGAAATCCATTTTCTGGCATACTCTACATGATGTAAGTTTCATTTGTCTGAAAGAAATGAGAGGGACCACATGGAAAGCCGATCTTGGATATTGAGGGACTACATACAGGATGACAATTATAAACACACTGTCTCTAGAAAAACACTTCATTTACAAAGCAGATTTGACAGCTCAAGTTGCTTTTTGGCAGAGCAGTCCTGCCTGGCCCCTGTGCGACCTGGTGAGCTTCGATTACAGCATTGATGCTGGCTCTACTACAGAGACCCCCTAAAAGGGGAGTGATAAATGAGGTCCTGTCAGGCTTCATTCCCTGGGTGGCCTTGAATCTCTGCCGTTATCTGTTACCCTGCCAGTACTGACAGTGATGAACACAAGGCAGGCAGCTAATGACACCCCGATTCATTACCCAAAAAGAAGGGAAAGCAGAAATAAAGGGAAGGTGACTGCCATGTGGAAGCTTGTCTCACGTCAGTGCCGTCTTCCTCCTACAGGTTTGAATGGTGAAGAAATGATGGACGCTGTTTGTCTCAAACAAGGACTCTAATGATACAACAGAACAAGTCACAAGAAAGCTTGCCTGGAAAACCATACACTGGCCTCTTCGTGGTGAAGTCCTTCACAATCCTTACAAACATAGAAAATATTCAGCAATTCGTTTGTTTGTTTTCCAGTCCACTCTTACTTGAGAAAAATGCAAAACATCAAAGACACAGAAAAACCACCAGTCTATACAGCTTGCCCATACTAAATTGTTATTCATTTCAGAAGAGTGTACAGTTTCTTTCTGTAAGACTCTATTAAACCAGTTACTCTACAATAGCAAACATTTTAGGCAAACCTAACCATTGCTTCCCATAAAGATATTTATATCTTTAAGTGGTATCTGATTCATCCCTAAGAAATATGTTATCAAGATGTTTGTTTGTTTGTTTGTTTGTTCATTTGTTTTTGAGATGGAGTTTCACTCTTGTTGCCCAGGCTGGAGTGCAGTGGCATGATCTCGGTTCACTGCAACCTCTGCCTCCCGGTTCAAGCGATTCTCCTGCCTCAGCCTCCCGAGTAGCTGGGATTACTGGCACCCACCACCACTCCCAGCTAATTTTTTGTATTTTTAATAGAGACGGGGTTTCACCATGTTGGCCAGGCTGGTCTCAAACTCCTGACCTCAGGTGATCCACTTGCCTCGACCTCCCAAAGTGCTGGGATAACAGGCATGAGCCATTGCACCCGGCCGAAGATTTTTGTTTTGACTGTTTTTTTCTGAACTACAGGGAAACGAAGGCTTTTATGTTATTGTCCCCCTTTTCTCACTAACTGGACTTCCTGTGACACGTGAAGACGCTATGCATGTTTAATAAATACACTTTGAATTTAATGCTCAAGGAAGATAAGATTTTCCGTCTTAATTCAATCTATCTGTCTTGATCTAGGGTGTTAATTAGAGTACTGCTTCTGTGGGACATTAAGAGGAAGAATGTTATTAAAAGGGAGAAAAGATAATTCCATGGTCAAATAGATTTGAGGAAACTTGAGTTACTCAACTTTATCAAGTTTCTTTCCTACAGGATTTTTTTCAGTCCTTAATATACAAACGTGCATATTGACTCTCCTAAAACTATTGTCTGTAATATAGCTCAGTCTATTTTCTTCTACTCAGAATATTTTGTGCAATACTTATCTAGAGTAGTGTTACATAGAGCCACACTTTGGGAACTGTGTTAGTCTAGATTTACCACAAACCCCATCTTCTCACTCATTTATTCCATTAATAAACTCATATGATTATCAAGCTATATCCTAAGTATTTGGCAGAGCAAAACAGCCTGAGGGTGGGATAAATGCTTTAAAAAAAAGGTGTGATATTGTATCTGCCCCTAAAGCATGTATATATCTTGCCTCTATATTCAGCTCTTATACATTCTGCCTTTTAAACTTATTTTCAACATTTCCTCACTAAGGGAAAGAAGCATGGGTTAAAGAAGATACTGGTGCAAAAGGAAGAGCAATTATCTTAAATTTGGGACAAAGGCAATGGAGGTGATTAATACATGGATTTTACCCTTGCTTTTTGCTTAAGACCAAATTATTTTTCTAAAAATAGCAGCATGAAAACATCACCATTTCTTCTGGAAAACATTCCAAGCTTTTTTTATATACATATGAATGAAAGTGGTCAGAACTTCAGAATACTTAAAAACTACAGCATAATTTTCATAAGTGCCTCATGCAAGAGCAAGCATATAGGGATGATTCACTTCATCATCATAAGACAGCTAAGCACTGTATGTTTCTTGTTATGTAAGATGGACAGACACACATTAGCAGCATTTCTCATATTGGCTATTTGGTTTCTTCTACTAAAGCAAGCCCCTAGTGTTGTTCAAAATAGCTGAGGAGATGTAAAGTCTGGACTTCAGCACAAACAAACTTAAAAAGATATATGAACTAACCAGAGTTGTTGATCAGTGTTTGCTTGTTATTTTAGCCATAGAGCAAAGAAAAAAAATTAAAACAAATTTAAAGCTCACTAGAACTTTCATTATTCAAGCAATTTTAAACTAGTATCCAAAGTAGTACCTAAGTTGCAAACTTGTAATAACTAGAAATGGACTATAAAGCCTCTCTGATCTTTTTCATCTTTAAAAAGTAATCACGATTCAGGAGAAAAGAACCGTTCATCCAAGAACTAAAGTAATATCTGAGAGAGATGAAACAATCATTATAAATTAGAAGTAGCCCATCATTCATTTTTCTGCTATCTTCTCTCCAGGAGAAAGTTGACTCTCTGGAAAATCTGACTGGTGCTCTTTCCTCGTGTGCTCCAAGAACTTAAAAGCCAATTGTGATGTTTCCAAAATAAAGTACAGAGAAAGACACTTCTATTTCATTCCTCTTTCCCAGTGGCAGATTATTTGTATCCAAGCTTCATGGAATTTACCCGAGATGGGATAAATATAATTTTGTGTTTTTTAACAGAATAAGGTTTATCTCTCCACAGTTTCCATGTAAAATTCTTTTTTTCCTACAACCAACTGGGTACCTTCTACTTTTTCTGTGAAGGCATTTATTTCTGGCTGGTCAATCTGAATTGTTCCATTATCTTGCTACCCACTAGTGATGAATAAACTTCCTTATTTCTGAGTTCTTTGAGACCTGAAGGATTGATGGGCAAGAAGGAAGAACCGGGACTGCCAATGAAGGCAGGAATTCATCTTATTAGTCTCTGGTTTGAGTTAATCACTGGGGAGATAATATTTTAAACTCCAAAAGACTTCATGAAATTTTCCAGAATTTCTCCAGAGACACAGATCAATAGACCAGAATAATCAAGAAAAGGGAGCACGTTTGCCAAATGCCACTCACTTGGTAGGGTATTTCACTTGAGTGAGCAAAAGGGTTTTTATGGAATTATTCCAGCCCTATGAAAGAAGGAGCAAATCAACCCTCCAGGAAAGCTCCTCCAAATTGCAGCTAAAGATAAAAGAAAGGGTGACATTTTAATTCCAATCTTCAATCCTCAACAGAGGGATGCGGGTGGCACTTATTTGTTATGTTGTTCAGTTGATGAACAGCTTTCCCATAGCACTGAGCAATCACTGCCCTGTACTCTCAAAATAATGCATGGTGATATGGGGACCCAGGGCCCCATAATTTTGCCAATGGCTCGCCTCTTCTCTTTCAGCAAGAAGCAACCGAAAATGAAGCCTGCCTGATTGCTATGAGGGTTCCTCGGGCTTCAGCGATGTTTAAATATTAGCCCCCAGAGCTCAGAGCTTAACTCCCAGCAGCAAAACAGTTATCTACCCTGGTACCCTGAGCCAGGCATAAAAATTCGAAAATTTTAAAGCAAAGTCTAAGTTTAAAAAAGAAAATCACACATGGCGGGGTACAAGGAATGAATAAACCTCCAGCTCCCAAGAACATTTTCCAAAATGGCTCCTTTACCATTTCTAAATGTGAAGCACACAGATCTCCGGGTGTGGGACTCTCCTGCTTCTAGATGCCCCTCTCCCTCCACACTGTAAGCTTTCTCTGCACCTGCACCTCCTCTAAGACTTGGCTCCTTCCTGATCATTTCTGCCTTCAATGTGATATGCTCATCTTATTTTCTTATCCTCTCTCCTCTCCCTGTTCCATCTCTTTCTCTGTACCTCTTTATTCCTCTTCATCTCCCTCCAAGCCCCTTTTGTCTCTGGTTATGGCAGCCACTTAAGCATTGGTGGGTGCTCGAACTTGGCTTACCTGACAGGGGGTCCCTGAGGCTGTCCAAGAGAAACAAGACCCTAAGAAAGTATAAAAATCTGAGCTGCAACAAAGCATTTTTTTAACCTGAATTCAAAAGTATTTTCCTTAGCCCGTGCTGCATGTGCTGTATTGTTAACTTCTATCAAAGGGGTTCATATCTCAGGAATCACGGGAAACTTTCAAACATGATTGATGGCCGGTCAAAAGAACATCCACAGCGCGATAAGCTGCAGAGAGGGAATGTGCTGAGCCGGTTCAGGATTGCCTGGCTGTGCCTTTCAAATTCCTTTCATCGCAATCGGTGACTGTAAGCACTGCAGGGTGAGAACAAGCCAGGACTTTGTGGAATATTCTTAACTGCTGATATGTAATCCATACAGCTAGTGGTAGCAGCCCGAGGATAAAAGATTTAAAGAAATAGAGACACAAGGACTGATTTTTTTTAAAAAGGCAACTTGGAAGGAAAAAAAAGAGTGAGAACAGTAAGATTTATGTTAACCCATTGGGAGTGCTCTGGAAATCTCTTTGATGAAGGATTGAGATTGCTTTGAAGCAGACTTTATTGAAGCAAAAAGTAAGTGCAGTGTCCAGGGACTTGGGTCGACTGGGTCACTTATCAGTCTTCCTGACTTTGAGTTTCCTTTTTCTTCCAAATTCTGCATGCTACCAAGCTCCTAAATGCTGCTCTATAAAAATATTTTCCTGCTAAAGGAGGCTTTTATATAGCCTTAGTAATTAGTAGAAACTTGACTGGTGAGAAATATATTAAAAAGATAAGAACCCAGAAAAGAGGATACATACATATATACACCCACATATGACGTGTAAAAGGCTATTAAAATATCTGCACCCTGTTATGCATGCCCTTTCTTACTATGAGTTCAGATTTCAAATACAACACTACAGAGAGTTGGGACAAACTGGATGAGTACCATGGGAAGGCAAAAGTGGTTGTCATTTTCCAACGGTAGGAATATCAAACAGAGCTTAGGGAGCAAGAAGTAAAGATGGTCATGGCTGAAAGGGAGAGAACAACAAATAGAAGGTTTTGAGCCACCAGTGAATTTGCCTGAAACTGGGAATGTAAAACCATCCCATAAACAAGTGAGATGGCTAATTCTGGGATTATGAAAGAAAGCTCTAACAGAAAAAAAATTTTTTTTTTAAATCAAGGAGGAAAAGAAGCAAGTACCAATGAGTGACATAATGATGAGAAAGGACATATGGCTGATGATGTAGGGAAAGCCGAAACTCAGGATTGTCCTTCCTAGCACAAGCTGTCGTCTGTAGCTGCGCTTAGGCTGTTATTATAATTATGCTTTTCCATCCTTCCCGGCTGTGACCATAAAGTAATGAGGCTGATTTTTTTTAACAAACTGCAGTTTATATATTCAAACAGTGTTGATTTTCAGAGAGAGCAATGTTGCTGTTCTTAGATTTTGAAATCTATGATATCAGAAAACTATTTTCTTTGTGGCTAGTGTTTTGCCTCTGAAGGCAGTTTCCAAAAGGAAGTTTCCAAAGGGAATCATTTCCAAAAATGGTTTGAACAATCATACAGCAGTGTTAGTGGTTTCACTGAAGTTAGTGTTTAACCTTCCCAGCTAACTTTTTGGAAGGAAAAGGCTAATTTGGGGATACAAGTTCAAGAACAAGAGTTCAGCAATCAGTCATTGCTCACAAAATGAAGTCACAGGATTATTGGAGCAGGAGGAATTGGAACTCCTCTGCAGCCCTTTTAGACAGATACTGAGAAATATAGCAACCTGGTACACTGACCACTGAAGAAACCACACTGGAAAACATGAAAGCAAGTGCAATGGAGACTCCGCCTACCAGATCATTGTAGCTCCCAAAAAATAATGAAATCACTCTGCTCTCACCTGCCCCAATAAAGAAAAACAAATACAGTGTATTCTCAGATGTTTGGCACACTGATATGTTCCACAGACAGCCACCAACTTTACACTAATAGCCAAGGTGGTTCCTAGGGAGATCAATAATACCACTACTTGGCAAATGCTGAAACCCACTGCTCCCCTTAGATTCTCCACAAGAGAGCAAGAACATTTTGAGAACACACAGAAACTTCAATAACTTGGATGAATAACTATCTTTACACTGGCAACTCATCCTTTCTTTCTGTAAGGAAATGGTCCAGGGATATAACAATAAATGGGTACCTCTCCTCTACAAGGAGGCACCAAGCAGTACAACCCCACTCAACTTCAAAGAGTATCAGAATGACAAACACCATGTTGTTTTGTAATATCTGGGCCAGTTTCCTGTGTTTTATTACAAGTGTCCACCATTTGTTGGAGTTCCTTAGAGATGGTCAACTCCAATGCCATAGAAATAATGGCATTTTTATTTGGCTTATGGGAAAATAGATACAGTAAGCATATAAACCTCAGAAAAGGTTTTCTTTTCTCTTATTTGCCAGCTTCTATAAAATCTGTATTGGTTGCCTGATGCTTTTTCCAAAATCTGAGGGAACTGACTGAGCATAAAATGTTGAATTTTGGCATGCAGGGAAACCCAGAATCCAATACAGGTTGACATATTGGTAAATGTGATGAGCTACAAGGTGGCGTCACTTCTAAGGCACTGAGAGATGACCAGGTTCCAAGTAGGGGAAGTCCTTTAGGTCATTGCAGGGGACAGAGTCAGAAAATTATCTCAGGTGTCTTCAGACTTGAGGACAAGATATCAAAGCCCAAGGAAAGCACTAAAAGGGCTTGAGCAATGGTGTCTTCTCCATAACTGGCCAATTTCTCTGATAAACCAAGATGACACTTTCAGTTTAGCCTACAGTGGTATGCTAATTCATTGAAATAGGAGAAAGAATGGGAAGAAATAACATTTATTGAGTCTTCACCACATGGCCAGAGACCTTATGTCACAACAACCCAGTGTGGGAAGAATCATTATGTCAATTTCTACACATTAATCAATTGAAGACTCAGAAGTTAAGTGACTTATCGAGCTTATGCAAGATTCACCCTGATCTCTCTGGTAACTAATGCTAGGTGTTTTTAACATGCCTAAGCTGAGCTGCAGTGACATCTCCCAGGGTGTCTTACCATTGTTTCCTCCTTTCATGCAATCTATTCTATGAAAGTCCAATTTCACAAAAGATCTTCATTAGAAAGAAACTCTACTTCACACATAATTCGTTATTGGGTTCCCTTAATAAAGGTATCATCTGGAATATCTTAACAAATGAACAGAATTCACCTCTTGCATGAAGTGTGGTGTATTTGTATAGGCATGGAGTCCTTTTTTGATGATGCATCAAAAGTTTTTATCCCCTATCTCCTTACATTGTCCCATACCAAGACTACTAACCAACAACCCCACAATAGTAACCAAGCACTTACCATATATCTACCAAGGGCTAGTCCTTAGAAGAGCCACGGGGCATGGCATTTAAACAGGTAAAAACAACATAAAAATATAAACCTGGTAATGATAGGGCAGGTACATCTCCTCCACTCCAAGCTCCCCTCTGCACTATCGTTCTGACTCACCCTCCCTAGCCTCCCACTAGAAAGCTGTATAGCAACCATTTTTCAGTGTCAAGAATTCATTAAATAAAACATAAATACTATACTCTATGGGACCAGGATTGGGCTCCAAACAAAATTTAATGTGCAAACAGCGCTTAAAGGCCCTTGGTCTCCGTTCTGCTATTCCTATCACCAGCCTGGTTCAGAAGCCTCATAACTCGTCCTCTCCACAAGTGACTTGGCTACAAAGCAAGTTGTTTAGAAAAGCAGATAACAACCTCCCTTGAAAGAAACTAGTGAGGCATTTTAGAAAATAGGGTCTGTAGCAAATGTGGTCATAGGAATCACACAGCAACCTCTCAGGACTCGTTTCCTTCGGCATTGCCCTAATGAGGCTGCTTACAGTCTAAATGATGGAGAACAGTTCTCCCACACCCTCTCAGGTCTGTGATGCCCCAGTATTTTCTCTGCTTCTGATGCAGGGAAAACTGAAAGGATGACAGTGCCAAAGAACTTTCTCCTGGTTAATAGAGAGAATTTGAGATCACCTGGAGAGGCTCAGTCTATTGCAAAGACTCTTTGGGCAGTAATGAGACTTGAGAGATTTATCCGCCTTCAGGCAAGGTCTCTCCTAAACTACCCCAGATGCAACTCTAGCCTATTTTAAAAGACCTCTAAAGAAAGAAGGTTCTTAACTCTTCCCTTCTGCACAGGAATAAAGAGAGTGTTGGGAAGGCAGTTCACTTACATCTCAAATCAGCATACATGTGAGTCAACATAATTGGCCAAACAAAATTGCATTCCATGATAACAGGTAAACTATTTTAGATCATTCATAATGAAAGTGCTTTCCTATCCATTGCCTATTTATGAGATCTGAAGTGAGGAAATCCAACCAAATCTTTTCCTTGATCAAAGTTCTTCTATGGCTCCCCATAATCTAAGTAATCTCATGTAAACAAGATTGAAAAGAGAAACTCTCTTTTAATTTATTGTTCCCAGAGAGGCTCTAGCTCATTTCCTCATCTCCTTCAGGACTATATGGAAATGTCACTTTCTCACTGAGGCCTTCCATTAAAAACTACCCCATTTAAAAACTGCAACATCCCTCACCATACACTACACACACACACACACACACACACACACACACACACATACACACAGTCACTCTTTCATTTTTTATTTTTCTCCATAGCGCTTATCACCATCAAATGTACTATATAATTTCTTATTGTCTATTTTCCCTATCAGGATGCAAGCTCCATGAAGGAAAATATTTTGATCTGTTTTGCTCACTCCATTATTAAAATAGAGCTTGGTACATTGCAGGTACTCACTACATCACTTTTGAGAGTACTGAATGAACACATAGCTTCCTGCAAGATGCAGGGTCTTATATTAACTAACTGATGATGACCTTTCTCAAACAGGACATTGACTGATGAATATACAATAGCTATTCCTATTTAGGACATTAATTCTGGTTTTAAGATCTGAAATGGGGAATTTTCAGCTGTGATCTTAGGAGTCAGCACCCCTCTGAGATGTCCCCTTCCCCCAGCCCCAGAGGGGTACTAAAATGTGGAGCCTTGGGCTTCCTGAATTCTGCCTCAACCAAGCCAGTTCTTCTAATATCTGTCTTATACACTGGGGCTTTCTGTAAGATGTTACTGGGGAGGAAACTGTCCCATTACTAAAAATACAGTTAGAAAACCTCTAGGCTAAACTATGAGAGAGAGAAGCATGAAAGAACATTGGATAGAGTGTCAAAGAAATACAGACTTAATTCATTCGACAAAGATTTATAGGGCACCCATTGGGTACCTAGATTTGTGCCAGATGCTGGAAATACATAATGAAGTAGGACACAGTCAGGCTCACAGTCAGCCAAGCTCACATAACAAGTAATTATAATGTCCTCGGAAATTTTGTAAAATCAAAGGGGCTTTGGAGAAGGATGTCAGGAACGTGTCCTGCCAGAGGCATCTGCTGAATCTTAAGGATAGTTATTAGTCAGATGGAGCATGAGGAGACTGACCTTCACATTGTGATTTTAAATAAGATTTTAATCTCTTAGGACTCAATTCCTCCAACTTTAAAATAGGAGGCTTGAAAATTAGCTGATATGTAAAGTTCATCCCAAATGTAAAACTATTTATCAGGCCAGGTGCGGTGGCTCAAACCTCTAATCCCAGCACTTTGGGAGGCCAAGGGCGGGGGGAGGCGGGGAGGGGTGGTGGATCACAAGGTCAGGAGTTCGAGACCAGCCTGACCAACATGGTGAAACCCCCATCTCTACTAAAAATACAAAAATTGGCCAGGCGCGGTGGCGGGCACCTGTAATCCCAGCTACTCAGGAGGCTGAGGCAGGAGAATCGCTTGAACCCAGGAGGCGGAGGTTGCAGTGAGCCAAGATCATGCCACTGTACTCCAGTCTGGGTGACAGAGCAAGACTTCGTCTCAGAAAATAAATAAATAAATAAAAATACTATCTATCCAGCTTTGCCTACTTACCCTACAACCAGTAACAAAAGTTGTTAGTTTCGAGTAATACTGCTGAATATAGAGTTTGGGCCAATTCATCGGAACATGAATAATGTGTTTGGCATTGCATGTTGATGAGTAAGTCCCAAGAAAAAATGTTTAAATTAATTGGTGTTTTCTTTCTATATGAGAGGTTTTTGTTGCATTGTTCAGATTCAATTTCAATAATTCCATTATAACTATGCTCAATACCAGATATGAAGTAACCTAAAAACAAGTTATGAAATTACAAACTTTATTGTTCACCATTTAACATCGTTTGTTTTTTGTTTTTGTTTGTTTGTTTGTTTCAGGCAGAGTCTCGCTCTATCGCCCAGGCTGGAGTGCAGTGGCGCAATCTTTGCTCACTGCAAGCTCCGCCTCCCGGGTTCACACCGTTCTCCTGCCTCAGCCTCCTGAGTAGCTGGGATTACAGGCACCCGCCACCGCGCCTAGCTAATTTTTTGTATTTTTAGTACAGACAGGGTTTCACCATATTAGCCAAGATGGTCTCGATCTCCTGACCTCGTGATCCGCCCACCTCGGCCTCCCAAAGCGCTGGGATTACAGGCGTGAGCCACCGCGCCCAGCCTCAAGTTTGTTTTTACATTTGAGATGCTCTTCCACGTTTAACATATAGAATAAGAAAACAGAGCTCACTATGTCCTGGTAAATTTGGAACTAGAAGAGATTTCACGACATTTTACTCCTCCATGCTTTCAAATCATAACAAATATGTCATCTAGGAATTTGTTCACTGTCATCAATTATCAAACTATCAAAAGTTAACAGGTTAGCGTAATGATGAGTGGAATTCTGAAGTATATGTGCTTGGAGAATTTTGGTGTTGGGGTTTTCAATGTGTGCAAATCTCATTATACTTATGATGCCCAAGAGCTTAGTCTCTACCAGGAGGATTAAAGAAAATGACTTAGCTTCAAAAAAAAAAAGTTAACAGCAATATTTCCAAATATATTAAGTTGGTGCAAAAGTAATTGTGGTTTTGACCATTACTTTCAATGGCAAAAACCACAATTACTTTTGCAGCAATCTAATATATGTTGGTATGTCCTTAATTTTAAGAGGAAGCAAGGAGAAAGTAAAAGAATATGAAAAGAGATATTCTTAAATTATAAAACATGCACTAGATTTAATGTCTGTAGTTCTACCACTGAGTGGCTGTGTGAGTAGATCACTTGAGGATAGATCACTTGAGCTCTTCTTGATAGATTGTCTGAGTTATTTGAGACTGTTTTCTTCTTTATCAAATGAAGGTGTTAATATCTATCAGAGTGGGAAACGCCCAAATTTCTATCACCTGATGAATGGATAAACAAAATGTGGTATGTCTCTAAAATGGAATGTTATTCAACATTAATAAAGTCTGCAATACAATATGGATGAACCATGGAAAATTATACTAAATGAAAGAACTAAGTCATTTAAGATCGTATATTGAATGATTCCATTCATACTAAATGTTCAGAAAAAGCAAATCTATAGACACAGAAAGTTGATCAATGGTTATCCAGGGCTGAGGGCTGTGGGGAGCAGGAGAGGGATGGAGGTGGTGGGAAATTTTTGGAGGAGTGAGTAAAATATTCTAAAATTGACTGTGGTAATGGTTTCACAACTCTGTGATTGTACTAGAAACCACTTGTTATGGACTTAATGTTTGTGTCCTCTCAAATTCATGTGTTGAAGCTCTAACATATAATGTGATGGTATTTGGGGGAGGTAATTAGGTAATGAGGTTGAGAGGGTACAGCCCCCATGATGGGATTAGTGTCTTTCTAAAAAGAGGAAGAGACCTGAGCTCACACTCTTTCTGCCATGTGAGGATACAGAGAGAGGGCTACCACCTGTAAGTCAGGAAGAGGGCCCTCACCGAATATTCCAGCACCTTGATCTTGGACTTCCCAGCCTCTATAACCATGAGAAATAAATGAAATAAATGTCTGTTATTTAAGCCACCCAGTCTACACTATTTTGTTATAGCAGCCCAAACTGACAAAGACAATGCAGAATTGAACACCTTTAATAGGTGAATTGTATGATAAGTGGATTATATATCTCAATAAAGCTATTATTTAAAAATAATATTGATCAGAATTGTTGTGAGGAATAAATAATAGAAGGCATCTGAAAGTTCTTCAATGATAAAGAACATCCTATATAATATTGGCTATATAATTATATTTAAATTTTCCTTGAAAAGGATATTTTCAGTGCCACCCTGTCAATCCAAAGATATCTAAAATAAGCCCAAAGTCACCAAAACAAGAGGTTGTCACCACTCAACACATGTTCTTCAATTAGCATGTATGACAAATCTGGATACTGTTCCCATGGTACAGTGGCACACCAGGAGTCTATCTCACTGAGATTCAGAGCTCCACCTACATTGCTGAAAACTCAGGCAGCATTTACTTTAGATCTTGTCAAACTTCTAATCATCTCACTTCTTGATATCTTACTCTGAACATATATCAATAAAGTGGAAAAGGATAAATGTGTTGAAAGTTTGCTTTGAACATACGAAATCTACTGTGAAAATAGGGGTAACCAGGTATACATAAAGTAGAAGGGAGATCTTTCTCACATAACATAACCATGTTGATTCCACTACTGAAACCCATTTTCCCTTGCATTTGAAGTACGTCTTGGTGAACACAGCTTTTCCTTGTTTCACTTAACAACTGCTGTTAAAATTTTAGTGACAGAATGAGAAAGTCATTCAATGGAGATTGCCAAATGTCTAATTAGATGATGTTAAAAATCAAAGGAGGAGAATCCAACTGCTAAATATAATAAGCTAAGGCATAAAATCATGGATGAAAGAGAAAATGGTACCTTCACTTTGTTAAAATGGGGTACATGTATAAGATATTTTCTGCAATTTTCCATGGATTAAGCCCCTTAGGACTGGTTTATTGACTGACTGAGTTTCTACTCTACGTTGATTTCCCATCTGATCACTAAGATCCAGAATTACTGCAAACTCATTCTAACTAAAGGAGAGAAAGGAACCGAATTCGTTTTTGTAAAATTAGAAAAAGTAAAAACCATGAAAGAAAATATAAATAAATTTGATTATCTGAAAACTTGTAATTACTTTTCAACAAAAGACACTACACAAAATTTAAAGACAAGAACCAGATTGTGAAAGATATTTGAAACAAATAAGAAAGACAAAATGTTTGTATCCAGAATATATGAAAAACTCCTAGAAATTAATGAGAAAAAGATAATCCAATAGGAAAATAAGCGAAGGATATAAAGAAATAATTCATTCAAAAGAAAATACAAATGGCCCAAAAAAAAAAAAAAGAAGAAGAAAATAAGCTCACCCTGGTGGCTCACGCCTGTAATTCCAGCACTTTGAGAGGCCGAGATGGGCGGTTCGCCTGAGGTTGGGAGTTTGAGACCAGCCTGGCCAGCATGGTGAAACCCCGTCTCTACTAAAAATACAAAAATTAGCTGGGTGTGGTGGCACACACCTGTAATCCCAGCTACTTGGGAGGCTGAGGCAGGAGAATTGCTTGAGCCTGGAAGACGGGAGTTTGCAGTGAGCTGAGATCGTGCCACTGCACTCCAGCCTGGCCAATAGAGCGAGACTCTGCCTCAAAAAAAAGAAAGAAAATAAGCTCACCCACACTAATAACCAGGGAAATACAAATGAAATCACTAATGATATTTTGTACCAGATAGAAAGAACTGTTATCATTTGAAAATACCATGTACTGACAAGGTTTTGTAGAGAGAGGAACCTATTCATCCCGAGTAGCTGTGTAACTTAGAACATTCATTTTGCACTGCCTGTTAAAATAAAAAATGTTTATACCTATAACCTATCTTACATCCTTCTAGATATCTTATTTTTTTTATTATTATACTTTAAGTTTTAGGGTACATGTGCACAATGTGCAGGTTTGTTACATATGTATACATGTGCCATGTTGGTGTGCTGCACCCATTAACTCATCATTTAACATTAGGTATATCTCCTAATGCTATCCCTCCCCCCTCCTCCATAGATATTTTTAAAAAGCTCTAGCACATGCAAAGATGTTTATTTTGAAGTTGTTTGTAATAGTTAATAGTGGAATTATTAAATAAGATGTTTTATATTCAAGAGATAGAATATTATATAGTAGGTAAAAGGAATGAACGTGTGTATGTGTGTCTGTGTCATCATAGATTGTTTTGTTTTTAAAGTTATTTGCATAAAATACATAAAATATCATGTAAAAATAATGCTTTTCATATTACAATACAATACTATACATTTTATTAAGATGCAAACACATGTATGCTAGATCAGAAACAATCATCCAGAAAAATACAAACAAACTCATGATTGTGAGTACCACTAAGAAGGGGGTGGAGGGAGGACAAGATTTAGACGGTAGTTGAAGAGAATTTCCACTCTATCCAAAATGTTTTAATTTTTTCAAAAAAGAAAAATGTAGTCATATGTTATGTGTTTTTAAAATATATATCCAGGAAAAAGCCTGAAAAACAAGTTATAAAAATGTTCAAGTGGGTTTTTTATGGGTGGTAGATATATTCGGGATTGTTATTTTCACATATATGGTGGGGGGCAGTGTGTGTGGGTGTGTTCTCCAAATTCCTCAAGTTAAAAAAAAAAAAGAGGAAAATGTGGCCACTACAGTTTGATAGTCATATGGAATAACAAACCCAAATTTTAAAGTGGCCCCAATCTCAAAGTGATAAAAGTACTCTGCACATAAAAGTATGTTATATG
The DNA here is from genome assembly GCF_000001405.40 of Homo sapiens. Classification (NCBI taxonomy): domain Eukaryota; kingdom Metazoa; phylum Chordata; class Mammalia; order Primates; family Hominidae; genus Homo; species Homo sapiens. The sequence goes on from NC_000004.12 coordinate 138,815,475, forward strand.
GGTGGGATAACCCACTAACTAATCAACTATTATTCATTAGATTAAACATTAGATTAAAATCTTTACTAAGCATTAAACTTTCACCTTGAAAATCAGAGAGCAGACCTTGAAGAAATGAGCAGAACTAGATTTTTGTGATTAAATATTACTACATAATTTGTCTTAAACACTTTTCCTTTTAAAAATGTCAAGATAATTATATGTTAAATATTATCTTAATAAGCCCTAGAAATTCAGATTTTAATTATAGAATCTTAGGAAACATGAGCTTCTAGCCTCACATCATTTAATTGTGGCCTTGTGGAATTTGCAGGTTACGCCAAAATCCTTCATTACCTGGTTACACACTAGTGGACAATATGACATTTTGCTTGGAAATGATATAGGATAATATGATGGAAAATAACTGCACTTTTTCTATTGTGCTTCTCCTATAAGGCCATAAATAAGTTGAATTGTGCTCCCTTGATTTATGTTTATGACTATTATTATGATGATTTATTTTGGGTTGAGTGCTGACAGTGTGCTGAGTGCTGTACCAGACTCATAAGAAGAAATGGTTATGCCCCAGAGGCTTACATACCAAGACAAACAATTCAGCCATAAAATACACCAGCTAAGAGATGCTTAATCTCAGCAGTGCAATGCCTCTTGGAGTTTATATGTAGGTGGAGAAAATTTCCTTCTCCCGGGGAAAGAAGGTTAACGCTCTTTGAAAGACTTGGAGGAGCAGTTTTCAATAGAGATTTCATACAGGGGTAGGGAAACATCAAAGTGCATGCTATTAGGAGCATAGTAGAGAGGATGGTCGATTGAGGGTTCCCCAGCAAACACACAGTTTATGTACTGAGTTAGGTATCGAGGTTATAAGATTGCCCATCAAGGACTTCAGTCTAGTGGGCACACTCGACTGTGATTCCAGATATGTTCAATGGGCTACTTTTAATATTATAACCACCTTAACCTGTTCTGGAATAATATTGGTTATGGATATCTAAATCAGTGTTTCAGAATGTATGTTTTAAAGAACAATTTGCTTAAAGGATGTTATTAGGTATGACAAAATTTTAAAATATAGCGGACAAATAAATTTGAAAAATGCGGGGTTAAACAAAGTGAAACAAGGATCTCTATTGCAAGGATAGTCAGAACCATCAATCAAGCTATGGAAATTGTGAACCTTAGAGTTTGATTACAAAAAAAAAGTTTGGTAGAGCACTTCATGGGACTAGTACACTGGGAAACACATGTTGGGAAAGTTCAGTGGAATAAAGAACAAAAGAGAAAATGAATTTAACTGTGTTTGTTTTAACTGTGATAGCTGTTGGGAACCCTTTGTCTCCTGATTTGAGTGCTACAAAGATATAACATGCCCTGGTGTCTCTTCCAGCTGAGCTGAGCGAGGCACAATACTCTCCACCACCTTCCAAGCACAGTTAGAAAGATAAGAGGATAGGGTGAAGCACAATAAATGAGTCTACACATTTGTGGTAGCCAGCCCCCTAGATGGTTCCCAGTGATCCCATGCTCCTGGCATTCCTGCCCTATGGGAGTCCCCTCCCACAATAAATAGGGCTGGCTTATGTAATCAGCAGGATATTGGAGTGTGACTGTCAAAGCTAGGTCATAAAATACATTACAGCTCCTATCTTGCCGTTTTGAATCTCTGGCTCTGGGGAAAGCCAGCTACCCTGCTGTGAGAACACTCAAGCAGCCCAATGGAGAGATCTATGTGGTGATGAGCAGAGTCCTTCTGCCTATACCGTGTCAGTGAGTCTTCTTGGAAGCAGTAAGTCAAGTCTTTAGAAAATGGCAGCCCCAGCCAACATTTTGACTGCAACCCTGTGAACAACCCAGAGCCCATACCACCTACAACTGCTCCCAAATTCATGACCCACAAAAACTGTGGGAGATAAAAAATGTCTGTTGTATTAAGCCACTAAGTTTCGAGGTAATTTGTTACACAGCAATAAATAACTAATACAACATCCTAGATTTTTCAAGAATTCAAATATGCTGTCTTGTTGTTCATCCATGTGTCCTGATTTGGGATTCAAAACATTTGATCACCAGAGATACTCCTTGCCTTGTACACAAGATTAGAGTCACTAAACTTCAATCAATACTAAGGCCAAAACAGCATTCAAGAAATGATCTACATGGCATTCCTCAAGAATATATGACCACCACCCACTTCACCAAAAACCTCTATTTCCTAGATGGGGCTGGCCAGCTTCTCAATGAACTGATAAAATCACAGCGATAACTATCAAGATCTTTTGAAAAATAGGCCCATTGACCAGGCTACTGAGAGTAAGAAAGTGGCCTCCACTATAAAGGTTGACACTGACACTGTCTAAACTCCACTATGCGGTAAAGCAAAAGGATCAAGGCTCTTACACTGAGTTGAGGTAGTAGAACCAAATCCAGCTCTCCCCTGTGGAACATTAAAAGGGAGGAAATTGAATAGGGTCCAAGGATAAAGGCAAGGTTGGGGGAAGGGAAACAATACAAAGGGTCTGAAATGACCTGTGCAGAGACATGAAAACATGCTACAAGGCAAAGGAGCCTGGAATCAAGGTAACCCACGCAGAGCAAACTGGCCTAGAAGGGCAAACCCTAGGTCAGCAGTAGGACCCCTGTGGAACAGAGCTGTGAAGGGTGCTAGGCAACTTTGGAAAGAGGGTGATCCAACCCAGATGTGTGAAAAATTCCCAGATCACACAGGATAAGCAGTCTTACCTGGAAGGGAAAGGGCAGGTTAGGCAAGAGAAGTGCCAAGTAGTGGTTCATAGACCACATGGAAGCAACATGCTCTAAAGAAACTATGAGGCCGGGCACGGTGGCTCAAGCCTGTAATTGAGCCACTTTGGGAGGCCGAGGCGGGCGGATCACGAGGTCAGGTGATCTAGACCATCCTGGCTAACACAGTGAAACCCCGTCTCTACTAAAAATACGAAATAGCCGGGCGAGGTGGCGGGCGCCTGTAGTCCCAGCTACTCGGAGGCTGAGGCCGGAGAATGGCGTGAACCCGGGAGGCGGAGCTTGAAGTGAGCCGAGATCGCGCCACTGCACTCCAGCCTGGGCGACAGAGCGAGACTCCGTCTCAAAAAAAAAAAAAAAGAAAGAAAAGAAAAGAAAAAAAGAAACTGTGAGCCAGATGATAGGATGCCCATCAGTGAGAAATGAAGCATTAGAAGAGGGTCCAATCTGAGCTATGACCTTGGGGGACATCAAAAACAGGTGAGAGGGGAAAAAATGGAGGAGCGGGGGAAGGAGGAAGGGCGGAAGGGAAAGATGGCGAGTGGGAGAGTGGGAGGGAGAAGTATACAGACGGCTGGTGTGGTGGCTCACACCTGTAATCCCAGCACTTTGGGAGGCCAAGGTGGGCCAATCGCTTGAGCTCAGGAGTTCGAGGCCAACCTGGGCAACATGGTGAGACCCCGACTCTACTAAAAATACAAAAAAAAAAAAAACCAAAAAACAGACAAATTAGCTGGACGTGGTTGTGGGCGCCCACCTACTCGGGAGGCTGAGGTGGGAGGATCACTTGAGCCTGGGAGGCAAAGGTTGCAGTGAGCTGAGATTGCGCCACTGCACTCCAGCCTGAGTGATTCTGTCTCAAAAAATAAAAACTTTGATTTTCATGGGAACCACTGTTCCCATTTTAAAAGTTTGGGAAACACATGGCTGTCTAGCTGAGTATGGATTTCTAGGTGGAGAGGTAAACAGTGAGAAAATAACCCAGGACATCTGGATCACAGGTACCCCAACACAAAAGCAGGAGGTGTCTAGGTATCTACCCATCTACTTTAGCAACATTGGCAATCTTTTAAGGAATTCTGCACAAATAAGTTGGAATTATTTTCTCCCATTGCACCGAGTCCAGAAATAGTCCATGACCAATGATCCATTACAGCTGCCGGTAGAAATAAATTTGCTTGAAACTTCGCAACAGGCTCAATACACAGTCTTGCCCATGGAAACATACATAACGGTAATCGGTATTCCTCTCCGGGCCCAGACCTGGTGGATAATTACAATTAAGCTTCAATGGATTAGCTGCCAGCGGGACAGTAGATAGTGAGTAGTATTTTACATCTCTACTTTTTCAGCAAATTTGGGCATGTGGAGTTTTTTTTTCCTTCTCCATGGAAAACAAAGAAGTTATTTCCAATTAATTCAGGAGAACATTAAAATTACTGAGAATTGTACTGTTTCCCATGGCAGGATGAATGAGGTACAGAGTGACTCTCCTTATTGTGTTAGAAATGCAAGGGTCACTCACATTACTTACAGAGCCCCTTGTTTACATTTTTCAATTAGGAGATAATCAGTATGCCATTATGAGTAAAAATTGTTGGAACGATCTTTTGGCTGTATATTTTAACCAGCAAATCTTTGGGGAAGGTTTGATTGAAAGTATGACAGGAGAACAAGGCAAGTTATACTGATGATAAATAAGAACAATTATCACACTTATTATCTGATAAATAATTTATTGTGATTTGCCATGAATCCATCTCAAGCCACCTCCTAGATGAAAACACACCCCAAAGACTGACTTCTTCAGCTTTTCCCATGTCATGTCAGAAATTCTTGCCTGAAAAACACAAAGGAAGCATTGCCTGGAATATAAAGGCCTGTCACTACATACTTGATCATTTTAATCAGTTGCAGATAAATTACGCCCCTTATATAAATAGTAAATCAGTACTTCTTTCTCAGCTTTAAAAAAAAAAAAAATCTGTGAGAAGCTGTTTTGAAGAGAAGCCATAGCTCAATACTTAGGGATCTGTTTTGTTTTTTGTTTTTGTTTTTTATGTAATTTCAACTTTTATTTTAGATTCTGGGAGTGTATGTGCAGGTTTGTTACATGGGTATAGCATGTGATGCTGAGGTTTGGGATACAAATGATCCAGTTGCCAAGGCAGTAAGCATAGCACCCAACAGCTAGTTTTTCAACCTTGCACCCTCTCTGCCTCCCCCATCCATTAGTCCCCAGTGTCTATTGTTGCCATTTTTATGTCCATGAGCACCCAATGTTGAGCTCCCGCTTCTGAGCGAGAACATGCGCTATTTGGTTTTCTGTTCCTGTGTTGATTCGTTTAGGATAATGGCCTCCAGCTGCATCCTCATTGCTGAAAAGGACATGATTTCATTCTTTTTTATGGCTATGTAGTAAGGAATCTGTTTTAAGTGTTGTCTTCCATGCTTCCCATACATTTTTAGTCAATGCCTACAGCATATTCCTGATTTCAGATAGTACATACTATTATAAGAGGATTACTAAATTCTTCACGGCATTACATAAATTCAATTGGTAAGGATTGGTTAAACCTAGTAAAATCATTCTAAATGTTGGAGATCAGTGAAAAATGTTGATTCCTCTGTTGCACTCTCCTTTTTGGCAATTCCCCCCAATAAGCATACATGTGTTATTTTCAAACTTGATAAGCAATATAGACCTTTTGGGCATACAGATTATATTTTCCTACTGACTTCATCCTCTAATATCTTGAAAAATAATATTAATACTATGTTTTCCTTTTGAGCCCTCAAAGAGAGAGACACCATGGTGACTGTCATTCAAAAATGAGGTGTTAATTCTACTGCTTCTTTTTTGTGTGTGTAATTTTTGTTCTTTTTCAAAAATGAATTTCAAAAACAAGTAAATTAATTTGATTTTATATTATTTATCTCTGATAATAAACAAATATTCTTTGTTAGGTTTTGTTCCCCATGCTTTTTTTCTCTCAGCATTTTTGGTCACTGCTTTGCTATTATTTACGTAGTCATCCTACCTATAAGTTTGGATTCATTTCATAAAATTTTAGGAAAATTTTTAATTACTGGATCATTAATATTAGGCAGAAATCCATGTGTCATTATCAGAAATTACAAACTAGTATTACTTGTTGTGGGCTTCACTGTTAGGGAACTGATATATGGCCCTGAGACGTCAAAGGGTCGCCCTCTGCCTTCAGGTATCTGGAAGAGATTTTAAAAAAAAAACTTTTAACGGTCTGTTGAGAATGTGGCTATAAAACCATTCATGCAATTTGACATCCTCAGAGTCAGGAAATTCTTCCTCATAGCTAACCAAATCCCTCCAGCTGCAATAGAAGTCCATTTCAAATTTGGTTTTAGGACTAGGAGACTCATTAAACTCTTATTTTGTAGATGAAGGAAAGGTGGTAAAGACAAGACACCACAGTGTTCTTATCTTCATTATTTCCTTGGCAATGAACAAAGCCAAAAAACAGCTTCTTGGTAGGCATTTCTTATCCACAGTTAGAAAATTTTTTATCCTCCATCATGAGGTGAGCCAGGATCAATTAATAGCCCAGGCAGTAAGCATAGTACATCCCTGAAAGACCTCAGCCCCACACGCCTTACAGAGTAAAGCAGAATGGAGTTATGAGCATCCTTCATGGCAATATAGTATAATTTTAAACAATGGACAAGTTCCTAGATTACACTCAATTTAAAAACAATGCAAGAGTGCTACTTTACCTAATATAGCCAATCCCCAATATATCATACATAAGTTTCAAAATCTCTCTGTACATAGAATCACAGGAACTGATTAAAGAAAGGTAAAGGAACTGGGAGAGAAAAATCTATGCAGTTTTCTCTTGTCTGACACGAGAAATAGATGTGAAATACATGTCACGAATGCAAATCAGGACAACTGAAGGTCTCGTCATAATGTAGCATTCAGTATTTTAATGTCAACATCATGAGAATTCAAAACAGAGAAATATTTTTCTCTTTCTCCCTCCTATGTCTGTCTATTATATATGTATATATCTGTCTATGTATGTGTGTGTGGTCAGACACCACAAATATAGTACTGGTAAAAAAATAATAACAAATAGCACAAAAAAGGAGTATTTTACTCTTTTCTGACCAAAATTAATATGAGTTTCTTACAGGTGTTTTCCTCTTTTTAAAAGATAATCCACTTTGAAAACTGATAATCCAGTTCTTCCCCATCCAGAAGCTCTCAGGGAAATTTGGTAGATGGCATTTGATTTACAAAGACTAGCAGAATGCTCATGGGCAGATCCTTCTGTTTGAAGCAATTCCAGAGTTGTCCCTTCTGTGAAAATGCTTGAGATAGAACATTCCAGCACTCCCTACCAAGCAGAACAAAGCTCACATTTTACACAATTCCAGATATCCTCGGGCCTCCCAAGTTACCACCTGTGATTTGGATCTAAGCAAACAGAAAGCTAAAAGAGGAGACAAATCATCAGTAAATCTCTTAGGTGCTGATCCACAAATACTAGGAGCCAAGGGAAATAACCAGGAAGGTCTTGAAGTGATGCTACCAGAAAGGGAATTATGATCTGGTTGGCACTGGGGAACCTGTTAGGATAAATCAAATGACTGAAATGTCAATACTGAGGAACGCAATCTGTGAAGAGAGGACAAAGAGGTGGGAAAATGAGGGCTTGCGCTGTAGATCAAAAAGAGTTGGACTTGCAATGAAATACAGATGGATGATAAAGGAAGTAGCAATGCTGAAGCTGTATGAGTTAAGGTAAAAGAAATATACGAAATAAAGGGGAATTAGCAGTGGGTGTCCTCTGTGCACTACTAAATCACGATGAACTCACTGATAAATTACTGTAGAGGGAAAAAAACAGATACCCATGTCCCCATAAATAAATAAAATGTAGCATGCAGTATAAATCTCTGCATATATGTCTCGCCTCTCCCTGCTGCTACCTACTAAAATTCTCCAGCATCCTCCTGCTCCTTTTCCTCTTAACTCCCGAATAAGTGGGGGTGCTAAAACCCTTGTTTAACTTCTGTCCTTCGAATAAATGACGATATTCTTGGTTTCAGTCCTCCAGGTCCCTCAGGCACACTTTGACCACTCTTGAGTTTAAAGGCACAATATACATAAACCAAATATAAGTAAAATGCTAAATGAAAAGATCACAAAACTCTGCTACTCTAGATTTCAATTACTGAGACATTTCTTAAGGGATAATAAAAAGAGCAAAATTCAGGTCATCCGGGAATTTTTAGAGCTGTGTTGCTGTTAGTTGCTTGTTTCATAAAGTGGAAAGGGCAGCTAGAGGTGAGGCAATTTGGGCCTGCTCACGACAAATAAGGAAGAAACAATCAGGAATCTGGAGGTGAAGGTCACTTGGGAGCGTGACCTGATTCCATTTGCTATGCTGAGAGGAGCCTTATTTGTGCAACTTCTCACAGATACACAAAATAGGAAAAAGGTGAAGCCATAAGAGAGAATTCTGCCCTGAAAGTCAAAACTCACAAGGGAAAAATCTGTGAAGCAAAATTACACTGTGAAATGTCATCTCTAAAGGGCTTAAACAAGAACTGTGATAAATGTTATTACTCTGCAGTGCCATAAGGGTGTTGAGGACTCAATCACTGCTCTGATTTTGCCCAACAAGTTCAAGAAGGCAGTTATAGGAAAACAGACCCTGTTCCAAAATGCTTTCAGGGCTAAAGGCTGCAGGAGAGAAGCAAAATGGGAAAACCACTAATACAGCCATCAAGCTCACAAAAACTTTGGATCATCACTGCCTCGTTGCACTCTTGGGTTTAAAGGCACTATAAGGTCAGTGTAAGCAAAGGATAAATAAAGTCAAAGGTCAGAGAGGTCCAGAAAATATCCAGTCAAGAACCAAACGACAAATCGCCTAAACCAATCTTTAAGACTGATTTTCTTAAAGATCTCAGCAAAACAGTTGCAAGAAACCCCCTAAAGTCATTCCAAGATCAGGCAAGTGTGTCTAAGACTGGAGAAAACAGCTGCACTTCTAATCTAGGATACAGATAAAAGAGTATCCAAACAGTTACAAATTAACACCCATGGGGATGGTTCCCAGATATGTGCTCACAGAAACTTTACAAAATGCATGTGTGAGGCCGGGCGCGGTGGCTCACGCCTGTAATCCCAGCACTTTGGGAGGCCGAGGCGGGTGGATTACGAGGTCAGGAGATCGAGACCATCCTGGCTAACACGGTGAAACCCCGTCTCTAATAAAAACACAAAAAATTAGCTGGGCGTGGTGGCGGGCGCCTGTAGTCCCAGCTACTCAGGAGGCTGAGGCAGGAGAATGGCGTGAACCCGGGAGGCGGAGCTTGCAGTGAGCCGAGATCATGCCACTGCACTCCAGCCTGGGCTAAAGAGCGAGACTCCGTCTCAAAAAAAGAAAAAACAAAATGCATGTGTGTGTGCTTGTGTGTATATGGGTATTTTATATATATATATATATATATATATATATAAAATCACCAGTCATGTCGTCTTGTACTCTAGCTGCAATGCAAAAGAGACAGATTTTAATGAGTTGAGAGTGTTATTTTAAACATTTTTTCATACTTTGTTTTTACCTTTGAAATAGTTCAACCTCAAAACTATATTATCCAAGTTATGATCAAGCCTTCCCAGGCTGCAGTCACCCTAATGAGGTCCTCCATGAAGGGGCCATAAATTAAGGGAGGGATCTGTGGATACCATGAAAGAAAAGGTCAGAAAGGGCCAAATAATTCAAAGAGGGAGTTTGCTTCCCAAACTTTCCGTGTGTACTTGGACAACTAGGTGTGAAAAAGGAATGTTCTCTCCCAGTGAACAAGGACACTTCCAAACTTATTAGTAAGTCAAAGCTACTACCAAAAGCAAAATGGAAGACTTTGGGCTCAGGTCAGGGCTTCCCCACTAGAGATGACAAAAGTCGACCCTCATATACTTGCATAAATTGATAAGGAAAGATGCAAATGACAAAGTAACTTTTTTAAAAAAGAAAGTTATAGAACAATATGTACAGTCTGATTGCATTTTGGCTTAAAAAGAGCACAAGTTATAAATTATGTATTTTATGAGCATAGAAAAGGATCTGAAAAAAATACAAAAATTTTTAACAGCGTTGAGTAAAAGTGGGATTAGAGGGAGGACTTTCATTTTTATGTGATTCATTTCTGTATTTTTAAAATTTTTATTATAATTGCCCTATTTTCATAACTTTAAAAAACAACTTTAATATTCTCATAATTCAACTTTGGGACTTCCTAGCTGCCTTTTATGGTTGTTTGTTAAAATAAAATAACTTTTATCCATTCAACTTTTCATGGACTCTCTTAAGCTCAGGAATTTACCTTCTCTATGAAAAAGAGAAAAACTGGGTTAATGCTCCAGGTTAAGCAGACACAGAAGCAGGACAATTGTATATAACACATGAGCCTGGGCTGGATCCTAAACCAAAGAATAGTTTTTCTCTTACTATAAAGTTTTTGTTTTTTTTTTTTTTTGAGACACAGTCTCCCTCTGTTGCCCAGGCTGTAGTGCAGCGGCATGATCTCTGCTCACTGCGACCTCCACCTTCCAGGTTCAAGCAATACTCTCACTCAGCCTCTCTAGTAGCTGGAACTATAGGCATGCACCACCACCCTCAGCTAATTTTTGTATTTTTTGTAGAGACAGGGTTTCACCACGTCACCCAGGCTGGTCTCAAACTCCTGACCTCAAGTGATCTGCCGCCCTTGGCCTCCCAAAGTGCTGGGATTACAGGCGTGAGCTACCATGCCCAGCCTCTCTTGCTATAAAAAGATTATTAAGATAATTAACAAAATTTGAATAAATAATAGAATTAGTACTATTGTCAATGTAGTTTATTGATTTGTATGACTTTACTATGGTTATATAAGAGAACGGTGAATATTTAGGCATAAAGGGGCATCTATCTTGTCTTTTACTTACTTTCAATTAGGTCAGAAAAAACATATAGACATAGAGAGATAGGTATGGATACACACACACAAAGAGAAAGAAAGAGAAAACGAATGTCTGAATACCAGCAAAATGTTAACATTTAGGCAATCTGGATGGAGGTTATACCAGAATTATTTGTACTATCTTTGCAACTTTTCTATAAGTCCAAAATTATTTCAAAATAAAGTTTTAGAAAATTAGGAAGGAAGAAATGAAAGGAGGAGGGGGTGAGGGAAGGAGGGAGATTGGCCTTGCCATCTACTCCTGACTTATAAAGGCCTCTATGATCCTGTTCATTGTTTTGTTTGTTTAGTTGATTTTATTCATTTACATAGTTTGATCTTGTCAGTGAAATCTGATATATCTTCAGGAAGAAAGTTGAGTTTTCACAAATATTTGAGAAAATTTAGCTAATAAACATATCTCAAGATATCTCACAGGCAAATATTCACAGCAAGTGTGATTAACCTTACTAGTAGGTGAAAAGATCTAAAGAATTTGGACAAAGTCATAGAATAAGTCAGTGGTAGAACTGGAAATAGAAATCAAGTTTCCTAGTAACTCATTCAGTATGATTTTTTAAGCCAGAATTTTGTGATGCAGCAGCTATTCTACGGTGGAAAATTGCCCCTGGGAAGCTACAAGAGTTCATCAAAGGCAGAGGGTCAGAGTCCTGTGTCTGCTGTGGTGAGACACTGGTCATATTGCTATACACCCCATAAATCACAAATAATAATATCCTGAGGCATTCTCTTCTGTATTAAAAGATAAGAACTCTGTTTTTGTTTCCAGAACCATTGCTCTCTTTCCCTGCTTCACATGGCTCATGTAATTCAGAAGATAGACTTCATTCAAAGAATGAAAAATAGGTGAGTCTGAATCCCAGTGCCTCTCTCCATCAATTCAGCAAGCTGCAGAACGTTATCTGCCTTGTAAGTAGCTCGGCTCCCTCTAACAAGATGAATTTCTTTCCTAAAACAGGTTTGTACTTAGGGCTTCACCACCAGCAGTGTTAGCACCACTCTGAGAAAAGTTATGTATTGATATAAGAAGCCCAAATATGGGCTTTATGGAGTGCAGGTAGACCTCATCTTTGGAGAAAAAATATATATAGTATTCATAAATAATAGGCTTTAGAAAAAAATGATAAGGAAACACTCTCCTTGAATCTTGGCAAAAAGAGAGGCAGGCAGTGCTCCAAAGTCATCATCAAACTAGAAATGGCTCGAGAGGCTTTCTGCAGGCAGTGTTCTCACGGACTAAAACCTGTCCACTCCAAGTGTAGTCCATAGACCAGCTGCTTCAGCATCACCTGGGAGCTCATTAGCAATGCAGACTCCCAGGCCCCTCCACAGACACAGTGAATCAGTGTCTGCATTTTAGCAAGATTTCCAGTACATTTGTGTACACATTATTGGAGTTTGACAAACACTGGACTCCAGGAAATGGTGGAGTAACTAGCTTAAGCCTAGAAGAAGCAGGGGGGAAACACATACACACACTAACACTGCTCTGAGGCAAGCACAGTCACAAAATAAGATCCAAATTCTAGTCAGAACTACCCTCAGACTGGCATCCGGCACTCTGCTACTTCATCTCTCCACTCTACCCACCATCCATCCCTCCTCTGGGTCTTGGATCCATGACCAGCATTCACCCTAAGTGAAAAGGCTGAGCAGCCTATGGCCTGTTATCTTAGAAAGGTGTTCAGGTGAGAGGGGGCACACATAGCTCAGCGGTAGAGCGTTTGACTGCAGAAAGGTGTTCAGGTGAGATTAAAAATAGAACTGCAATATAACGCAGCAATCCCACTACTGAGTATGTATCCAAAGGAAATGAAATCAGTATGTCAAAGAGATAACCTGCACTCCCAAGTTCACTGCAGCACTATTCACAATAGCCAAGATATGGAATCAACCTAGGTGTCCATCAACAAGATGAACAGATAAAGAAAACCAGGGATATATACACAATATATACACAATGGGATATATACACAATACTATTCAGCCTTTAAAAAGAAGAAAATTATATCATTTGTGACAATATGGATAAACCTGGAGGACATTATGTTAAGTGAACTAAACCAGCCACAGAAAGACAAATACCACATGATCTCACTTATACGTGGAATCTAAAAGAGTTAAACTCATAGAAGCAGAGTAGAATAGTGGTTACTAGGGGTTGGGGTAGATGTTGGTCAAAGGATGCAAAATTTCAGTTAGATAGGAGGAATAAGTTCAAGAGATCTATGGTACTAGACGTTGACTAGAGTTAATAACAATTTATTGCATTCTTGAAAATTGCTGAGAGTAGAGTTTAAGTGTTCTCACTACAAAAAATAAGTATGTGAAGTAATGCATATGGTAATTAGCTTGATTTAGCCCTTTCACAATGTATACGTATTTCAAAACAATATGCTGTACATGATAAACATATAATTTTGTCAATTAATTTTTAAAATTAATTAGGTGTGGAAGAATTCTTTGCAAACCTCAGGGCTAAAATCTAAGCTTGAGCATGACTGCAAGCTCTATAATACATGGCATCCCATTTTCCAAATTTCATTAGACTGGAATGAGATGAGGTTATTTTTTTTAAAAAAATGCTTAATTCTATTCCTCTTTGCTTCTGTCTGCTCATGCAAGCCCCAGTATCTGAACATTTTCACAAAGTAGAGACCACAATGGGTTTTGCCCACCATTTGTGTCCCCCTGGCATTGTATTGCTATTACCTGGCATATGGTGGGTAACCAGCAAATATTTGTTAAATGAATGTTGAAATTTCTCCCAGGGAAGTCTGGTCTGCTACCCAGTAGTATCTGCTGGGCATCACTGTTGTTTCTGTGGCAAACTGCCTGTCCCACTTGTACTGCCACCCTTGCTGAGCAGAGCTGTCATTTCCACTGGCTAGAACCACTTCTGCCAAATGCTGCCACCTCCCAGTGGATAGTGAGGTATCCAGCTGGGCATTGCCAGAGCTGAGCCCGGTAATTCCCAGGCTTCTCTTGTTCCACCTGATTTTCCATTATTCTCTGGGAAAGCAATATAAAAACTGCATTACTATGCCACAGTACTTGACAGAGTGGTAGTCAAACCACTCTTTCAGCTTTAACTTCCAGTTCACTTTCTCCTTAAGACCCAGGAATGGACCACAGGCAGATTTGAGAATGAGACAACATGCGTCAGAATCCCACCTCCCCTCTGAAGTTTTAGGGTTGGAGGGTCATGCTGTCTCCTTCTTCCCAGTGGGGTGAATTTTCTCCTAGAATGCTCCTGGGTCCTTCATGCCAAGCAGCACTAAGGGCTGTCAGAAGCCCTCCCTTGGTCCCCCACCACTCCAGTTTAGTAGCCTTGTCCAGACTTGTCTGAACCCATGTTGCACACAGCTTAAATTCCAAGTGGGACCTCTGGCTACATTTGCAATTGAATTCAAGACCATATTGCATTCTGCACCAGGCACGGTGGCTCAGGCCAGGCATGGTGGCTCATGCCTGTAATCCCAGCACTTTGGGATGCTGAGGGGGGCAGATCACTTGAGGCCAGGAGTCCGAGACCAGGCTGGCCAACATGGCAATACCCCATCTCTACTAAAAATACAAAAATTATCCAGGCGTGGTGGTGCACATCTGTAATCCCAGCTACTTGGGAGGCTGAGGCATGAGAATTGCTTGAACCTGGAAGGCGGAGGTTGCAGTGAGCCAAGATCGTGCCACTGCACTTCAGCCTGAGCAACAGAGTGACACTCTGTCTAAAAATAAAAATAATAATAAATAATAATTTAAAAACTGTATTCCATAGAGAATCACAGTCAATACAAAGTAGCCTGTTGAGGTGGAGAACTTTGGAATGATAACCATCATTTAAAAGATTATTGTTTCCAGTTTGGTCCCACGTAAACAGGTAGCTAAGGATATAAAGCAGAACCACAACACCATTTCACCCTCACCCCCTTTCCTCATCCAAATCTTCCAGTGGACATTTTTCTTATGTCTAACTCAACCTAAATGGGTTGGGAAGAATGTGGAAGGGGCAGCCAGACACTCAGTGAAAGGAGAAAGACAGTACAAATACAGTGTGAAGGGGAAATCTCACCAAGAAGAGGCCAATGGCTTGTATCTTGCCCCAACCTAAATACCACCTTTTCTATTTCACCAGAGTCTATTGCACAGTGTCTGCACAGTGAAAGGCTATTGAAGGGCATCTCCAGGACAATAATTTGTCACTAGATTCCCTTCACAGATGGTATAGTGTGTTAAATGGTGATCCCCAAAAAAACATGGCCAGGAACTAATCCTGAGTACCTGTGAACATAAACTCATTTAGAAAAATTATCTTTGCAGATGTAATTAAGTTAAAGATCTTGAGATGAGACCACCCTGGATTAACCAGGTGGGCCCTAAATTCAATGACAAGATTTTCTTCCTTTTTCCTTTGAGACAGAGTCTCACTATGTCTCCCAGGCTGGAGTGCTGTGGCACGATCTTGCCTCACTGCAACCTCCGCCTCCTAGGCTCAAGCGATTCTTGTTCCTCAGCCTCCCAAGTAGCAGGGATTGCAGGTGCCTGCCACCACGTCCCGCTAATTTTTGTACTTTCAGTAGAGATGGGGTTTCACCATGTTGGCCAGGCTGTCTCAAACTCCTGGCCTCAGATGACCCACCTGCCTCAGCCTCCCAAAGTGCTGGGACTACAGGCATGAGCCACTGCACCCAGCCAGTGACAAGTATTCTCATAAGAGACAAAGAAGAGAAGACAGACACCATGGACAAGGCCATGTGAAAATGGAAGCAGATATGGGAGTTGTGCAGCCAAATGCTGAGAAACACCTGGGGCCACCAGAAGCTGGAAGAGGTGAGAAGGGATTTTTCTCCCCAACTCTTGGGAGGGAATGCAGCCCTACCGACACCTACTGTCAGGCTTCTGTTCTCCAGAGCTGTGAGAGAATATATTTGTGTTGTTTTAAGCCACCAAGTTCGTGGTGATTTTTTACAGAAAAACCCAGAAAACTAATATGGAGGTTATTTATGTTTATAAGCCAACCTTGTCCCTAAGCTGCTTCATTACCTGGCTGTATTATTTTTAATTGTCTGGGAGATTAAAGAGGATAACTTCCGTTTATTGAGTGACTACTCTGTACCAGGCCCTGTCTCAGGCACATATATTATCTCAGTTAATGATTATAGCAGCCTTGTAAGGGTAATAACATTAGGCCCATTTTATTAATTTAAAAACTGAGGCTTTGCCCAATATCATGCAGCAAATAAATGTTTGAGCTAGGACCTCAATCTAGATTCTGAGCTCTTTGTTCTTTCTCCTATACTACAACTACATGAAACTAAGATTTTTAATTTTCTTATTTCTTGTTTGTTTGGGTTTTGTGTTTGGGGGAAGGGGGTTGTTTTTGTTTTGTTTTGAGACAGGGTCTCTCTGTCTCTGTTGCCCAGGCTGGAGGCTGGAGGCTGGAGTGCAGTGGCACAATCCCAGTTCACTGCAACTTCCGCCTCTTGGGTTCAAGTGATTCTTCTGTCTCAGCCTTCCAGGCAGCTGGGACTACAAGTTCACACCACCATGCCCAGCTAATTTTTTGTATTTTTAGTAGAGATCGGGTTTCACCATGTTGGCCAGGCTGGTCTCGAACTCCTGACCTCTGGTGATCCGCCTGGCTTGGCCTCCCAAAGTGCTGGCATTACAGGTGTCAGCCACCATGTCTGGCCAATTTTCTTATTTCTTAAAGGGAAAACAGGCTATTGTATTAAGACTCCACTTTCACAGAAAACTAGATTCTGTCCAGGGTAGGATATATAGTTTCAGGAAGGCCAGAAATTGTCCTTGAGTTGTTATGGGAGATGGGGAGGACATTTATGAAATGTCATGGAATCTTTGACAGTCTTCTAAAGGCCTCTAGAGGTCGTGCAGGCCAAATACATCCCAGTCCATGCATATCCCTTAAAGCATTGGCTTGAACTGTGGCATGAGGAGAAATTCACCCTTATAAGAAGCTGCCCTTTCGGTTTAAACAGTCCTCTTTCAATGGAGCCAAAATAGGCTCCAATTCTTCCTTGGAAGCCACACAGAATCCCAAATCCCTTCACTGCAACAGCCTTTCAAGAACTGATACAATAAAGAGGACACACACAAAAGTAGAAATTTCTTTTTTGCCATTAAAGAGGCTTGTTCTGTGATCTCTTCCTTATAAGATATGATTTCCAGCTCCATCCCTACCCTGGCTCACCCTCCAGTCATGCACAAATCTGCCCATGCTCTCCTTTCAAGGGAACACCCACTGTCCAGGTCATAATCACAGCTTTAGTGGGGCTGAGGCACAGTCATTTTCTCCCTTTAGTTTCACCTCACTTCTCTCTTTCCATCTTGATTTTTACCCCAGCCCCTCACACTCAAGCTGATCCAAACTGTCATCCATCTACCAAAGGGTGGTACTGCTGATAACTACACAAATGCATTAACTCTCTGAAGTATTTCACCAACCCACTCACCCACCTGCCTCTGAAGCCTCCTGTTTTGAAGTGGCAATGTGATCAATCAAGTCAGTTTCATGTTCCCAGCCCACACAGTACAGGGAAAAAATTAATGACACTGACTGTTCTTGCTACAGAAGCAACTCAAGTAGACAGCAGCCTTCACAACAGCAGAAAAGGAACACTTCGCTTTTAGTCATACTGTAAGAAAAGGGTGTGGGGGGGAGGAAGTGTGTCTCTGTGTGTGTGTGTGTGTGTGTGTGTGTGTGTGTGTGTGTGTGTGTATATATATATAGTAAAAAGCCATTTGCCTAAAGGCCATAACATGGCTTATGCTCCACTGGCTTAAGTAAAAACTAGGACTCCTCTTTTCACTCAGTGCTTAAGCATTTCACAGACAACAGGGTCAGTAAAGACAGAAATACTTGATTTAGAGTCTTTACCCAGCCCCTGTAGTTTGCAGATTGGGACTTCCAAAGCCAACCCAATGTGAACGGAACGGATGCAGTACAAGGACAGGAGAGGCCCCTCCGCACCATCCATCATAGGCTCCCAGCAGCTCTGCCTAATTTCCTGCCCACCAGACCCAGGGAGTAAAGACTGGGTACATTTCTCCCATTCTCTCTCTCTCTCTCTCTCTCTCTCTCTCTCTCTCTGCAGGGAGTAAAGACTAGGTACATTTCTCCCATTCTCTCTCTCTCTCTCTCTCTCTCTCCAGGGAGTAAAGACTGGGTACATTTCTCCCATTCTCTCTCTCTCTCTCTCCTCTCCTCTCTCTCTCTCTCTCTCTCTGTCTCCTTCTCCCTCTCTCCTGCTCTCTCTCCACCCTTCATTCTTGCTTCAAGCCCAGCCCAGAGGTCAGCGTCTCCCTTATGAAAATAAAATCCATCCCTTGCACGGGAAGAACTGTGAGGTGTTAAAGGCCTGCTCTGTTCAGCTTTGTGCACAGGTGCCAGGCCCTACCTGTTTCCCTTACTGTCCTCAAAAGGAAATGGCCCCTCTGTACTCCTCATTCCTCATGTCCCTAGACGTACTCAGATTTCCATGCCCTGAAACATTTATTTCCTAAATTAGATTTCCCACCCCCAGCACTATTTACACAGAAACAGCATGGAGCAGTTTGGAGTCTGGCTCTTAGAGAACTTACT
Organism: Homo sapiens; assembly: GCF_000001405.40. Classification (NCBI taxonomy): domain Eukaryota; kingdom Metazoa; phylum Chordata; class Mammalia; order Primates; family Hominidae; genus Homo; species Homo sapiens. Next base: position 138,833,857 of record NC_000004.12, read on the forward strand.
TAAGGACAGTGGTTTTCCATCTGTCTTCCACAGAGATCTAGGGTGTCTTTGGAACCACCCTGGGGGGCAAGGGAAGGCCCACGTGATAGGCTCACTTTTACATATAGAAATACTGTGTAGGATTTTTTTTAATAGGAATACTTTTCTACTCAAGAAAAAAAAAAAGCCACGTTACCATAGGGAAGCACTGCTTCCTTATTTATCGCCACATGGCCATGAAACACACAAACAGAAAGCTCGTGCCTTCTCTGCTTCACTGTGGAAAAGAAAAAGCTAAGAAAAGCCTTTGTGTTGGACAGTAAAAAGCCACAAACAGGCAGAATGTTATTGCTTCAGCTTCTCCCAGTTCTTAGAATGACACAGTCTCAGACAGCTCAGGATCATCCAGTCCAGCCCTTCATTATTCAGATGTGAAATGAAAACCCACAGAGGTTAATGGTTTGCTTTATTAACTTAGAAGCAAAGTCACTACCACAATTTTTTATACATAGTGGACACTCAGTGTTGAAAGAATAAATGTTTACATAAATAATTTGCTAATATACACCCAATTCATTCCAGAAAACAGTTCAGGTGGTTTTCTAAGAAACATAAATCGAACAAACAAAAAAGAATGACATTTAATAGGAGTGGCAAAAAGAATGAATAGATATGAGCAGAGATGTTCTTGTCTTGAACTAAAGCTCCAAAAATTGCTACCTCAATACTCAAGACTTTGAAAATTAACATTCATTGTACTTTTCTAGGCTGTTCTAAATTTGAGTAATGAACGATTTTCTACTTAGAAGTTTAGATAACTAGTGAGAAGCCAATGAGGGCTTGCAGGTAAAGAGGTGTCTTTGTGGATAATATCTTGTGTCTAGGTATATACCGCCTTGATTTCATTAAAATTTGATGGCTCTTCTCTCAAGACCAGAGCCTTTTCACTAAGATTTGCTGTAAGAAAACAGAATTGGGTTATGACAAACAGCAGGCCAGGTAGAGAACCTAAAGAGGTCACATAGGCTGGCATGTGTTGGGACAGGCTTGATGGCTGTGTGCAGGTATCTTGCGGAAGAAAGCTATAGTCTCACTTCTCTAAGATTTGCCCATGAACCAGTAACAATGGCATCACCTGGGAGCTGGCTAGAAATGCAGGCTCTCAGGTCCCACCCCATATCCACAGAATCAGAATCTGCATTTTAACAAGATTACCAGTTCATCTGAATGCACATTAAAGTTTGAAAAGCAGTGCTCCACAGCATCTTTAAATGCACTGATGCAGATGCCTAAAGTGCAGCCATAAAGACCTTATGAAGATTTCTCAAAGAACTAAAAATAGAACTACCATTTGATCCAGTAATCCACTACTGGGTATATATCCAAAGGGAAAGAAATCATTACATCAAAAAGATACCTGCACTTGTATGCCTATTGCAGCACCATTCACGATAGGAAAGACAGAATCACCCTAAGTCTTCATCAACAGAGGACTGGGTAAAGAAAACATATATACCATGGAATATTACGTAGCCATAAAAAAGACTGAAATCATGTCTTTTGTAGCAGCATGGATGGAACTGGAAGCCATTATCCTAAGTGTAATAACTCAGAAACAGACAGTAAAATAATGTATGTTCTCACTTATAAGAATGAATATGCAATGGGTATACACAGTGGAATAGTAGACACTGGAGACTACAAAAGGTGGGAGGGTGGGAAGGGGGTGAGGGTTGAAATCTTACCTATTTGAGTAATGAACACAGTGTTCACTATTCAGGCGATGGATACACGAAAAGCCCAGACTTCACCACTATGCAATATATGCATGTAAGAAATCTACACATGTACCCCCAAATATATACAAATTTTACATTTTTAATTAAAATAAAATAAATGCAGCCATAGAATAACAAAATAAAGCCTGAAACATACAGTTGGCTTGGAGCACATCAATAAGAAGGACTTAGGGGAAGTGGGGAGAAAACTTTGGTTTGGTTTTTGTTTTTAGAGGTTTCTGTTGTCCTCATTGATCTTTGATGAAACTATCAAATGAAAGTCAAATGGGGAAAACCTACTTTTTGAGCCAATTTGTTTAGTCATACTTTGGCACACATTGACAAAGATATTCACCCCCAGGGGGCATAATTGTTCTTGAGAAATGACTTTGTTTTAGAGAAAACTTTTGTTTCCAGAGGCACAGGCTACACAGCACGGAGTGGAATAGAAATACGGCGATTATCCAGTTCATTTACTTGCAGTACACAGCCAGACAAACCAATCCAGGTAGTGCGGGCCATAAAAAACATTTCGAGGTGCCTGAATTATCCAGGTTCACTGCTAACTTTGTTCAAATGAACTGGATCACAGCCAGCCCCACACAGCATTGTGTGCTTTTAAATATAGTGCAAGGGGAACCTGCACCAGCAGACATGAGGAGGGGAGGGGCAGGTGTCGGTGACCCTTGGACCCAGACAGCATCTGACAAAGGGTGACATTAGGCTTTGGCAGAGCCTCGGCTGCACTGTCTGCAAAGCAGTTATCACATGGAAGACAGGGCGGCCTGCCAAAATACAGACACTGGGACCAACCAAAGGATAATTGCTATAAATTCCATACAGGGAGCGGAGAGAGAGATGTCAGCAGAACACAAATCCTGGCTGGGTAGCAGCACACACAGGACTGCAGGGTAGAGTACGACAAGAAAGGGAATATTTTTTTGAAAAGGCCAAATTTGTTCAAACAAGGTATGGCAGGCCAGCTGGAAGACATGTCAGTCAAGGACTAGACTCTCTGCTCAGAGGTATTTCTGTCACTTGCACACGACAGCTTCTCAAAACTAAATATAAGGAAAAATTAGAGCTAGATTTTCTCCAGGTATGGGGTGAGTTCTAATTGTAATTTAGAAACTGGCAGATTGACTAGTATTTGTTCAGCCCCTCCTAAGTGGCAGGTCCCTTTTCAGGTGTTTTGCATAAATTGGCTATTGGAAGGAAGTGGGGGTGATTAACCCCTTAGGGATCAAAACCACCCCTAATGGATTCTTATTGGGACTATAGGGATCTAGTGATCCCTGAAGTTCCTAGAATTGTCTGAACATTTTTTTTTTTTTTTGAGATGGAGTCTCACTCTGTCGCCCAGGCTGGAGTGCATTGGCGTGATCTTGGCTCACTGCAAGCTCTGCCTCCTGGGTTCACGCCATTCTCTTGCCTCAGCCTCCCGAGTAACTGGGACTACTGGTGCCCGCCACCACGCCTGGCTAATTTTTTTGTATTTTTAGTAGAGACGGGGTTTCACCATGCTCGGCAGGATGGTCTCGAACTCCTGACCTTGTGATCCGCCCGCCTCGGCCTCCCAAAGTGCTGGGATTACAGGCATGAGCCACCGCGCCCGGTCTGAAAATTTTTATATGTATTTACATGTATGTTTTTTTCTGAGAGAAGAAACCATAGTTCTCATCAGATTCTCAAACAGATCCATGACCCCAAAAAGATTAAGAATTACGGTTAGCTGAATGAACTAGGGAAAACTGAAGGAATAACATCTATAGAGTATTCTCTGCCAGGCCCTGTACTTGGTGACATCATTCGATATGGTTTTGCTGTGTCCCCACCCAATCTCATCTTGAATTGTACTCCCATAATTCCCACACATCGTGGGAAGGACCCAGTGGGAGATAACTGAATCATGGGGGCAGTTTCCCCCATACTGTTCTCATGGCAGTGAATAAGTCTCACCAGATCTGATGGTTTTATAAGAGGTTTCCCCTTTTGCTTGGCTCTCTTTCTTTCTTTCTTGCCGCCACGTAAGACATGAGGCCATGTCTGCCATGGTTGTGAGGCTTTCCCAGCCACGTGGAACTGTGAATCCATTAAACCTCTTTTTCTTTATAAATGAGTCTCAGGTATGTCTTTATCAACAGCATGAAAACAGACTAATACATCATTTAATTCTCCTAAAAACCCTAGTGGCATCATCCCCATTTTACAGTTAAGGAAAAGCAAAGCTAAAAGTGGACAGGTAGCCTTATCAGGTGAGCACACCTACTAACTGTAAGGTCTAGAAGGTAAACTCAGACCTATCTAGTCCAAAAAAGTCGGCTTTTTTTAATACTATGATGCTTCCTGGGTATGTTTTTTTTGTGGGGAGGTGGGTGGTTACAGAGTTAATGAAGGAAGGCACCAAGGAAGACCAACGTGGCATTTTTCGCTGTCTCTTGAAGAATGAGCTGAGATTGGGCATCTCAAGGGAGAAGGAAGCACATTCCAGGTGAAAGGGGCAAGGTTAAAAGAGGCAGAGCGGTGGGAAAAGATGAGATGTTAACTGAGGACATCGCCTTCCCTCCTGTTGACTAAGGCACTTCGTAAAAACTTGAGAGCCAGCTAACAGTCACAAGACTAAATGCATCCCAGGATTAAACTTCTAGCCCATTTTGTCTTAAATTTCCTGCCACCCAAACCCCAGTGGAAACAGAAGATAACCTCTCCTACCAGAGACCCTGACATAAAGCCCAGAAGCTGCTTAATGCCCAATATCGATTCAAACAAGCTCATTTTGTTTCTTTCTAATGCATCGTAAGCAGGAAGAGCAGGCTTACTGCAGGTCAGGAAGAAGCCAAGAGCTTACCCAGGGCCACCGGAGCCCAGACAGCAACACAGGGCCTCTCTGGAAGGAAAAGATTGTCTGTTAATTGTGTGGGGTTTAATGCATCTCCAGTCCCCCAAGACTGCTCCTGTCTCAACATAAATAATATCCAGAGACTAAATATTCCATGTGCACCACAATACAGTTAATCGGGCTTTAGACACACATTGACTCTACGGTGGGATTCTGCTACCTTCTGAAACAGAAAAGCCATTGACAAGAGGAATATTAGCATGGAATCCCATGTAATTGAATTGTGGTTTTACGTCTTGAGATTAACAGATGACAGAGTCTTATCCCAGAGTACCCGCGCCCCTCTCCTTACCCTGCAGACACACTGCAGACCATTCGGCCATCACCATCAGCCACACAGTCTTTAGTTCTGGTGTTGTTTTTAGAAATTAACTCTTTTTTAAGGGAGCCATTTCACATGCAATATTGCTGCTCAGGTAATAACTCCAAAGCATCTTCTCATTGGCTGATAAATGATTTTAAGTGGATAACAGGCCAAACCTCTTCAGGATCCCTGGATGGGAATTCTTGAGAGTTTGTTTCCCATAAATAGAGGGCAAAAGGATGTTAAAAAGATAAAGATGCGTGCCATTCATCTTGTTTCAGTAGATCATAAGTTCCTCGAGGGCAGGAAAAGGTTATTTGCTGATTGATTTAATATTTATTGAGTCCTAATTGTCTTCATGGACCATAGAAATAAATCTATCGATATACTTCATTACAAGAAAACATATTGCTCCCTTTAGAAAGGACACAACAGCATTCCCTTTGATGCCTCCTTTCCTTTATACTGATTAACAACTTGAAAGAGCAGTTCTTGTTCTAAAAACAAAATATGAGTAGAAAAATCATTCTATTCCATAAAACCGGAATGAAAGATTCTCCCTCTCTGAAATAACAAGGTGGTTAGAAATGAAGGAGCTGCAGGGGAAGGAGGCAGAGGGACCCATCATCCCTGAAAACATTTCACTTTCAAAGTACACAATATCAAAAATCATATGTAATTACGAGATTTCCCTATACTTAGTATTCTCAAAACATGGTTTCAGCCAGAATGGATGTGCTGCATAAGGAAACCTAAAAAGAAAAATTTTAAAAACAAACCAAAAAAAGCTAACAAATTTCTAACAGAGTTACTACTCTCAAGACCAGCAAATATGTGCCTATAAATAAATGCATTACTCGCGCCTACCAGCATATCACCTAAAAGTGCTACACTTAGGCCGGGGGCCGGGGTGGGAGGGCGGCAGGAGGGGGGAATGACACAGGATAAAGGGTGGCTGCAGTTTTACCCACGTGAACAGCACTCGGACCATCACCGGCACGTGCAGCATGTCAGAGCTCTGGATTGAGATCATTACAAGCCCAACTTTGGCAGCTCGTTATCAATTCAGTGTGGGTGCTGTTTTGTAAACACATTTAATTTGGTTTTAAATTTTAATCCATAAAGTCATTACTAAAGGACTCCAGGCTGCTGAAATGATGAACCAACTGCTTCTAAAGCTGACACGAAGGCACCAGAGCCAGGGATGGGGCTTTCCGTCCTCAGCTCCTTTCTTTGCTTCCCTTACCCCTCTCGCATCCCTGATTTCCTTCTCACCAGTGAACTGATTCTCTCATGCATGGTCCCTGCTCACATGGAAGATTTTTCTGTTCCTACCGGCTGTGTATGCATATGTGTGTCTCTGGGTTGTGTCTGTGTGTTTATGTGTCTGTCTCCTCTCTCTCTCTCTCCACACACACACACACACACACACACACACACACACACACACACACACAAGAACACACAATGAAGCTCATTGCCTTTTTCTGACCCAATATTCCAATCACTGCCTCCTCTACCTTTCCAATTTAATCTACTTCTATACATAAGCATTACTCTTTAACAAAAAGATCAGGCACTGGGTGAGTTTGGAGGAATGAAATTGACTTAAAGAGCTGATGGCAGGGAGTACAGGTGACTGACAGATGGACTGACCAACTGATGGGGCCGGCGGCATCTTATCTATTGCCCTCCTTGGAGAATTGGTTCTCATGGATAATTAACCATAAAATGAGAGGTTTTCTTCAAAGGAGAGATCAAAAGGTGAATCTTTCAAAACATGCCATATTATAAAATTTGGTTTATTTAAGAATGTATCAGCTCTGGTTCTAAGGGATTTGTTTTATTTCAGCTTCTATTTTAGATACAGGGGGTACATGTGTGGGTTTGTTACATGGGTATATTGCACCCAGGTAGTGAGAATAGTACCCAGTAGGTGGTTTTTCAACCCACAGCCCCTTCCATTCCTCCCTTCTCCTCCAGTAGCCCGCAGTGCCTGTTGTCCCCATGTTTATGTCCATGTGTCTCTATGTTTAGTTCCCACTTATCTATGAGAACATGCAGTATTTGGTTTTCTGTTCCTGCTTTAATTTGCTTAGGATGATGACCTCTAGCTCCGTAACCACCAGTTTACTCCTCATAACAACCCTGTGAGGATGGTATCATCCTTGTCCTCCACTTCCCAGGAGGCTGGAGCAAACGTGCCCAAAATCTCACAACTGGAAAGTGACTATCAGGATGTCCACGCAGATAGTCCAGCTCCAGAGTCCATGCTTCTAGCTACTACACTCCGCAGTTTCTGATTTGATGGATTGCATCTTTGTCTAATAGAGAGGAAAATTTGCATTTATTTTTGTATGCATTTTATCTACTATTAAAGCCAAGTTTTCTCTATCAGGGAAAACAGATTAAACATTTACCCTACTGGGTAAATCAGTTATTATCCTATTTACCCTCTTGGGTGTTTATCCTATTTTATTTGCCCCATTGTGTAAATCAAATATTGTTCACAACTTGTGTTTATGGCCCCACCATTAACATTAACAACATGTGTGTTGACAAGAAATATTCTAGACCAACTTCTCATGCTTCCTTCAATCCATTCCCTTTGTCAGTCCATAGACATAATCACCTCCCATTCCCATTCCAAAAAGCAGCTTCTTGCAGAACCATTCTCAAGCACTCTCCCCTACTGCTCAGTGAGGTTTAATATAGCATCCCAGAGCAGCCAAGCTTAAACAGCCCTGGGGCACCTAACACAGAGGCTCAGGAAGCTTCCCTAGAAAAGAACTAGTGTTGATCAAGAAAGTCTCCATGTGCTGTGCTGTTCTGTGATAATCTGTCTGTCTTCCTTTGATCTAATGTTAAAGTGGGCAAAATAAACCCTGGACAATGTGGGAAAGCCAAAAGAGTGATTCCATTCTTTTTCTAGGGTAATAGTAATAACATTTTCTCTTCTGTAGGACTGGTGTTTTTACTGAAGTTTCTTCCAAAGAATGCTGTGCTTTAGGATTTTAAAAACCAAAGGCCCCAGGACTTTTTCCTCTTTCAAAAATGGATGGTTCTGCTTTTCATTTAAGGTGCAGTTTAGAGAGAAGCAGCCTGTGAAACCAATTAACTAATTGGAAATCACTTAATGACTGTAGCAGCATTTTGGATTTCCGGCGTTGGTTCACAGCAGTCAAGAGAAATTGCTTTCCAATATTATGATAAGGTAAGCTGTGGAGGTCTCACAGGGGGCGGTTGAAGGCTGCTGAGAGAAACAATCAGCTCTAATATGCCCACCAAAATAATGGAGACATTATAACATGGAACTCAGTGATTGTAAAGTAAGCACAACATAAAAATCCAAAGATATGTGGAGATCTGCTGAGAATAAATGTGCAGCCATAGTTCCTTGCTATGATTTTTTGAGATCTTACAATCTTCACATAGTCATTATGCTGTGGAAATTGCTCTTACAGAGAGAGCCAGGCTTGTGTGGAAAAGGAGGTGACATGAGGAGAAGGAAAAAATAATAAAGTAAGTGCTTACCCTGGAACAATTGTTCAATTAATTGTTTAGTATGAATATAGTCATTGTTCACATTAGGGAAATAATCTAGTTAATTGCTCAAGAGTTAACATAGGCAGAGGAAATAAATTACCCCAAACCAAATATTTTATCCATTTGCCATTGGTTTGTCTTAAGGTAATAAATTCTCTTAGCCTATTCTAAATATCATAATTCATTAAACCAAAAACATCACTGTAGAAAATAATATCAGCAATCTCTAATATATCTCATTCCTTTTTCACTTTATTTTAAAAGAGAGGCACAGGGATATGCATGAGCAAAGGCAGTTTAAACTTGCTTTGAGGTGGACAGTTGGTCCTTATTTCTCCCGGGCCTCAGAATTATTTTGTGAGTATGGCAATCTTTCCCCCCAACCCCTTTGCCTTAGTTTACTCAGCTGTAAAATGGATTGACACATGTTAGAAGACATAGGTGTTCAAATGATGGTCACATTTTACAAACACGAAGCTAGAACACTGTAAATTCTTCCAGCAATGACAAACTTTCATTTTTTCTTCCCCATTGGTACAGTAAGTTTGGGCAACAAAGAGTCTCTCTGGGAGATATTTGCTGTTGTTTTCCAACAGGAAGGAAATTCTGTACACCCACTTGTCACTCTACTGCCTGCATTTGGGCCTTATCTAGTCCCCAGCTTTATTAATTCAGTAATGACGAGCAATGTATTAGATGCCTCCACTGGGTACTGCCTTAGATGCTTGCTTTGCATTCAGCCATTACCCAAAGGACAGGAGGACAGAAGGTGTTCTCTTTTCAGGCAGCAACATAAATAAAGACAAGTGTCACTCACACAAATCACTGTGCCAAGCATTAGCCCACCAGACCATGGGACTACATTAGCCCTTTCTTCTCACCTGTCTCATACAGTAGGTGCTCATTCAAAGCAGGACTCTCGTTGTAGAGCTACATGCCTGGAAGTCCTTCATACAAGAAAACACCTGAAAATACCTGGGGTGAGGTGGACAACACTAGTACTATAACAGACTGGTGATTCTTCCTTTACAAACAATGTTTCATCCTGAGCAAATTATTACCTGTTTAAATTATTACCTTTCCTAGGCTTAATTTCTCATCTGCATTCCAGAAAGTGACATCCTACTAACATCCAGATTATATCGAGACAACATGGGTGATAAACTGATTTTTCATTACCAGTAAAGATGATCAATAAGTAAAACAGAACATTGACTAATGATACAGTGGAGGAGCCACCATATCAAGAATGTGCCAGATGTGAGCTGGACTACCATGAAATAACAAGGAAACATTCCATTCTTCTTAATAAAAGAAAAACCTCCAACCTATCAAAGGAGAAAAATCCTGCATATTAACCTTTCAGACTGATTCAGAACATTTTCCAGGATGATGCACCTGAAGAAAAACGTGTGATTCAACTAATAGCGTTCGTCATGTTGCAGACTGATCCAAAGGTGAGGCTATACCTGCGAAGACAGGCTGAATGCCAACTCGTGTAGCCTCATTTGCAAAGCTCGGCACTCTGGAGCTTAAATGTCCCTGCTTAACAAATGGGGAGCAATTTAGTCTGTTGTATAAAGACAAGACCAAGGCCAAAGTCTAACAATAGCTTCCCTCTCGCCCAGTCCTTGAGTTAGTAAATGTTATTACAAAAAGAAAATATACTTTTATCTAGGTTGTTACTTTTTCCCTCTGCTGTCCTCTGTGGCTTTGCCTATAAGCTCACAGTTTTTAGTTAAATTGGACAATTACTGAGTGAGAAGTGCATAATTAATGAACAGTCACCGTATATGTTTGGGAAACTGTGACCCAATCACTGAACAGATAACTGAACCACTAAAATAAATGACTTGTCCCACTCATTACCTGATCAGCATTTGTTTAGAAGTTCCTTGGTGCCCTATCAAAATTCTAATCAGTTCTATTTAAATTACATTTTTTTGCACTGCATTGTTATAAATGCTAATTTATGCCTAGAATGGAACAGCTTTATTTCTTACCTCCTGAAGAAACGGATGAATAAAAACATACTTCTACAGGGCATAAAAGATTATCAAGGGTTCAATGACTATTGGGTTTTGCACTCACCAAAACACATCCTGAGACTTCGAGCTGAAGCTTTAGGGGACAATAAGGACATTCAAACCTCACATAGCAAAGCCATCCCCAAGAGGAAGCTGAGGACTGTCACAGCAGCATCTGCAACCACCACAGGGATTTGCTGCCTTTGGGGACTGGACAGTCTTTGGGGTGGTGAAGAGAAAGAAGGGAAAATTCTTACAACTTGAGAATAATGATCCAAAGAATCTTAAAGGCAGATGATTATTTCAGAATCTCTAGGCAACTTTTGTGCACAGAGAGGGATTTCTCTGAGCCTGGTAGCCCATCTGCTTTTGCGATGATGTCCATGTCCACCAGCTTGTAGGCGGTGGCAGATCTCACATGGTAACTCCATATATTTTTCACAATTAGTTTGGTCTCCAAACTTAGCACCAAGATGTCACTCTAAGCAACTCAGGCAGGTCCACCCAAGAGAAGACTAAAGCACGGTTTTGCTCTCTCTGATGTACAAGCCTTGACCACTTGCAGCCTAGGGGTGGCCCAGACAGACCCTAAGTCATTTGGGATCTAGAGGACCTCAGAAGAGAGAAGATTGAGACTGGTGTTCTAGAAATAGCTAGAAATCTCCTAATGAGGCCACAAAAGTCCTGCCTTTAAAAGTGCTTCATCCACTATGACGCTCCCTTCCCATTCCAGGCTCAGTGTCTGTGGAAGTCAGCGAGTCTGCCATTATCCTGCCTGGAGTGGGAGGCATCAAATTCAGAATTCATTGCCAGAAGTTTTTTATAAGCTGAGGAATTACCTTGAGAGGATTGAATTTCCAAGCGCAAGTCAGCAGCTGCTGGGGAGGCTGGGGCCCCCTCAATCATCCTGTACCCACGAGTCTCTTGCAGAGAGGGGCGAGACAAGGCTGGATCAGCCTGGCTTAGGGCTGCATGGCCAAGGGGCTAGAAAACACAGGTTCACAAAGGCATTTAACCTCGTTTAAGCAGTGCAATGTGGCTGAGGCTTAAAACAAGGCTGGAACATTTTCTTGCTTATTATCACCTTGATAATCTTTTCTCGTAGCTAGGAAGGAGTGGCATGAGAAAGGGGGGCACAGGGAGACACTGGGAGAGGAGGGGTGGGCCATGGCACTGAACAGGAGGGGAGAAAGCTGCTGTTGTCCTGTTTTCTGAGTGTAGTTGGAAAGAGAGGAAGGATGTTTGCTCTCTAAATATTTTTACTTTTAAATAGCAACTGTTTTCCAGACTGCATGGCTAATCGCTTCATAGAAAAGGGAAGAAAAGAATAGCTTTCATTCACTTTCTTTGAAACCTATTCATTACAGTTTGAAAGCAAAATTTCTCTATGAAATACCTAAGTAGTGGCAGCATTTCTACAAGATCTAAGTGTGGGGGCGAGGGAGCAGAGACAGGAGAAGTAAATAGAACCCAGGAATAGCTGTGCTCGCGTCATCGTGGGAAGAAGACGACTGGTCACCTTCGTCTATTTCACAGAAAGTGCTGGGAGTGGTCCTCTCGGGGAAAGCAACAGGGCCCCCTCCCCACACCTTCCCAAAGAGGCGGTAACAGCATGCCTGTCTGCCCTGTGGCTGTAACCAATCCTAAAAGGAGTCTTTTTAGAGAAATTAAGCTTTACAATGATTGTTTCTCAATCTTGTTTAAATCAATTATAATAATAACTGATTCTAGTATGCATAAAAATCTCTCATCCTTCTCTGAAGCTATTTGAATGAAACCCAAATTAAAGTTCTGTGATGGGAGTATGTGGGGTTAAAAGCCTCACTCTGGTTCCTACCAGCAGATGACTGTGACTCTAATACCCACCCACCACTCTCCCGCCTGAGCATCCTTGGACTGGCAATCAAAAGTCCTAGATAATATTTCTAGTCAAATCTTTGTATAGCTTACATTTGAGTTATAGAATTTCACTGTTCTAATCTGAAAAAGAAAATTAAGCCCCTAGGGGAGTACATGTTGTGGACTTTACTACCAAATGTTCAGAGATTGCGAGGCTCTGTCACCATTGTGATTATCTTATTATTATTATTGTCATTGCAGGCATTTAACATTAACTGAGGAGCTACAATTTTCCTGACTGTATCCAGGATAAATGATACAGGGGTTTTACAGAATCATAGTTACCATTGACTCTAGGCCAATAATTTGGCATTTCATCTCAAAATGTTGCAATATTAGAAATGTGAGACAAGAGGTCAAATGAGAAGACATCCTCCATCTGTGAAGTGATTTGCATTTTCAATATATCAATTTAGCCTCCATCCATATCAGTTATAAAGCTGCAGAACAACCAAAGAGTCCTGTGACGTAGCACTAGAGGCTTCATTCCAGATTAAAATTAGTAATTAATCAATATTACCTATCTTTATTGTTCAATCCTCTTAGCAATTACTTGGAAGACAAAATAAGTAATGCTGGTTAAATTTTAAGGTGGCATAAATCTGAGAGAAATAGTTAATATTTTGAATTCCACATGACTCAAAGGTTCTTGCTAGGCTGGAGCAACGGAAAACAATTTATATGAAATATCACAAAAATAAACATAACCCTGCACTTAAGTTCAAAATGCCATTTTAGCTACATTATGTTTTACCAGAAATCACGTGAAAAACTAGCGGGGTTTTAGTGTGTGCCTTAAAATCAGGAGAAGCCAGTGTGATATGGCTGCCCAAAATGCTAACAGAATTTTAGATGACAGTAATAGACATCTAGTCCAAAACAGGAGAGGTAATGGTTCTGTTGTACAGTGGTCAGATATCACATCACTAAGAGAGAAAAGGTAACACAACCTCCTTCACCAACTCTGCAAATTCGAAGAAGTCGTCATTTGAGCCTTAGTGTTCTCATCTGAAAATGGAAATAATAACACCTGACAAAGATATTCTCATGAAATCATTGTAAAATCAAATGAGTTAGTCTTCATAAAAGTGTTTTGAAAATTATGAAGTATCATTGCTCTGGACATCTGCTGTTTGTCATTCAACAATCATCTTCCTCTTTTTGGCAATTGCAATTCAGCCCTCCTTTGGGGAATCTCTCCTCCACCATTTTGACCATGTGGTGGGCCCAACTTGGCTGAGGCTGCAGAGATTGGTTTAGGAATGGCCACATGACCCAGTCAGAGCCAAGGAGACATGAGGAGACTATGCTAGGGCTTTTGAGAACAAAGAGCTCTTGCTCCTTAGCTATATTTGGTCATATAAAGAGTCGAGTCTTGTGATAGCATCCTGCTACCCAGGGAGAAGTCAGCCTGAAGATGAAGCTTAACCAACAGAAGTGGCGGGGAAAGGCACAAATGAAAGAGACAAAGAAACTAAGCCCTGATGACCTCATTTGATATTCTGGATCAGACCCTCCCAGCCAAAGCCAGTATTCCCTTGCAGTGTTCTATATTCCAAGCCCATATATTACTTTTTTTAAGTCAGTTTGAGCAGGGTTTTTATGTCACTTGCAACAGAAAGAGTCCTACAATTGTGCATATATTCTAATGTCTTGGAAAATCTAGTTATTCAAATATATGGAAATAATACATGATAGAGTTTTCAAATGGAAAAGATAGATTCTACAAAAATCAAATTTCTTTACATTGTGTTAGATTATTATGCTTATGTTAGATTGTTATGTTAGACTGTGTTTACTAATACGAGCAAAATTTCATTATTGACTATGTCTTGGATTCTAAGACTTACATAAGGATTTATATAACAACTTTGTTCTAAAAAGAATTTTTTTAGCATTCTGCCTCTGGGAAATCCATGTTTCCAGCCTACCCCATCTTGTCTTCCTTGTCTTCCTGCTGAGCTAATAGCCAGATCTCCAACTAAAACAGCAGTGCCCATTTCTGATTAATGGGACCTTTCTCCCCACCTTTTTTAATGGCTTTCTCCCATTGTGATTTCAATCAGAACATTGCTGGGAATCCCTCCTGGTGCCTCTCCAGGACCACTTCTATTGCCATTTCTTATAGACTCCTCCTCAGGAAGAGAAAAGCCAAAGAAATGTCCCCATACTCCAAAGCTGGAATCAATGTGGAATACGGAGAAATAAATTATAGCATTTTCCAGCCAGAAAGGCCTATAGGCATCATCACCTGATCAGCAATGGGCTAAATCCAGCCCACCTGATTTTTATTTTTAATTTTTAAAAATATTTTATTTAACCTAATACATCTAAAATATTATTTCACATGCAATGAATGAAAACATTATTAATGAGATAATTTATATTTTATCATTCTAAGTCTTCAAAATCCAGTGTGTGTTCTGTACTTAAAGTATATCTCAATTGGGCTATACCTTTTTTTTTATTATACTTTAAGTTCTAGGGTACATGTGCACAACGTGCAGGTTTGTTACATAGGTATACATGCGCTACGTTGTTTTGCTGCACCCATCAACTCATCATTTACATTAGGTATTTCTCCTAATGCTATCCCTCCCATAGCCCTCCATCCCCCAACAGGCCCCAGTGTGTGATGTTCCCTGCCCTGTGTCCAAGTGTTCTCATTGTTCAGTTCCCACCTATGAGTGAGAATATGCGGTGTTTGGTTTTCTATCCTTGTGATAGTTTGCTCAGAATGATGGTTTCCAGCTTCATCCATGTCCCTGCAAAGGACATGAACTCATCTTTTTTTATGGCTGCATAGTATTCCATGGTGTATATGTGCCACATTTTCTTAATCCAGTCTATCATTGATGGACATTTGAGTTCGTTCCAAGTCTTTGCTGTTGTGAATAGTGCCACAATAAACTTACGTGTCCATGTGTCTTTATAGTAGCATGATTTATGATGCTTTGGGTACATACCCAGTAATGGGATCACTGGGTCAAATGGTATTTCTAGTTCTGGATCTTGAGGAATGGCCACACTGTCTTCCACAATGGTTGAACTAATTTACACTCCCACCAACAGTGTAAAAGCATTCCTATTTCTCCACATCCTCTCCAGCATCTCTGATTTTTATTTTCAATTGTTTTATACACAAAGTTTAATTTGAACACAGCCATGCCTGTTTGTTACATATATTTGTCTGCTTTCATGCTATAATAGCAAAGTTAAATGGTTATGACAGAGACCATATGGCCTGCAAAGCCTAAAATATTTACTATCTGGCCCTTTATACAGAAAAAGTTTGCTAACCTCTAATCTAGTCCAAACACCTAGTTTTTAAAAAAAGCAGCTTAGGCCCAGAAAGACTAGCTAATCATACACAAGAGGCCAAATGCAAGTTTGTTTCACACGGTGGTATTTTCATGTTCTATTCCTATGCATCTACTAGATTAGAGGTATCTTATGGGCAGAGATTGTGCCTCATGTTTCTGTGATATCCCAAACAATAGAGGCTAAATACTGAAGTATCCATTAAAACTAGTTATATAAATGCGAAGGTATTGAGGAGATAATGAATTTATTCAGAGACTTCTATATAAACCGTTTCCCCTCCTGCCTCCACAGCCTCCAAATATTTGTAGCCAAAAACCAATGATTCTCCACAGGACATCAAGTCACTATCTGTGACATCATCTATAAAATGGCATGAAAGTATCCACTTCACAGAATGGCGAGGCTCAGATGAGATAAAGTGTGGAAGGCATGTAGCACAGAGCCTAGCACATGTCAAACACTCAAAGAGTAGTGGGTTACTATGATGACTATCATAAAAATGGAGGCACCCTGAGACATCACTGGGTCTTACAGGGAACATGTATTTTGCTTATATTACTGTACTGGGGACTTCTCTCAGATACCCTTATAAGCAGTGGGGGAATATATATAAAGGTGGGTTCCAACACTTCATTTCTGCAAACAATTGAATCCATTTTCAATTGCTGTCACCCAAGGAAGTTAGAGCACAAGTGACAGAAACAGGGTTCTCCCAGATCCCAACAGCACATGTAATACTAGAAGGAGAGAAAAAGATTCTTTCCCTGGGGCTAAGGCATTACAAGTGTCAGTACTTAATAAAGTAAGGAAAAACATAGTATTGTGTCAAATAGCGTGTGTACAGTATGAATCCAATTGTGGCCAAGGACATTCTCCCTACCATGGAAATGGTCCCACCCAATACCAGGGGCTTTCCTCTGGCCACACCAGCCCTTGTCTATTCTGACTAAACCTTCTTTAAATGTTATGGCCATAACTGTCCCAGCTAATAGGAATGTATCATCATCGTTCAACAGCATACCGCATTTATTGCATGAAACTTTTAGCTATGGGCAAAATATTTCCACCATCCAGCCCATCCTCTTGCCAAATAATTATGCTTATAAAATTATTTCGTATTTTGGTAGTCCCCAATATGGAAATAAGAAGGAAATAATAAGCCTATGATCCCATGCAAATAGAAAGAGCCAAGTACTCATCCTCCACTCCACCTCTCTTCCTGGTCCAAGGTGGTATATCGCAATGCCCCTTTTGTTTGTTGTTGTTGTTTGTTGCTGTTTTTGTTTTGAGACAAGGTCTTTCTCTCTTGCCCAGGCTGGAGTGCAGTAGCACAGTCATAGCTCACTGCAGCCTCAAACTCCTGGGCTCAAGCAATCCCCCTGCCTTAGTCTCCTGAGTAGCTGGAACTACAGGCATGTGTCACCACACCCAGGTAATTTTTTAATTTCTTTTTTTTGTAGAGATAGCATCTCACTATGTTGCCCAGGTTGCAATGCCCCCTTAAATAAATGCCCCTTTAGAAACTAACAAGAACATGTAGAACAATATAGTCTATCCTCTCCTCTACCCAATATCTTCTTTTGATACTAATCACAGGGAGTAAAAATTTTTCCAGAGTCACTTAGTCCATATCAGGAATCAAACCCTACATGTGGTCCTCTGTGATGTGCTAAACTCATCTGCTTAGGTCCTGGCAGCCAGAAGAGATTACTGGGGCTAATAACTAGTAAACTCCCACATTAGGAGGGCCTTTTCCACCCCGGCCCCCATTCCTACTGCCACCATCTGTGTTTGTTCTTTTGCTACATAAGAACTCAAACTGGGTGGTGGGCCTGTTATTTTTAAAAGTCTTTTAGTAGCGTCTATACCCAGAACTGCCTCATCACAATTATCCTCACCAAACAAGGAAACTTCACATTGAGAATGGATATGGTTTTCAGCCAGCACCAAATGTCTCTCCTTCTGCCTTTTTGTCTTTCCGATCAATCAGAACATGTGAAACTCCCAAATGAAGAGTAAACACACAGCCCAGGTTCCTTTCATCTCCTAACATATGTCATGAAGGGGGAGGGAAAAAAGTCTATTCCCAGCTTCAATCAGCCCTTCGTATTCTGTGACTTGAGCCTGAAACTGAAAGGGATGTTGCGGGGCGCTGTGGAGGAGTGCTGAATGTGGGCTGACTCCTTGGAAGATAATAGGTATTCGCTGCATACCTGAGTCTTGGAGTCATTATCTCCCCTGTGAGCACTTCTGTATTTATATATAATGAGATCATTACCAGGCAGCTATTTCAATTTTATTCAGACTTTAATATTTCTTGAAGAAAAAAATAGCGTACAAAAGGGTTTGTGATGCCAACTCAATCAGTCGTGCTGTTGATGGAGAATTATTCAAGTGCAAGCCAGAACAGGCAAAAAAAATTTTCAGAGAGGTTTCTGTCAAAGCTGAGTTCTCCCATGACGATGTTTCAAGCGAATGTGCCGAAGTGTCCAGAGGTGAGGAAGGAAAATAACAACGAACAGAAGAAAGGGCTGTGTATAGGATTAAAAACGAGGCACGTTGCAGCTTAACTATTCAGGCAGGTAGGGCAGGTGCCTCCTGCCGAGACTCGACTCCCACCCCAGCTTTCAGTGGGTAATTAGACCAGGGAAGTAGCTTTACTTGCTGTCGGCTTCCCTAGGAGCAGTCAGGTTTTAGAAATTAACCCTTTGGTGGGTGCTACTTCCTTTTGTGATTGAACTCAGGTGGATAGGCAAGGTAGGTAAAGGCAATTCCTTCCTCCTCTCACATCAAGCTTTAAAGAAGAGATTTTCTGTCTCTTCAGTCTCATTGCATCTTCAGGGGGAAAAAAAAACAGAAGAATTTTCTTTCCCTTTGTCCAGTAAACCCCTGTTCATAGAAAATGGCTAGAAATTCAGTACCCCTGCTAATTCTGGGAAAGGCTCTATCCATTTTCAGCAAATTACAAAATCAAATGAAATCAATTGAATACTGAAACTGAACAAAAAAGAATCTCTCTTGATAATCCAGACAGCACCACAGGATGATGCCAAGCCTTGGGTGACAACTATGAAGGTGGCTCCTCACTGGCCCCCACTTCTAGAAATACACCTGCTAATGTGAGCTCTCTGGATGTTTGCACTTTGGATAAACACAAGCTTACTGATTCATTTCTGGGATCTATGGTTTATCCTGTGATACAAATCCAAGAAGACTATCATTTTAGCTATTCGCTCCCTGTCCTGATACTGCAGATGGGAATAAGCAGATGGAGCAGGGATGCAGACTTGTCATCATATAAACATGAAATGAAAGGATCCTGGCTCTTTTCTTATGGTGGTTGTAAAGCACCCATTATTTTTCCCCTAGCACTTCCTAACAGGCAAAACCAAAATAACATTGGAAGGAAATTTACAGAATGCTCATGCTATCCGCTGAACCCCCAGACACTACTCAAAATAGCATTGGTAGATTGTTTTTTATTATTTGTATTATTCTACTTAAAGAGATACCCTGTAATGGTTAGGAGTTAGTTCTGGTAAAATTATTAAGGCTATTTTATGGATCCTAGTCTTAGGATGTACTCGATGTTTAGAAATCAGTTTGGGAAGGAAGGAAAGAAGCAGGAGGGAGGAAGAGAGGAAGTGAGGGAAGGAGAAAGGAAAGAGGGAAAGAGAAAAGGAAGAAAGGAAGGGCAGGCAAGTGGGTGGGAGGAGGAGAGAAGAGAGGGAGGATAGAGACCTCGTGGCTCCATGAAATGTAGCTATCTCTGCCATAATCTATACTATGTAGGTAAAGAAGTGCATCAAAATAGTCCTTAAAAAACACTTGAACTGGAATGCGCTCCCTCTCCCTCTCCCTCTCCCCATGGTCTCCCTCTCCCCATGGTCTCCCTCTCATGCCGAGCAGAAGCTGGACTATACTGCTGCCATCTCGGCTCACTGCAACCTCCCTGGCCTGATTCTCCTGCCTCAGCCTGCGGAGTGCCTGCAATTGCAGGCGCGCGCCGCCACGCCTGACTGGTTTTCGTATTTTTTTGGTGGAGACGGGGTTTCGCTGTGTTGGCCGGGCTGGTCTCCAGCTCCTAACCGCGAGTGATCAGCCAGCCTCGGCCTCCCGAGGTGCCGGGATTGCAGACGGAGTCTGGTTCACTCAGTGCTCAATGGCGCCCAGGCTGGAGTGCAGTGGCGTGATCTCGGCTGGCTACAACCTCCACCTCCCAGCCGCCTGCCTTGGCCTCCCAGAAGTGCCGAGATTGCAGCCTCTGCCCAGCCACCACCCCGTCTGGGAAGTGAGGAGCGTCTCTGCCTGGCCGCCCATCGTCTGGGATGTGAGGAGCCCCTCTGCCTGGCTGCCCAGTCTGGAAAGTGAGGAGCGTCTCTGCCCGGCCGCCATCCCATCTGGGAAGTGAGGAGCGCCTCTTCCCGGCCGCCATCACATCTAGGAAGTGAGGAGCGTCTCTGCCCGGCCGCCCATCGTCTGGGATGTGGGGAGCGCCTCTGCCCCGCCACCCCGTCTGGGAGGTGAGGAGCGTCTCTGCCGGGCCGCCCCGTCTGAGAAGTGAGGAGACCCTCCACCCGGCAGCCACCCAGTATGAGAAGTGAGGAGCCTCTCCGCCCGGCAGCCGCCCCGTCTGAGAAGTGAGGAGCCTCTCCGCCCGGCAGCCACCCCGTCTGGGAAGTGAGGAGCATCTCCACCCGGCAGCCACCCCATCCGGGAGGGAGGTGGGGGGGTCAGCCCCCCACCCGGCCAGCCGCCCCGTCCGGGAGGTGAGGGGCGCCTCTGCCCAGCCACCCCTACTGGGAAGTGAGGAGCCCCTCTGCCCAGCCAGCCGCCCTGTCCAGGAGGGAGGTGGGGGGGTCAGCCCCCCGCCCGGCCAGCCGCCCAGTCCAGGAGGGAGGTGGGGGGGTCAGCCCCCCGCCCGGCCAGCCACCCCGTCCGGAAGGTGAGGGGCGCCTCTGCCCGGCCGCCCCTACTGGGAAGTGAGGAGCCCCTCTGCCCAGCCAGCCGCCCCCTCCGGGAGGGAGGTGAGGGGGTCAGCCCCCCGCCCGGCCAGCCGCCCCATCCGGGAGGTGAGGGGCGCCTCTGCCCGGCCGCCCCTACTGGGAAGTGAGGAGCCCCTCTGCCCGGCCACCACCCCGTCTGGGAGGTGTGCCCAACAGCTCATTGAGAACGGGCCAGGATGACAATGGCAGCTTTGTGGAATAGAAAGGGGGGAAAGGTGGGGAAAAGATTGAGAAATCGGATGGTTGCCGTGTCTGTGTAGAAAGAAGTAGACATGGGAGACTTTTCATTTTGTTCTGTACTAAGAAAAATTCTTCTGCCTTGGGATCCTGTTGATCTGTGACCTTACCCCCAACCCTGTGCTCTCTGAAACATGTGCTGTGTCCACTCAGAGTTAAATGGATTAAGGGCGGTGCAAGATGTGCTTTGTTAAACAGATGCTTGAAGGCAGCATGCTCATTAAGAGTCATCACCACTCCCTAATCTCAAGTACCCAGGGACACAAACGCTGCGGAAGGCCGCACAGTCCTCTGCCTAGGAAAACCAGAGACCTTTGTTCACTTGTTTATCTGCTGACCTTCCCTCCACTATTGTCCTATGACCCTGCCAAATCCCCCTCTGTGAGAAACACCCAAGAATGATCAATAAAAAAAAAAAAAAAAACACTTGAACTTAAAAGAGATGTAAATGTGAAAATGGAAACAATTTTCTCTCCTCAATTAAATCCACAATAGCTAGTCATAGTAATTATTTTAAGATTAACTCCCTGAAAAGGGGAAGAATCAGCCCAAGTAAGACTTATTAAATGTCTGTCCATTGTTCACTATTGCACTATTACGTGTTAACAAGTTTGGGGGTGGGAGAAGCAGTATGTGTGCATGTTGGGGGAGGCAGGTGAGAGAGAGAGAAAGAGAAATTTCATTGACCATCAACATGGATTCTCCAGGGAGCACGATAACCCAACAGAGTTCCTCCATCTGCCTCCCTTGGGCAAAGAGCACCCTTGACTATATCAACCTTTTGATCTTCCCTCCCAGCCTTAAAAGAAGAGATCTCTCTTTTTCTCAAAAACCAACTGCCTCTCCAGCATTCTCACCCTATCCTCCAGTGGTCCTTTCCTTCTGTCACCAAATATGTTGATGCTCCTCTTCCACAGAAGATCCTCCCTAGGCTGCTGTCAGGAGAGTTGGATCCCAGCCCTGCTCTTCCATGGACTGGCCATGAGACCAGCAAGACTGCTGGGAACATCATTTTCTCTCATGCTTACCCTAGTACTGCCTCAAATATTGCTTTATTTTGATCTCTTCTTTACTAGCAAAATCACCTCACCACTCATTCTCTCTGGACACATCAGAAATGTGGCTTTCATGCTCTCCAAACCATTAAAATTGCTCTTTCAAATCATCAAATTAAACTATTTTGCCAAGTCACATAGTCTGAACTGATTCTTAATCCCTTGGACTTTTTGCTGTATCTGACGTGACTGAAGAAATTCTTCTTGCAACCCTTTTTTTCTGAGCTCCCCACACTGATCCCCTCATTGCCTGTTCCTCCCTGTCTCTATTTTGTCTGGTCCCACATGCTTGCTATGGGGCACAAGGCTTTATTCACAGTCGGGCAGCCAGCTACACGTGATGGCTTCAGAAACGATAAAATACGCTCTCTAACCCCACCTTCCCCACCACCACCATACACAGAGCACTCCCTCACACCAAATATTTGATTGAAGATGCATTCCTTTTGGTTAAAGTACTGTGTCTCACAGAAACTGCTATTCAAAAGTAAATAGCTCTCAGAAGCTTGTACATTAATTCATCATCTATTCATACAAAATTAATTTAATAGATAATTCATGTTTCCTCAGAAATAAAAAGGTGGCACACTGAGTAAATGGAGTCCACTATGAAGGAATGTCAACTCTATTATCTAGAGAGAAAAAAAGGCTGAGCATGGTGGCTCACGCTTGTAATCCCAGCACTTTGGGAGGCTAAGGCAGGAGTATCTCCTGAGCCCAGGGGTTTGAGGCCAGCCTGGGCAATATAGCAAGACCCTGTCTCTACTAAAAATTAAAAAATTAGCCAGGCATGGCGGCACACACTTGTAGTCCCAACTACTTGGGAGGCTGAAAGGATTGCCTGAGCTGAGGAGTTGGAGGTTGCAGTGAGCTATGATCGTGCCACTGCACTCCAGCCTGGGCAACAGAGCAGGACTCTCTTTTTTTTTTTTTTTTTTTTTTGAGACGGAGTCTCGCTCTGTCGACCAGGCTAGAGTGCAGTGGCGCGATCTCGGCTCACTGCAAGCTCCGCCTCCCGGGTTCACGCCATTCTCCTGCCTCAGCCTCCCGAGTAGCTGGGACTACAGGCGCCCACCACAACGCCCGGCTAATTTTTTTTGTATTTTTAGTAGCGACAGGGTTTCACCGTGTTAGCCAGGATGGTCTCGATCTCTTGACCTCGTGATCCGCCCGCC
Organism: Homo sapiens; assembly: GCF_000001405.40. Lineage (NCBI taxonomy): Eukaryota > Metazoa > Chordata > Mammalia > Primates > Hominidae > Homo > Homo sapiens. The sequence goes on from NC_000004.12 coordinate 138,857,086, forward strand.
TCGGCCTCCCAAAGTGCTGGGATTACAGGCGTGAGCCACCGCGCCCGGCCAGCAGGACTCTCTTTAAAAAAAAAAAAAAAAAGAAGAAAGAAAAAGAAAGAAAAGTGAAATCATGTTCAAGAAAATGTTGTAAATATATACTTAATACCTATAAAAAACACTGTTTACATAATTAAAACATAACAAATTCCCATAATTGACACATGGCAAGGTCATAACCTATTAACTCTCCAGAATTCTCACCAAAGATGACAAATCTGATGCTCCCTTAGAAAGCCAAAGGTCTGTGGGAAGGAGGATTCTGGAAAAGTTAATTAGCAATATCTGTCTGTCAAGTTTCTGAAATAATATGATGATTTACTGTCAGAAATATGACAAAGAAGTTTCCTATTCTGCTCAATGTTTTCAGCAGAACAGCCCTTGTACTCTAAGCAGAGAAAATTGGTCACAGGATTTTGCTGTGAGCCCGCAAGGACCTGATTCCTTGTTCCCATAAATAGCTTTCTCTGCATATGTGCTCTGTGAGGAACACTTAACCCTGTATCGTTGCTGTCAATAAAGTCTTGGAACCTGACCCTCTTGATTGGCTCACTACCATTTAAACCACTGTTGGCAATCACCATGCTGAATATAAAGCAACTGAGTGTTCATTTGTCAGAGTTCAGCCTCTAATTTCTGAGGCTGCCCAAGTTGCTTCTTTCTATAGTCCTGGAGCCCAGATCAGTGAGTAGCAAATAAATGGTCTAGATACTCTATGTGAGGGTGGCCAATATTAAATTTCTCTTTTCTCTGCCTGCAAGATATACTCTGGTACCAGATTAATAAGATTACACCTCCACTCTGGAGCAAAGTGCCACCTTTAATCATTTTCAGAATGGACCACCCGACCCTCCACTCATTAGGTTTATGAACAATAGGAAAAGATCACCAGGTGACAGCAAAGGCCAAAAATACCATGTCTCTGAAGACCTTCTTATGAAAGGTCTTATGAATCAAAGCAAGGGCATCGCAGCCTGATATTTCACAAACAGAGGGAAGAAAAATTGAGAACCCCTAGTGTTTGTAATAAGGGAAACTTTGAAAATTGTATTAAAATCAGAACTACAGAGCATTTGAAAGGAATATCCTTACATTGAACACTAACATCATAAAATGAAATTCGAGCACATCCTAGAAACTGAGTGAATGGTGGATGTCACTAGGCTGATTCTTGGGTTCTCGGCCTCCTTATGAGCCTGACTAGCCATGTCTTGTAGGAGAAAACAAGATGGGGTCAGAGGGCAAAAAGAGAGTCTCTTGCCCCCCTGCAAGTAAATGCTACCATGAATAGGGTCTGATTATAGGAAACACTGCCTAAAGGTGACTTATTTAGTTATTCTTTTCATGAAAGAAGACACCTACCCTCTTATATCAACAAGATGTCTTCTTCCAGAAGCCATTAGAGCAGGAGTTCTTAGTTGCCCTATATCAGGGATTAGCAAATTACAGCCACAGGCCAAGTCTAGCCCACCATCTGTTCTTATAAATAAAGTTTTATTGGAACACAGCCACACTTATTAGTTTACATATTGTCTAGGGCTGCTTTCTTCCTTCAGTGGTAGAGTTGAGTAGTTATAGCAGAGATCTTACAGACTGCAAAGTCTCAGGTATTAATTATTTGACCTTTCACAGAAGGAGTCTACTAACTTTTGCCCTATATCTTCCAGGGCCAAATTTAAAATAATTATAATAAAAGTCAATGTTTATCCAACTTTTCTAATGTGCAATGTGCTATTCAACACTATACATGAACTATATTATTAGATCTCCACAACTGCTCTAGGAAGTAGGTACTTTTGTTTTCTTCATTTTAAAAGAGAAGGACCCGATGCTTACAGAACTAATAAGATCTCAGAACTAGGAAGTGGTGAAAGCAGAATTCAAAGTCTGTCAGTCTGACTCCAGTACCCCGTAACATATTAAACATATAAACACTGGTAAACAGTAGATACCATTTACCAAGCGCTCACATACACTAGCCTTTGCATATATTGTCTCTAAAGCTTACCACTGCCTATGCTTGTATTTCCAAAAGATCAGGGAACAGGCACCCAGACTGGTGAAGTGATTTGCCCAAGATCAGACGGTGGAGAGTAGAAAATCCTGTGTTCAAACTTAGACTCCATAGTGCTTTCATTATATATGCCACCTCATTGCAGAAAGACAGTATTTCAGAAATAATATAATAGACAGAAATTGTATTTTTTTTTCTAACTTCCCATTCTGTCTAGAAAGACTATGAGTTAACACGCCCAGGTTCTAGCCCTCGCTTAGTCATTAATGATCTTTGTGGCCCCTGGCAGGTCATTTAATCCCTTCTGATGTTGGTTTCCTGGTTGGCAAAGGAGGTAGTTCAGGTTGGCTGCTCTGTAAGATCTTGCAGCCTCCAACACTCTCTAAACCTTCAGTCCTGTTTCCTCAGAGAAATACATGGTCACTTCCGCGCTCTCTCACTCTCTCTCTCTCTCTGTGTATGTGTGTGTGTGTGTCTGTGTGTGTCTCTGTATGTTTTCCTGGTAATTCCAAACAACTATCTGAACAAACTAGGCAAGTTTTTGATTTAAAACTCCTCGAATTATAGGCATAAACCACTACACCCAGCTCCATTTGTGTTAATTTATTTCTATCACATGTTTTTTTAAGAGATAAGCTCTGGCTATGTTGTCCAGGCTGGTCTTAAACTCCTGGGCTCAAGCAATCCTCCCCGCTCAGCCTCCAGAGTAGCTGGCACTACCAGCACACACCACACACCCAGCTTCTACCACCTCACTTTAAATGGCTGCATGATGTTCCACTATAATTATATACTACAACTTATTAAAGTATTCCTTTCTTCTTAGACATTTAATTTGTATACATTTCCTACTATTAGAAACTATGGTGTGATTAAACATTCGTGTATGTGCAATAAATAAATAAAATAAAACTCCTTATCTGAGATAATCTCTCATTATGGACCCTAATTACCTTTCATTCAAAAGAGAGGCTAACATCTCCTCCCATAGTATCTTATCATTACAGGATGGCTCATGAAAATAGCTGTTCCCTCTTAGAATACTAAGAAGACTCCAGACACATGACTCTTACTGATTCTTCGTTAACTTTGTTACCTCTCATTTGGTGTATTTCAGTTAATCTATTAAACAGCCAGTAATATCTAATTTCCTGAGGCCCAGATGGGTTAAATGCAGTAAAATGTACATTTAATATTATGTGATTTGGCAGATGTCATTCTTTTTCTTTATTACAAAATTTTAAATCACTACCATCCCTCTGGTAAATTTAAAAAGTAAGGCCTATTGCTCATCCTAAAAGGTAGAGCTTGCCCACCAATGATAGACTGGATAAAGAAAATGTGGCACATATACACCATGGAATACTATGCAGCCATAAAAAAGGATGAGTTCATGTCCTTTGCAGGGACATGGATGAAGCTGGAAGCCATCATCCTCAGCAAACTAACACAGGTACAGAAAACCAAACACCACATGTTCCCACTCATAATTGGGAGTTGAACAATGAGAACACATGGACACAGGGAGTGGAACATCACACACTGGAGTCTGTCTGGGGGTGGGGGGCTAGGGGAGAAATAGCACTAGGAGAAATACCTAATGTAGATGACGGGTTGATGGGTGCAGCAAACCACCATGGCACGTGTATACCTATGTAACAAACCTGCACGTTCTGCATATGTATCCCAGAACTTAAAGTATAACTTTTTTAAAAAGGTAGCTCTTTCCCAATTAGCTGTTTTATCTCTATCTTATTTCCTATTATCTTTTTCTGTAAATTATCAAACTTTAAGGACCATCGAAGTCTCCTGATAGATGCCTTTATGAAGTTAAAAACGGCCTCTCAAGCAAAGACTGAGTTCTAAAACCTGCCCTTTAGAGTTTCTCAAATAGAGGCCCTTCTCAGCCTGGGTCCCCTCACTTTTACAGATGGGCAAAACTGATGTAAGAAAATACATCTATTGAGTTTTCTTATTTTAGTGACTTGTTTTTAAAGAAAAAAGAAAAGAAAAGAAAAAGAAAAAAAGGCCATCTTGCCAGTGATCCCTTTAAGCCTTTTTAATTGCAAAAAAATTTTTTATGGTGTCACTGACCTAGCCTTAACAGAGTTCATTTCAGAAATGTGCTGAAGTGGGTACCAGCGCTGACAACTAAGGCTGAGAAATGTTTTAAGTATCACGACTCTACATTTTTCTCCTGTCTGTGAGGTTCAGGGATTCATCCTGTCTGAATCACGCCTGCCCTTTGTTTATGCATGAATAAGATATTCTAGACACTGAGGACACCGTGCAGACACTAGCCCTTCCTGGAAAAATAAGACCTAGACCTCAAATCAGGGTGAATACACGGACTGTCCCCAGTGCCAACTAATTTCTAAATGTGAATAAAGATACATTGGTTAGCAAGCTTTCTCCAGTTCTCCTATTGCCCCCTAACCTTTAGCAAGACAAAAATGTCACATATAATGGATCCTAAAATTAACGACACATTTTGCTTTTCAGTTGATCAGATCAGCTGAGAATGGGGTCAGTCTCTCACCTCTCCAAGATAAGAGGTTGTCACTGTTTGAGTGCATTTAACTGCACCACAGACATTAGGCCTCAGAAAATCTCTGACAACTTAGAAGCCCAGAATATAAATCAAAAATAAACCTGCAAAAAATTCAGCCCCATTCCCTAACTCCTGATAGGGCCACACCTAAAGCATCCTCTTCCTGTATTATTTAGGAAAACTTCTTTGCTCATCAATTCACTGAATAACTGTTTATTGGGCACCTAGTCTTTGCAAAACACTATTCTAGGCACTGGGGATCTTCTGGACACAATAGACAAAGTCCATACAGTGACAGAGCTTACATTCTAATAAAGGAGACAGGCTATCAACAAATAAGAAAAATGTATGGGAATAGTTAGTGCTATTTTGAAGACAAAACAGGATAATATCATACAGAAGGACTATACTACCTTGGGTAGTCAAGAAAGATTCTCTGAGGAGTTGACATTTAAGTTGAACGATGAATAAAATATATGGCACCCTGTAAAGATCTTGGCTAGAGGAAGAACATTCCAGGAATAGGAAATATCTAGTGCAAAGGTCCTAAGATGAAAGGGAACTTGAAGTTTTCAGGAAACCACTAGAATATGATGAAGGAGAGGAAGAGATATATAAGATAAGGTCAGAAAAGTAGACAGAGGCCAGCTCTCATAAGGTCCTGAAGACTCAGTAGAGCGCTTCATTTTGGTCTAATTATCATGGGAGCTATAAGATTTTTACAGAGGGGGCTTTTTGATTTGATAGGATTTTTAAAACAGTACCCTCGCTGCCATGAGGGGAATGGATTGTAGGAAAGCAAAAACAAAACCAGAGAGATCACTTTGAAGGCAACTGGTGTGGTCCAGATGAGAGACGATGAGGCTTTTACAGAGGTGGTACTTAGCAAAGGTGGGGAGAAATGAGAAGTGTAGAGACATGTTTTGGAGACTGAATGGCAGGATTTGCGGATGGATTTGATGCAGGGGATGAGAGAGTCAAGAATGACTCTCAGGTTTTAGCCGGCTGGTAGTACATTGGACCTGTTCACTACTTTAGCATCTGAGATTGTGACATTTCAGCCAAATGGCACCAAATGCACAATGAACTGCATTATAAATTTGAAATGCACAAGAGGAAACTGGCATATTTTACAAACTATCACCAGAGAAATCATCACCATTCTGATTCTTTCCTTTAGAGCAAGTGTGTTACTTGAGAAAGCCTCTAAGCATGCCTGCACACTCATAGTATTCTTAACTTAAGCAGAAAGAGTGCATTTCCTCATTATGTCCTCATAGCTGGGAGGCACATGAAATGGAGAGTGGGCTGGGGATTCTGTGCTTTGTTAAAGTGAAGGGACAATCAGCATCAGGAACATTAGCCATGGCAGTACACAGGATTGCACAGCGACGTATGAAAAGAAAAATCAGTCATCAGAATTGAATTTTTAGCTGGAGCCTAAGAGGCCAGATTTAATCATCCCCCTAAAATTATCACACAAGTCAATAATTCCTCCCTTCTCCTTGCAAAGGAAAAGAAATGGATTCTTTATTTTTCAGTCAAGCAGGTGGCCTTGAGGCAGCTAACCGGCTGGCTGAAATCTAAATACCTTCGCCAAGACAAAAGTCAGTAACATGATTGATTATCTTCTCATTGGAGGAGAAGAGAACCTCCCCCAGCCAATCAGCATACAGAACTGCTATCAGATTATCAGTGAACCAAACTAGGCTTAGAGCTGATAAACGAAGGTGCCCAAATCCCAGGCGCCAATTGGCTGGGGCTTCATCTACCAGCTCAATTACACTTGATGCATTGATTTCTAACAAGGTTCAGTTAGTTTCTTAGTTGTAAAGCCCCAGCTTTCTTTTTCAGACCTCAAATAAGTATCTACACTCCTAGTCCCTCATTTTAATATATCTGCTTCAACTGGAATTTGTCTGCCCCAGAGTGAATGCTTTCCTCCAGACAGGTTGAAAGTAGAGACTTCTGAGCAGCTCAGAAGCAGCCACAGGCGATCCCTACCAAACTCACTGGTCTTTCTCCTAGGGGTGAAAAAAATACCTTGGATCCATCCCACTTCACTGGAAGTGCACAGTTCAGATTCTGTCTGACCAGTGGTTTGTTGTCTTGCACCCCAAGCACCTTGACAGCAGGAAGTAGAATGGTTCACCCAGAGTGGCCTCAAACCAGAGTTCTTTGCACAGGGAGCTCCCGGGTTAAAGTAGGACCAGACCAAACTGAGTGTGAGGTGGCACTCTTAGACCACAGTGAGGTTCCTGCCTCTGAACTGAAGTTCTCATGTGCATCTACAATATCATCTGGTCTCAAACCCAGGAGGAATATGAAAATTGAGATTAAAAGACCCGGGCTAGACGAGGTGGCTCACGCCTGTAATCCCAGCACTTTGGGAGGCCAAGGCGGGTGGATCACTTGAGCTCAGAAGTTCCAGACCAGCCTGGGCAATGTGGTGAAACCTCCATCTCCACTAAAAATACAAAAATTATCTGAGCATGGTGGTGCACACCTGTAATCCCAGCTACTCAGGAGGCCAAGGCAGAATTGCTCAAACTCGGGAGGCAGAGGCTGTGGTGAGCCAAGATTGCACCACTGCACTCCAGCCTGGGTGACAGAGTGAGATCCTCTCCCCCACCCAAAAAAAGAGACCCTCTCTTAATAAGCAAAAAACAAAGGTTTCAAATTCCACTTGCTCTGTAATATTTACCAAGCCTATCAGTACCTCAAATTTCTCATTGGTAAAATGGAAAGGAAGAGTCACCAAAATAAAACACTAGAGAAAGGATTGTAAAACAGTGAGATTAACTTTCTACTGAATGGAAATCTCACCCATTGTGTCAGGGTAACTCCTCCTGAGACACCGTAGTAGAACGGTGTCCCTTATTCCTAAGAAAATCAAAGAATGCCGTTTACTTGCTGGCTATGTTTTTTTGTTTGTTTTTCCTTATTCCTCTTGAGGATTGCTGGTGTCATGGTTTGTAATGCTTGTTACTAGCCTTGGTATTTGAGCTTAAGAAAAAAGTCCTTGTAGAAAGAAGCTGTCACAGAGGCAAAAGGAGTCAACCAACCACCCATTACCCTAAAACACTACTTTCCACAAAGCTGAGGATGAAAGTCAAGAGTCATCATGTCATGGCACAGAAATCTTTCCTCTCTCCACTCAGGAAGGTTATCTTCCTCTTAAAGACTGAACATCAGACTTGTCAAAAAATGTTCCTTATTGATCTGACAGAGACAGAATATTGAAGTTAGAGAGATATTTGCTGAACTATCTCCCTTGTCTCGGGGAAAAGCTGAAATGCTGTTGTTGACCCTGACCATGAAGATTAGAATAGAGGTTGTGTGAAAACAGAGGTAGTGCTGAGTAGAGGCACCACCTCCAGCCTCGGAATATAAGCCTTGTGATTGATAGAGGCAGGAACCCAAGCACTCGGTGAGGGCGATGTGGGGGTGGGGGACGCGGTTGGCAGCTTGGCTCCTCTCCACACCAACCGGATTAGTGACAACATCACAGGAGTTCAGTGGCTGCTCTGGTTCTGTTTGCATTGTTTCCTTCTATGCTGTTAGGCAGAAGCACAAATACACCTTGTGAGAAAACCTAATATCAGTGACAGGAAGGAATGTTACTTTTAAAGGACTCCTTGCTCAGCCATGAGGCTCCATGCAGAGCCTCCTTCCAGACAGCCCTGATCCTCCTGGGCTTTTTCCCAAGGGGCAAAAAGCCACATTCTATAGACTGCACGACCTTGGGTTACTTGGTGGGCATCTGAGTATGTCTCCTTCCTCAGAGCGCTCAAAGTTCAGTTACAGTTCTATCTACAGGAAAGAAAAGGTAGAGAAAAGCCTTTCTGTGGTTTCTTTTTTTCCACATTAATGGTATCCTTTATACTCAGTGGTTTTTTGAAATGATAAAGAGAAGGAGGAAGGAAGGAAAGAGGGAAGGAAGGAAGGAAGGAAGGAAGGAAGGGAGGGAGGGAGGGAAGAGGACGCTTTTAAAGTCAAGAAAGTGATCAAGAGCATGCTGATGTGGCACTGACGCACAGCACCTGTGGGCATGGAGCAGCGAGAGCAGGGGTTGTAATCACAGAGGGGTCACGCCGCAGCACCTGGGGAGTGAGGGAGGATTCACTATCAGAATTGCCTGAGCAACTTCCCCAAAATACTATCCTCCTCCTCCTCCCCACTAAGATTCTGAGGTTGATTTACAGCGGACAGTGTGGAAGGATGTCCGAATGTGTCGAGTGGAAAAGGCAATATGCAGAAGAGTACTTTCAGGAAGATCCCATTTCTGTAAATAATACTGTCATAATTATATCTTATTCGTGCACGTCATTATAGTCCTAGAATAATGTGAAAGAATACACAGCAGATGTAAGCAGTGGTTTTCTCTAAAGGATGACATGATGATGGGCTTTCACTCTTAAATTATACATATTGGAATCTTTCACATTATTAATCGTTATGTTTCTCCCCCATCTAGTCTCACCAGACCCCTTTATAGTTACCCTGGCATGAACCACAGACCACAGAACAAGAAAAATGTTGCAAATACTCAATTTTTAAGAAAAAAAAATTTGTTTTTGCCCTAAATCTAGGGCAGGAAGATTCTGCCATACACTGACAGAGCAGAGGTTTAGGTAGAACCCCCATGTCTATAGAGAAGAAATGGAGGAGGCATATTACAGGGGCAGGAGTGGGTGACAAGGAGCAGCTATGATCCCCCACAGAAGAGAAAGTCCAGCAGGCCCCAGGGAGCTGCAGCAAGCTGAGAGGGGCTGAGGTGTTGCCGCTTTGCCCCAAGGTGAGGACCACCCATCACCAAGGGTTGTTGTCACCCGGTGGTGTCCCCTGTGGAGTGGCACTGATCTGCTTCCCCAAGTCTACCCAGCACAGCCCTGTGCCTGCCTCCCAACCACCCTCCAGTGGAAAACTCCCAGTCTCCAGTCCAGCAACACCAGACACTCATGAGCTGCCACCTTGGCCCTAATCAGGTGAGACACAAGCACTAGAGAGTGACTTCAGGGTGAAATCGAGCCTTGCGCTGGGCCAGGATGGGAACAAAGGGAACAAGTTTGGAGCAGCTGAGCAGGACGGCGGTGGGACACATTGCCTTTGATGTATGCACATTTTAGAATGCGTCATGTGTTGCTGCATGCATGTGCTGTTTTTGTGATGAAAAACCTGATTTGAGGGAACCCAATTTGACTCAACATTCACTATTTATCAAGTATAACCTCCACATTGACTCTTAAGACCTCCCCTCCCTCAACTTTCTGTCAGACCAAGTCAGCGTCTAATTAATCTCTGAGGACACCTTTCCATCTTCTATAGGCACACAGGCACCACACACCACACAATACACACCACACACACAGCACAGCATGCATACACCACACACACACCACACAATACACACCACACACACAGCACAGCATACATACACCACACACATATACCCACATACTACATTGCACACCATCTATCCTCCACACAACACACTGTACATCACACAACATGTACACAAACACACACACACCACACTATATTCCACACACCACACACATCACACACTATACACTACACACCACACACACTATACACCACACCCGCATACACACTATACTCCATATACCATACACACCACACACACACTCCGACACAGTATCACCATACACCATGCACACACATACACACACACCACACACCACACTATACTTCACACAACATGCACACACACACACACACCCCAACACACCACACATACCGTACTATACTCTATACACCACATGCACACCACACACAATATATTCCACACAATGCACATAAACCACACACCATGCAACACACACACCACACACACCACAGTATACACGACACACCACACACAGACCACACTATACACCCCCCCACACACACACCACTCGACACCACACATCACACTGTATACTCCACACACTGTGCACACACACACTATATACCCACCACACACGTGCCCGCCCCATGCAGCCCCTTCTCCTTTCCAGTTGCACTCCCAAGGCCTCTGCCTGGAATGCCACCCTCGGCCTCTCATTCTTTAGCTATTAAGTGAAGCTGACTGAATTTCCCTTTGACTTTAGACACAACCGCCTCGGGTTGCAGTCACTTGCCTGTCATTATCTGCCCTCATACAACTTGCATAGGGAACGTCTCCACAGCATGGTTAGTTCCACTGCACAATCACAGCACACAATTTGCCACTGTCCCTAATCTCTGACACAGCATCCGAAATTAACTGCTCTCCTACTACAGATGACCACTCACTAATCCTCCCAGGATCTGCAGCACTGTTTCCAGAAAGTACGTTTTCAAGCTGGAAAGGGTTTTTCCATCCTTCTTGACAGTAGTTGTAATAAGAATCCATTATCATATTAGCAGAGAATGGCGATGCTAAGAAGTGACATTTGCACAAAATTTGATAGTTGACAGAGATCTTGTCCCATTTGGTGTTCACTCATAGAATGTCATTCAGTCCTCAAAAAACGGGACATTAGAATGAGACTCTTTCACCTCCATTTCTACTGATGAGCCCAAAACAATTAATGATATAAAAGTGATTGGGACAGACCTCCCTTATGCAGATTTACAGAGATAACCCCCCAATCCCTTCCACAATTCTTGGTATCTGCATTTGGATAAGGATAGGAAAAGAGGGCAGAGAGAAGAGAGAATTTTGGTGAGTTTTGGTGAGACTCTTATCATTGGAGAGAGCTATGCTGCTGTAAGTCTTGTCAGTACCCAGAAAACCTCCCTGGGGAGTAGGGTGGTGTGGTCCCCCAGACCAGTAAGGGGACTTCAGGAGACCACATTGAAAAGTGTTTCCTGCAACATGCTGACCAGAGCAAATAACTCATAAGAAAAAGTGGCTGAAATGTGGAAACCCAGAGGATCTACACTGTATTCCATTTGCTTCATGAGTCTGACAGCCAGCAGGGGTTCTAACGCAGAGTCTGGCTGGGAAAGGAGCTGGAGTCCAGTTCTGGATCCCTGCTCACTGGGTCTGTGGCCTCAGCAGCTGTGGAGAAGGCAGAGGCTCGATTGCCTCCCACTTGTTGAGAGGCAAATGGTACACCCTTGACCTGTGGTTTTCACGTCACTGAATTGGGATGCAGCCCAAGAAGACAGAACCATCCCTGTTTTAAGACCAGAGACCATGATTTATCTCATCTTAAGGGAAAGAAAATGACCTCTATCTCCTTGCCCAAAGGAAAAGGGAAAGGAGGGAAGAGGAAGGAACAGGAGGGGAGGGGAGAGAGGAGGGGAGTGGGGAAGGGAAATAGGAGGGGAGAGGGGAGGGGAGAGGGGAGGAGAGAGGAGGGGAGGGGAGGGAAGTGGAGAGAGGAGGGGAGGGAGGAGAGAGGAGAGAAGGGGAGAAGGAGGAGGGGATGGGAGAGGAAGGGAAGGGATGGGAGGGGAGGGAAGGGAAGGGGAGAGAGAGGGTGAGGGGAGAGGGGAGGGGAGGGGGAGGCATTGCAGGTGAGAAGTCATTTGAAGTATCAAAAAGAAACTGATATCCTAGAATAATGCATCTGCTTCCTGTATTATTCTATTTCTGAGAATGAAGAAACACTTCTCTCACCTAAGAGTCACTGCTCTGTTTATGTTAGAGTCTAAATATGAGTGTGTGCCTCATCGTACACTGTCATCCCTTTTGCAAATGGCCACATGAGCCTGGACTAAATATGGGATGACTATTTAACATTATGGAAACTAGAAAAACACCACCAAACTCTGGAAAAGGAGAATATTTACAAAGTAAATGCCTCCTACTTGTGATAAACACAGTAATAAAAAAGCTATTAAAAATTATTGCACCACATTCTACTTTGAGAATCTTGGTTTGATTTCTTTGAAAAGCAGCAGAATTTGTCCCCATTTGAGGAATGAGGATGTGGTAGTTTTTATCCTTTTTTTTTTTTTTTTTTTTTTTGAAATTGTAAGGTTTCAAGGATTCTAGATAAATCTCTGCCTCTGGAAGGGTCAATCTGAAATAACCAGATTTCAGATTGTGACACCTACAAAATATGGAAATGAACATATTATCTCTGTGCCAGGCCCACAGCCAGGCCTGCATGCCACTCACTCATCCTGCAAGTAGTTGGAGAGCCCACTCTGTACCAGACACCATGCCAAGTGCTGGGCATACAAGAGTGAAAAAGACACACAAGCCACCTGCTCTCCTAGTGCAGTTCCAAGAAATCAGTTTGGAGAAATGGCTGTGAACCCCTAACAGTTGAAATTTCAAAGGAATTGTAACTCAGCATCAAATTAAGTTTTAGGTGTTTTGCTTTTGTTTTGTTTTTTTTCTCTAATCTCACATTTTGCACATCATAAATAATCATCATGTAAAGAGTTCACCAGTAAAGCACCAAAAGGTGCATCGTAGTCAAAAAACGTCAGCCCTTTTTGCTGCATGGCACTGCTAAGAAAAGGATCACTATTAAGAATAAATTGACTGGGCACGGTGGCTCACGCCTGTAATCTCAGCACTTTGGGAGACTGAGGCAGGCGGATCATATGAGGCCATGAGTTCGAGACCGGCCATGGCCAACATGGTGAAACCCTGTCTCTACTAAAAATACAAAAATTAGCTGGGCGTGGTGGTGCACATCTGTAATCCCAGCTACTCAGGAGGCTGAGACGGGAGAATCGCCGGAACCTGGGAGGTGGAGGTTGCAGTGAACCGAGATTGCACCACTGCACTCCAGCCTGGGCGACAGAGCGAGGCTCTGAAGAATAAATGGATATGTAGATGTAGGTTTGGTGCTAACTGTTTTCATACATAGATTCTGCTGCTAATTATATCATTTAGCAATTTTTTTTATGTTCTTTGATTTCCACTTCCCAGGTAACAGGGAAGGCTGTAGGAAGGGAAGAGTCAGGGGCAACAAACAAATGGATTTCTGTCCCACTGACATTTTATTCACTCAACATTTTGCTCCGTATTTAATAGGTAGATACATTTTAAGTGAAAGAAATTAGTCTCTGTTTTCCCCTTAACTTCTCTTCGAAAATGAATGAGATTTTTTGTAAACCTGTCTCTCTAATCTGCAGATTCTGTTTCAGTGGATCAATGAGAAAACATTTTGACAAGTCAAATGTTCATTTTTTAGGGGAAAAATAGCCCTCTCTATCTAGGCTGCCAAGACTGTGGCTTATGTGTTCTTAGGCCCTCAAGCTATCAATCTGCATTTCACTGCAGGCATTGCCCAGATGTCTTGGTCAGTGCACATTAAAGGCTTAGTTGCTGGCTTCTTAGGAAAGAGATTTAACATTAGCACATGTTCGATGTAAAGGAACATCCTTCTCCATTGAAAGAGAAATTTTATTTCTCTGGGAGAAAAAATTACAACGTGTAGTCACTAGGATGCATTATGAACCTGTTATTGCGTGTGGGATTTATGATCAAGGTCTCTTCTCTTCCGCAAGGATTCTTCAGCTAAGGGCGGAATTACAGATTTCAGCGCCCACAAAAATGTTTCACAGACCTTTGGCCCCATCTAGTGGCCATATCCTGTCAGGTCTCCCAAGCTTTTTCCTCTTAGAATTTGAAGAGAATGAGAGGCTCTGGCGGTGAAAGCTGAAGAGTTCATACTTTATACAGGCTTGACAGAAGACTACAGTTGGCCAGCAGAACTGTTGTGCCTCAGACCGGTGCTGGGCATATGACATTTCCTCATAGATTTCAGAGAGAGAGCTGCAATCGGATTCTGTGGCATTTAGAAAGGAGCTATTTTCAAACAAATCTGCAAAGTGCTAAGCTGTCTCTGCTTAGTCATTGGCTTGAAGCATACTCTGAAATGCACAAATTGCCTGTGTGTGTGTACACATGCAGGCACATGTGTGTGCATGCGTGTGTAGGTGTGCATGTGCGTGGAGGGCGTTGTAGTATGAAAATGTGCAGGGTTTGTGTGAACTCTGCAGTGCCAACTGGCATCAGGAAGGGACATATGGAAAATCACATTCCACATGGCCTCTAAATTTAGCTAAGCTGTCAATATCCTACACTAGCGGGGCCTTCTTTCTCCATGCTCTGGTTTAAAGGCTTAAAAACGGAAGCCAAGTTTAGCCCATTTGAAAGCTCAGGCGGTTAATGGTGCTGTCCGGAGGGACGTCAAACAGCAGCTTACACTATCCGCGGCGTGCAATCAAGATCCCACCCGCCTCACAGAAGCAGCGGCTCGGAGTCAGTCCCCTCTCTCTTCCACCCTACACCTGCCAACAGGCACGGAAACAAAGTGGTCAGAGGCAAGGGGGATCTGGGCCTTAAAGTTCCCTCTTTTGTTCTGCTAAGAGTAAAGGTCAACAGAAGTTAGGCATAGATGGAAATCCAGATTCCCTTAGACCCAGCAATTCTGTCTTCATGGAGGGAGGAAGTGCTGGAGATCGGGCTTCGGCAGCACTATGACAATGGCTATGAACATCTGTCTTAAGATGCTCTCAAGAGCAGACGAGTGGCCGAGGGGGGTCACAAGTTGACGTGGAGAACTCCTCCACTCACTTCAACCCTAGCGGATCATAAATCTAGTCATCATTGCTCTACTTTTCCCCTGCCCTATTTATTCTTATTGCCCTATTTTTTAAATTATTTTAAAATTATTTTTACATATCAGTAGGGAATTTAAAAGTAAAATGTGGGTAGGACAGAAATTCACTTTTTTGATTCCCTAGTCTGTTTAATCCCCAAGCAGAATGTATGCCTTACCCTCAAAAAGATATGTTTCCTCATTAACCCCCTTCCTGTAAAATAGGGCTATTAATAGTATCTACCCCATTGGGCTACTGTGAGAATTAAATGTGTTAATACATGTAAAACACATATAACAGTGCCTAAGCTCTCACTCAATAAATGTCAGCTATAGGTACTAAAATAATTCTAGCAAGTCAAATGAGCAGAGACAGAAACTAGATTATTTGCTCTTCAAAAATTCTTTTTACAGGTTTCATGACTATGTTTGCTTTCAAGAAATGCAGGTCTCCCTTCCAAGACCTGTAACTCTTTAAGGAGGAGATGACATTAAGAGATCCTCCATGGGACTCTACAGCCACCAAATTCCATCCACAACTCAGGAGACAAAGAGAATTTGAATGGGAAGATGTGGACTCTTACTGCCAACAGGCGCCTGGGGATGCCTCCTTGATGATCACACTAAAAGTCCTCCAGGACCCTTCAGAGAAGAGGCCCTCACTGTCAGCAGCTGTGATCACCTGTACTGGAACCTCTGAAAACCCTCAGGAGGCATTATAGATGTATGCTTCAAGTTTGGGGGCAGTCTTGGAATTTTAATTCTATGAAACTATCTGAACAGTCCACTCAGGAGAATGATTGACATACCACGGGTGGGAAAAAATTGCTTTATTATTCATCCTTACTGGGAAGATAAGTAATTTCAGCCTGACAAAACAAAAATGAGAAGAGGCAGAGAGAGTAAGCAAGTGAGATACAGAGACAGAAAAGCAGGTGAATGTATAGAGAGATGATAGATAGATACATAGAGGATAGATAGAAACAGAGACAGGTAAGTAGATAGGTAATTGGTAGATAGATATAGATACATACACAGATACGTGGATAGTTAGATACATAGATTATGATACATGCAAATACGCATGCCTAAATACATACAAATAGATACACAGATAATGACACATACATAGATGCAGACATACTTACATACATAGATAAATGTGCAGGCTATAGAGGAGAAGGGGAGAGCAAGAAACACACTAAATCAACCTTTTTGTTCCTCACCTGAGAAACATAATGGCATCCTACATTCCAGCTTGTACATCATCCCTTAAAAAGCTCATTGAGAAGTTTGGTCATGATCCTGTCCTTATCCCAGAGCTCTTGGGAAACCTTGCCATTAACTCTTACAATTGCTCTACCTGCTCATTCACTCCTGGGAAAATGTCAAGATCTTTTTCCTTTTGTGGAACAGAGGCTACAGTAAAGGCACTTTTCTTTTACTGAGACTTTTTCAGAAGGGTTTTTTTTCCCTCCTACTATTCCAAAGATTTTATTTTAGACTGCAATGGAAAGCACAAAGAGGCATTCAGCTCAGGCTGCAGATTGCTAGAAAACCCTTCACATGCCACAGAAATTAGAGAGGCAGCCGCACTCATCAGCAATAGTGTATAAATTTGGAAGGAGTGATTTTATAAAATCAGACCATTTTAGAATGAGGAGAAACATTAGTTCATCCTCTTCATCTGCAAGACGAGGGGACTGAGGTACTTAGGGTCTAATCTTTGACTACTCAAAGTGCCTCACTTTTCTCATCTGTGAAGCACCGGAATGACGGCACGGTGACTGAATTAACAACAGGTTGGTATTCAGGCGCTGTGCTGTTCAAGAGCGGGTGCTGCCTCTTTGGAAGGCCCTGAACCCAGCTGCCTTCTCCATGCTGCTGAGAAGTAGCAGAACTATTCCCATGCAGCCCTGGTCCCAGGCCTCCTTCTCCCTGGATTCCCAAGGTGTAAATCCAGATAGATGACCTGGCTGGTCCCAGACCACCTCATGATTACAATTCTGAGTGTTATTTACTCGAAGAGCACATTAAGCACACACCTGTGGTGAGGAATATTTAATGCAGATGTTTGGGAAGCAGCTTTGCCAAAATTATCAGAAAATGTATGTGAGGAAATTAGCCTCCTGGTCCCTCAGTGGATATTATATCTTTTATTGTCTTTGTATTTTGAAGTATTTTCTTTTTTAAAGATGAGGTTTTAAAGGACTGCTCCACTGAGGGCATGGGAGAGGGAGAAGGAGGGAGAGAAGAAACCAGAGAGTAAAATAACAGAAATGGGGATCCCACCTGCAATAACCTGAACCAGGTGGAGCCCAATCTTTCCACCACTGCTCCACAAGGAGCTGTGAACAAGAGCCATGTCTGGACAGAACAGGAGCTTGGAGTAAGGAGAGATTCCTGGATGCTATAAGAGGGAGACATAAAAGATTCGGGATACAATAAAGAAAGATGGCTTCTCCCAGTGGGCCAGGCTGTCTAGAGAGGGTGGACCCAATGGCATAAAGTGGTAGGAAAAGACACTGACATTCAACTAATGTAGAATTAACCATTAGGACCAGCCAGTGAGGAGTCTCTGGTGAACAAAATAGAGCAGACCAACCAAGCTCCAGAGAGCAGGACTTCCAGGGCCAACAGTCTTCCTGGCAGACTAAAAGAGGAAATCTTAAAAGATCTGTAGGTCAATGTAGAAAATGTCAAACTTCTCCAGGAGAGAAAGAAAAATGATTATCTGGACTGAGCCTGCAAGATCACCACAGGAGAGAAAGGTACTTGGGAAAACATTACAGAAAGATGGCCTGCGAGGGTGGCATGGGGCTCCTCTCCACCATTTTCAGGAGGATGAATCCAAGTAGTCCTTGGGGGCTATGGCATGGAACTTTCAGTTGGGCAATAAATACGGCTAGTTTCTTTTTTGATTCACTCACATCTTAGAAGGAAGACAGCCTGGGGGTGTCTCCTCCTGGGAGCTGCTCCTGCCCTATAAGGATGGTCTGGAGGCCGGGCACGGTGGCTCATGCCTGTAATCCCAGAACTTTGGGAGGTCGAAGCAGGTGGATCACCTGAGGTCGGGAGTTCGAGACCAGCCTGGCCAACATGGTGAAACCCCATCTCTACCAAAAATACAAAAATTAGCCAGGCATGGTGGTGCATGCCTGTAATCCCAGCTGTGCCAGAGGCTGAGGCAGGAGAATCGCTTGAAGCTGGGAGGCTGAGGTTGCAGTGAGCTGAGATCACATCACTGCACTCCAGCCTGGGCAACAAGAGTGAAACTCCATCTCAAAAAAGAAAAAAGAAAAAGAAAAAAAGAAAGAATGGTCTGGGAAGGGGAAGGGGACAGGAGAGCACACAGAATGAAGGGCAAAAAGGTGATGAAGGTCACTTGGCCTTTTAGCGCTGAAGGACACGGAGGGTTGTCTCTAGCCTAGGGAAAGTGAGTGAGTAAGTATTCTACTTGAGCTAGCTGGCAACTATATTGGGGTTTAGGGTATGGTGCAAATAGCCTCTGCCTGGCTCTGCGCTCTATGCAAATGTTTTCAGGGACTTCATGTGGGTGTGGATGTAAAGAGAGAGGAACGCACACCCTGCACAAGCAATTGTGTAGAGCAGTTCCCAAGAGGAGTCTTAGCGAACCTGAGGATGAACCTTAAGTACCCCATACGCAGAAAGATGAGAGAGGAAGATGAGAAGGATCAATGAGCCCCGTCACTCCACACAGTCTAGTCTAGCATCCAGCCTAATCAGACCTGGAGAGCGAGAACTGGCCACATAAAACAAGGAATCCAGGAACGTGTCGAGGAATTTCCCACACACTTTAGGAGAGGGAAGACAGGACTATGGATGATGACTCGCTGCCTTAAGAATGTTGTATGGTGTCTGGAATATTTGCTACATCCCTGTGGCTGATTGTTTTCCTCATTCTCTTTCCCCATTGTGAGCAGCACTGGAGTCCTTAAACATGATGTTTTATGAGCTGCAGGAAATGAGAAAGCCAGAAAAATAAAATATAACCCAAAAACCAGACTTAGATTGGGAAGGAGAAAAAGGCCCCAGGGAGAAGCAGAAGATAACTGCTCAGAAGAAGAGCCTGAGGGTCAGGCTGAACCTCTGGAGCTTTCATAGCTTGGTGAGAAGGGAACCAGTCAGAGGTATGAGGAGGGACACAAACGGTGAGAACGCAGCCCTAGGCTATGAGAAGTCATGAGTGCTGGTCTCAATACTGTATCTACCTCTGTGACTGAGGGCGAGCCTTCTCACCTCTCCGGGTCTACTATGATCAGTAAATCAGGATGCTGGCCAGAGCAGTGGAGTACCAAGATGGGAAATATGAGAGTGGTCAGCCCTGGGTGCAGGAAATGAGGAGTACATTGTCATTAGAAAATTTTTCAACAATAAAACAGACTCAGCAGTTCTGCTTTTTATTATCATCATGCACAGGCAATGGGAAGCAATGTCTGTGTTAAAATGCTCCTCCCTACCAGGGTATTGTATCTTATTCCCCCATCCTCTTTGGGATGATGCAAGGCCAGAGAGCCCTTAGTTGGCAGGAAGTCCATGGAAGAGCTTTCCAATGCCACTCAATAATTACAAACAATTAGAGCTACACTAACACTGAAACACGGTATTGCTGAAAAAATTAAGAGAGGGAGTGTAGTAGGCTAAAGAATGGCCGCAAAGATATCAAATCCTCATTCCTGGAACTAGCAAATGTTAGTGTATTTGGCAAAAACTTTGCAGATATGATTAAGGATCTTCAAATGGGGAGATTATCCTGGATTATCTCTGTGGGCCCTAAATGCCATCACAAGTATCCTTATAAGAAAGAGACAAAGGGAGATTTGACACAGACAGAAGAGAAGGCAATGTGGCTGCTTCAGGCACCCACCAGGAGCTAGAAGGGGCAAGGAACAGATTCTCCCCTGGCTCCTCCAGAGGGGCGCGGCTCTGCCAAAACCTTGACTTCACACCAGTGAAACTGATTTCAAACTCTGGCTCCCAGAATGGCACAAGAATACATTTCTGTTATTTTAAGCCGCCCAGTTTCTGACAATTGGTTACAGGAGACGAATACAGGTAGTACCACAATCAATGCAGAATATCTTCTTCAAGGGGGATTATGGTCTCCAGAGAAAGGACTTTCTGTCATTCTATGGCTCACTTCAATCTGCCTCCTCTCCTTGGAGTCCAATATCCCAGAAGTTAGCAGAAAATACTACAGATGAAGCCTTGTGAACACAAATCTGGAAAAACAGCTCTGACAGCTGTTTTTGCCCCCAGTAACCTCTGGCAAACTCTGCCCCACAGAAGATGGTGCCTTTGGGACATGAAATTCGAATTTGCCACCAGACCAGAGTTCCTGCAGTTCAGAGATCCCGCCTGGGCCGGTGTTGGTACTCAGAATGACATCCTGGTCGATTCCTGGGAAGCCTCCCCAGTTGGCTTTGCTACTCATTCTCTAGGTCTGGACGGTCCCCTTGGTAAACATCTTTTGTGTGCTGTTCGGATGGCAGATCATTTATTCATTGCATGAAGCATTTCATTAGTGACCTACTTTCTCCCTCCACACATCACAGAAACCAAAATCCCTGCTTAAAGTGAAAACCGAACAGAGCCAAGGGCCCAAATAAACAGATTGTGTTTTAAACCCAAATGGGCAGAAGCAAAACAACAGGCTCACCTGGGCTTGACTTCCCCCTTTAAAAAAGAAACTTAAAAAGCAGTAAAATGCCATACAAAATACTGGTTAATAAACTTACTGAAAATGTGAGCTGCCCCTGTAGTTTATCCTTGTTGTGCCTCATGTATTCAGCCAGCATGCTACTAGAAAAAGCCTATCAGTAATGAATTCATGCGAATCAAAACATGGTTTAAGTACATTAAGGAAGAGTTTCTCACTAAGGAAATCTCCCCGCGAATTCTTTTATAACGTGAGGGCTCCATTTTTAATTTATTTTTGATGAAAATCTGGATTCTTCCTATCATATTTGCTTAAGAAGAGGTGCAGATTTACAAGTGCAAATTCAAGTGAGTTCTGCTCCACTGCCAACGTTAATTGCTGTCCTTCTTTCAAGGAAAGGTAGGATTCTAAGCCTCCATTGTGCCACTTTTGCAAGCATCAACTTGCCTGGCCTTAGGAGAGTTCCAATAGCAATTTCCACGTCTTATCCTCAGAGCAAGGAATATTAGGACCACTGAGTCGGAAAAATCATCAAGGGTCCCACAGTACAAAAATGCACCTAACTTCAGGAGGAGGGGAAGTTTTAGTAAGAAAATAATAAAAGGTGATATTGATACAAGAGAAAAACTCAAAATACTCTAATTCTATAATATGAGTAGTTATAGAAATAAGACAGGGGAAGAAAAAGACCTGAGACAGACATATAGGGAGAGAGAAAGAAGGGAAGAAAGAAAACCAAAACAAAATAAGAGAGTTCAATGAGAAAAATCAAATACTAGAAATGTTCTGATTCACATATATTCATTACAGATAGGGCTTTTTCTAGCAGGAGAAGAAGGTACAGTGGGTTCCGCATATGTATAAAATCTCCTTTGTTCCTGGACCTATGAATTTTTTTTTTTTTTTGACAGAGCCTTGCTCTGTTGCCCAGACTAGAGTGCAGTGGCGCAATCTCAGCTCACTGCAACCTCCGTCTCCTGGATTCAAGCAATTCTGCCTCAGCTTCCCAAGTATCTGGGACTACAGGTGCCCGCCACCACACCTGGCTAATTTTTTATATTTTTAGTAGAGAAGGGGTTTCACCATGTTGGCCAGCCTGGTCTCGAATTCCTGACCTCAGGTGATCTGCCCACCTTGGCCTCCCAAAGTGCTGGACCTATGAATTTAAAACTACCTCCTAGGGGTCGGGCATGGTGGCTCATGCCTGTAATCCCAGCACTTTGGGAGGCCAAGGCGGGCGGATCACCTAAGGTAGGGAGTTCAAGACCAGCCTGACCAACATGGAGAAACCCTGTCTCTACTAAAAACACAAAAATTAGCCAGGCGTGGTGGTACATGCCTTTAACCCCAGCTACTCAGGAGGCTGAGGCAGGAGAATTGCTTCAACCCAGGAGGCAGAGGTTGTGGTGAGCTGAGATCAGGCCATTGCACTCCAGCCTGGGCAACAAGAGCGAAACTCCATCTCAAAAATGAAATAAAATAAAATAAAATAAAAATAAAACTACCTCCTAGGCTGGCACAATGGCTCACCCCTATAATCCCAGCACATTGGGAGGCCAAAGCGGGAGGATCACTTGAGCCCAGGAGTTCAAGACCAGTGTAGGCCATATAAAGAGACTCCAATCTCTACAAAATGTTTTTTAAATTTTTTAAAAATTAGGTGTGGTGGTGTGTGCCTGTATTTACCAACTACTCAGGAGGCTGAGGTGGGAGGATTGCTTGAGCCCAGGAGTTTAAGGATGTAGTGAGCAATGATTGTGCCACTGCTTCAGCCTGGGCAACAGAATGAGATCCCATCTCTAAAAAAAAAAAACAAAAAAAACAAAAACTACCCCCTGGTTTCACCGGTTTTGAGGGTTAGGATGAAAAATAAACAAACAAATAACAATAACGAAAGTACCACCTGGACTACATTTGCACAATGTCTTATAATTTTCAAACAACCTTCCCTTTTGATTCTCACAACATCATGATGAGCATGTCATTTTACATATGAGTACACAGAGATTCCGTTTGTTCCCCACCCAGGATTTCTCAGCTGGAAATTCAGAACCTGACTTCAGGGCAAGGGCCTCCTGGTTCCCAGAAAAGTGTCTTCCCCATTATCATTCTGAAATATTATACAAGGGGTTGGGGGCACAATGCACCCTGGAATCCTCACATGTGTCTTTCATTGTGTGTAGGCAAATACCTTGAATTCATGCCCCTCATTCATTTGTACTAAATTATGCTTATAACCTGTCTTAGCTCAGGCTGCTATCACAAAATATCATAGATTGGGTGGCTTAAACAATAGACATCTGGCTGCGTGCTGTGGCTCACTCCTGTAATCCCAGCACTTTGGTAGGCAGAGGTGGGCAGATCACTTGAGGTCAGGAGTTTGAGACCAGCCTGGCCAAAATGGTGAAACCCCAGCTCTACTAAAAATACAAAAAATTACCCAGGCATGGTGGCAGGTGCCTGTAAGCCCAGCTACTCAGGACGCTGAGGCAGAAGAATTGCTTGAACCCGGGAGGTGGAGGCTGCGGTGAGCCGAGATCACGCTAGTGCACTCCAACCTGGGCGACAGAGTGAAACTCTGTCTCAAAAAATAAAAATAAATTAAAAAAATAGACATCTATTTCTCACAGTTCTGAAGGCTGGGAAGTCCAAGATCAAGGCACCAGTAGACTCTGTCTGGTGAGGGCTCTTTTCCTGGCTTAGACAGCCCCACCTCCTCAATGTGTGCTCATATAGCCTTTCCTTGCTTGGTGTGTGCTCGTGGAGAGAGAGAAAGGGGGATCTCATGTTGCTTCCATTTCTAAGGGATAATCCCATCATGGAGGCTCTATTCTAATTATCTAATTACCTCCCAAAGGCCCTGATATGGTTTGGATCAGTGTCCTCACCCAAATCTCATGTCAAATAGTCATCTCCAATGTTGGAGGTGGGGCCTGGTGGGAGGTGACTCAAGTATGGGGGCAGATTTTTCGTGAATGGTTTAGCACCATCCTCTTGGTGCTGTTCTCAGGATAGTGGCGAGTTCTTGAAAGACCTGGTTGTTTAAAAATGTGTAGCACCTCCCTCCTCTCTCTCTATCTCTCTCCTGCTCCTGCTCCTACTCCTACCATGTGAGACACTTCACTCCCCCTTTGCCTTCTGCCATAACTGTAAGTTTCCTGAGGCCTCACCAGAAGCCAAGCAGATGCCTGTGGTGCTGGTGGTGGTGGTACTGCTGGTGGTATAAAAACCCATGTACTGGATAAGCAACGGCTTCCTGTACAGCCCACAGAACCATGAGCCAATTAAACCTCTCTTCTTATAAATTACCCAATCTCAGGTATTTCTTTTTTTTTTTTTTGAAAATATCTTTTTATTATTATTATTATACTTTAAGTTTTAGGGTACATGTGCACAATGTGCAGGTTAGTTACATATGTATACATGTGCCATGCTGGTGCGCTGCACCCATTAACTCGTCACTTAGCATTAGGTATATCTCCTAATGCTATCCCTCCCCCCTCCCCCCACCCCACAACAGTCCCCACAGTGTGATGTTCCCCTTCCTGTGTCCATGTGTTCTCATTGTTCAATTCCCACCTATGAGTGAGAACATGCAGTGTTTGGTTTTTTTGTCCTTGCAATAGTTTACTGAGAATGATGATTTCCAGTTTCATCCATGTCCCTACAAAGGACATGAACTCATCATTTTTTATGGCTGCATAGTATTCCATGGTATATATGTGCCACATTTTCTTAATCCAGTCTATCATTGTTGGACATTTGGGTTGGTTCCAAGTCTTTGCTATTGTGAATAGTGCTGCAATAAACATATGTGTGCATGTGTCTTTATAGCAGCATGATTTATAGTCCTTTGGGTATATACCCAGTAATGGGATGGATGGGTCAAATGGTATTTCTAGTTCTAGATCCCTGAGGAATCGCCACACTGACTTCCACAATGGTTGAACTAGTTTACAGTCCCACCAACAGTGTAAAAGTGTTCCTATTTCTCCACATCCTCTCCAGCACCTGTTGTTTCCTGACTTTTTAATGATTGCCATTCTAACTGGTGTGAGATGATATCTCATAGTGGTTTTGATTTGCATTTCTCTGATGGCCAGTGATGATGAGCATTTTTTCATGTGTTTTTTGGCTGCATAAATGTCTTCTTTTGAGAAGTGGCTGTTCATGTCCTTTGCCCACTTTTTGATGGGGTTGTTTGTTTTTTTCTTGTAAATTTGTTTGAGTTCATTGTAGATTCTGGATATTAGCCCTTGTCAGATGAGTAGGTTGCAAAAATGTTCTCCCATTTTGTAGGCTGCCTGTTCACTCTGATGGTAGTTTCTTTTGCTGTGCAGAAGCTCTTTAGTTTAATTAGGTCCCATTTGTCAATTTTGGCTTTTGTTGCCATTGCTTTTGGTGTTTTAGACATGAAGTCCTTGCCCATGCCTATGTCCTGAATGGTAATGCCTAGGTTTTCTTCTAGGGTTTTTATGGTTTCAGGTCTAACGTTTAAGTCTTTAATCCATCTTGAATTAATTTTTGTATAAGGTGTAAGGAAGGGATCCAGTTTCAGCTTTCTACATATGGCTAGCCAGTTTTCCCAGCACCATTTATTAAATAGGGAATCCTTTCCCCATTGCTTGTTTTTCTCAGGTTTGTCAAAGATCAGATAGTTGTAGATATGCGGCATTATTTCTGAGGGCTCTGTTCTGTTCCATTGATCTATATCTCTGTTTTGGTACCAGTACCATGCTGTTTTGGTTACCGTAGCCATGTAGTATAGTTTGAAGTCAGGTAGCGTGATGCCTCCAGCTTTGTTCTTTTGGCTTAGGATTGACTTGGAGATGCGGGCTCTTTTTTGGTTCCATATGAACTTTAAAGTAGTTTTTTCCAATTCTGTGAAGAAAGTCATTGGTAGCTTGATGGGGATGGCATTGAATCTATAAATTACCTTGGGCAGTATGGCCATTTTCACGATATTGATTCTTCCTACCCATGAGCATGGAATGTTCTTCCATTTGTTCATATCCTCTTTTATTTCATTGAGCAGTGGTTTATAGTTCTTCTTGAAGAGGTCCTTCATGTCCCTTGTAAGTTGGATTCCTAGGTATTTTATTCTCTTTGAAGCAATTGTGAATGGGAGTTCACTCATGATTTGGCTCTCTGTCTGTTATTTGTGTATAGGAATGCTTGTGATTTTTGTACACTGATTTTGTATCCTGAGACTTTGCTGAAGTTGCTTATCAGCTTAAGGAGATTTTGGGCTGAGACAATGGAGTATTCTAGATATACAATCATGTCATCTGCAAACAGGGACAACTTGACTTCCTCTTTTCTTAATTGAATACCCTTTATTTCCTTCTCCTGCCTAATTGCCCTGGCCAGAACTTCCAACTCTATGTTGAATAGGAGTGGTGAGAGAGAGCATCCCTGTCTTGTGCCAGTTTTCAAAGGGAATGCTTCCAGTTTTTGCCCATTCAGTATGATATTGGCTGTGGGTTTGTCATAGATAGCTCTTATTATTTTGAGATACGTCCCATCAATACCTAATTTATTGAGAGTTTTTAGCATGAAGGTTGTTGAATTCTGTCAAAGGCCTTTTCTGCATCTATTGAGATAATCATGTGGTTTTTGTCTTTGGTTCTGTTTATATGCTGGATTACATTTATTGATTTGCATATATTGAACCAGACTTGCATCCCAGGGATGAAGCCCACTTGATCATGGTGGATAAGCTTTTTGATGTGCTGCTGCATTTGGTTTGCCAGTATTTTATTGGGGATTTTTGCATCAATGTTCATCAAAGATATTGGTCTAAAATTCTCTTTTTTGGTTGTGTCTCTGCCCGGCTTTGGTATCAGGATGATGCTGGCCTCATAAAATGAGTTAGGGAGGATTCCCTCTTTTTCTATTCATTGGAATAGTTTCAGAAGGAATGGTACCAGTTCCTCCTTGTACCTCTGGTAGAATTCAGCTGTGAATCCATCTGGTCCTGGACTCTTTTTGGTTGGTAAGCTATTGATTATTGCCACAATTTCAGATCCTGTTATTGGTCTATTCAGAGATTCAACTTCTTCCTGGTTTAGTCTTGGGAGGGTGTATGTGTCGAGGAATTTATCCATTTCTTCTAGATTTTCTAGTTTATTTGCATAGAGGTGTTTGTAGTATTCTCTGATGGTAGTTTGTATTTCTGTGGGATCGGTGGTGATATCCCCTTTATCATTTTTTATTGCATCTATTTGATTCTTCTCTCTTTTCTTCTTTATTAGTCTTGCTAGTGGTCTATCAATTTTGTTGATCCCTTCAAAAAAACCAGCTCCTGGATTCATTAATTTTTTGAAGGGTTTTTTGTGTCTCTATTTCCTTCAGTTCTGCTCTGATTTTAGTTATTTCTTGCCTTCTGCCAGCTTTTGAATGTGTTTGCTCTTGCTTTTCTAGTTCCTTTAATTGTGATGTTAGGGTGTGAATTTTGGATCTTTCCTGCTTTCTCTTGTGGGCATTTAGTGCCATAAATTTCCCTCTACACACGGCTTTGAATGTGTCCCAGAGATTCTGGTATGTTGTGTCTTTGTTCTTGTTGGTTTCAAAGAACATCTTTATTTCTGCCTTCATTTCGTTATGTACCCAGTAGTCATTCAGGAGCAGGTTGTTCAGTTTCCATGTAGTTGAGCGGTTTTGAGTGAGTTTCTTAATCCTGAGTTCTAGTTTGATTGCACTGTGGTCTGAGAGACAGTTTGTTATAACTTCTGTTCTTTTACATTTGCTGAGGAGAGCTTTACTTCCAAGTATGTGGTCAATTTTGGAATAGGTGTGGTGTGGTGTTGAAAAAAATGTATATTCTGTTGATTTGTGGTGGAGAGTTCTGTAGATGTCTATTAGGTCCGCTTGGTGCAGAGCTGAGTTCAATTCCTGGGTATCCTTGTTGACTTTCTGTCTCGTTGATCTGTCTAATGTTGACAGTGGGGTGTTAAAGTCTCCCATCATTATTGTGTGGGAGTCTAAGTCTCTTTGTAGGTCACTCAGGACTTGCTTTATGAATCTGGGCGCTCCTGTATTGGGTGCATATATATTTAGGATAGTTAGCTCTTCTTGTTGAATTGATCCTTTTACCATTATGTAATGGCCTTCTTTGTCTCTTTTGATCTTTGTTGGTTTAAAGTCTGTTTTATCAGAGACTAGGATTGCAACCCCTGCCTTTTTTTGTTTTCCATTTGCTTGGTAGATCTTCCTCCATCCTTTTATTTTGAGCCTATGTGTGTCTCTGCACATGAGATGGGTTTCCTGAATACAGCACACTGGTGGGTCTTGACTCTTTATCCAATTTGCCAGTCTGTGTCTTTTAATTGGAGCATTTAGTCCATTTACATGTAAAG
This sequence comes from Homo sapiens, assembly GCF_000001405.40. Classification (NCBI taxonomy): domain Eukaryota; kingdom Metazoa; phylum Chordata; class Mammalia; order Primates; family Hominidae; genus Homo; species Homo sapiens. Next base: position 138,885,287 of record NC_000004.12, read on the forward strand.
TTAATAGTGTTATGTGTGAATTTGATCCTGTCATTATGATGTTAGCTGGTTATTTTGCTCGTTAGTTGATGCAATTTCTTCCTAGCATCGATGGTCTTTACACTTTGGCATGATTTTGCAGCGGCTGGTACCGGTTGTTCCTTTCCATGTTTAGTGCTTCCTTCAGGAGCTCTTTTAGGGCAGGCCTGGTGGTGACAAAATCTCTCAGCATTTGCTTGTCTGTAAAGTATTTTATTTCTCCTTCACTTATGAAGCTTAGTTTGGCTGGATATGAAATTCTGGGTTGAAAATTCTTTTCTTTAAGAATGTTGAATATTGGCCCCCACTCTCTTCTGGCTTGTAGAGTTTCTTCCAAGAGATCCGCTGTTAGTCTGATGGGCTTCCCTTTGTGGGTAACCTGACCTTTCTCTCTGGCTGCCCTTAACATTTTTTCCTTCATTTCAACTTTGGTGAATCTGACAATTATGTGTCTTGGAGTTGCTCTTCTCGAGGAGTATCTTTGTGGTGTTCTCTGTATTTCCTGAATCTGAATGTTGGCCTCCCTTTCTAGATTGGGGAAGTTCTCCTGGATAATATCCTGCAGAGGGTTTTCCAACTTGGTTCCATTCTCCCCGTCACTTTCAGGTACACCAATCAGTCGTAGATTTGGTCTTTTCACATAGTCCCATATTTCTTGGAGGCTTTGTTCATTTCTTTTTATTCTTTTTTCTCTAAATTTCCCTTCTCGCTTCATTTCATTCATTTCATCTTCCATCACTGATACCCTTTCTTCCAGTTGATCGCATTGGCTCCTGAGGCTTCTGCATTCTTCACGTAGTTCTCGAGCCTTGGTTTTCAGCTCCATCAGCTCCTTTAAGCACTTCTCTGTATTGGTTATTCTAGTTATACATTCGTCTAAATTTTTTTCAAAGTTTTCAACTTCTTTGCCTTTGGTTTGAATTTCCTCCTGTAGCTCGGAGTAGTTTGATTGTCTGAAGCCTTCTTCTCTCAACTCGTCAAAGTCATTCTCCATCCAGCTTTGTTCCGTTGCAGGTGAGGAACTGCGTTCCTTTGGAGGAGGAGAGACGCTCTGTTTTTTAGAGTTTCCAGTTTTTCTGCTCTGTTTTTTCCCCATCTTTGTGGTTTTATCTACTTTTGGTCTTTGATGATGGTGATGTACAGATGGGTTTTTGGTGTGGATGTCCTTTCTGTTTGTTAGTTTGCCTCCTAACAGACAGGACCCTCAGCTGCAGGTCTGTTGGAGTTTGCTAGAGGTCCACTCCAGACCCTGTTTGCCTGGGTATCAGCAGCGGTGTCTGCAGAACAGTGGATTTTCGTGAACCCCAAATGCTGCTCTCTGATCGTTCCTCTGGAAGTTTTGTCTCAGAGGAGTACTCGGCCGTGTGAGGTGTCAGTCTGCCCCTACTGGGGGGGGTGCCTCCCAGTTAGGCTGCTCGGGGGTCAGGGGTCAGGGACCCACTTGAGGAGGCAGTCTGCCTGTTCTCAGATCTCCAGCTGCATGCTGGTAGAACCACTGCTCTCTTCAAAGCTGTCAGACAGGGACATTTAAGTCTGCAGAGGTTACTGCTGTCTTTTTGTTTGTCTGTGCCCTGCCCCCAGAGGTGGAGCCTACAGAGGCAGGCAGGCCTCCTTGAGCTGTGGTGGGCTCCACCCAGTTCGAGCTTCCTGGCTGCTTTGTTTACCTAAGCAAGCCTGGGCAATGGCGGGTGCCCCTCCCCCAGCCTCACTGTCGCCTTGCAGTTTGATCTCACACTGCTGTGCTAGCAATCAGTGAGACTCCGTGGGTGTAGGACCCTCCGAGCCAGGTGTGGGATATAATCTCCTGGTGCGCCATTTTTTTAAGCCTGTCGGAAAAGCGCAGTGTTCGGGTGGGAGTTACCCAATTTTCCAGGTGCCGTCTGTCACCCCTTTCTTTGACTAGGAAAGGGAACTGCCTGACCCCTTGCGCTTCCCAAGTGAGGCAATGCCTTGCCCTGCTTCGGCTCGCGCATGGTGCACTGCACCAACTGTCCTGCGCCCACTGTCTGGCACTCCCTAGTGAGATGAACCTGGTTCCTCAGATGGAAATGCAGAAATCACCCGTCTTCTGTGTCGCTCACACTGGGAGCTGTAGACCGGAGCTGTTCCTATTTGGCCATCTTGGCTCCTCCCCCTCTAAACAGGCAATCTCAGGTATTTCTTCACAGCAGTGCAAGAATGGCCTAATACAGGCCCCAACTCCAAATACCATTGCATTGGGGATTGGAATTTCTTGAATTTTGGAGAGGCAAAAACATTCAGTCCATGCGTACATAACCTGTGAACAGATTCCATGGTCTTTCAGAAGTTTTCCCTAGGGAGTATCACAGTTAAGGACTAGGAAAGGCCATTGGCCAATGCTGATGTGAAGTGGTCCAATCAGGGGAAAGAAAGCAGAGGAGAGGGCCTCAGCCTGCCCTAGACAGAACTGCAAAGTGTGGGGAGTTTATTCCAAATCCTCCCATCCTTGGACAGCATTCCTTCTCCTACAGAGAAACCCAGGGTCCCCCATCACCTGAAAACTACTGTTTTATTTCCTCTCGGCTATGGGCTAAATGTTTGTGTCACACAAAAGTCATATGTTGAAATCCTAATCCCCAATGTGATGGCATTTGGAGATAGAAGCTTTGGAGGTAATTTATGAGGGTAGAACCCTCCGGATGCAACTAGTGCCCATATAAGAAAACACTGAAGAGAGCTTGTGTCATCCCTTTCTCTCCCCGCCGTGTGAGGAAGTCAGGAAGAGGGCCCTCACCAGAACCCTATGACGCTGGCATCCTGATTTCGGATTCCAGTCTCCAGAACTGTAAGAGATAAAGTGTGTTGTTGGCTGGGCACGGTGGCTCACACCTGTAATCCCAGCACTTTGGGAGGCCGAGGCGGGCAGATCACGAGGTCAGGAGTTCGAAACCAGCCTGGCCAACACGGTGAAACCCCATCTCTACTAAAAAATACAAAAAATTAGCTGGGCATGGTGGCACACGCCTGTAGTCCCAGCAACTCGGGAGGCTGAGGCAGGAGAATTGCTTGAACCCGGGAGGTGGAAGTTGCAGTGAGCCGAGATCTTGCCACTGCACTCCAGCCTGGGCAACAGAGTGAGACTCCGTCTCAAAAAAAAAAAAGCAAAAAAAAAAAAAATTGTGTTGTTTACGTCACCCACTCTATGATATTTTGTTATAGCAGCCCAAACTAAGATAACTCCTCAACTTAAAAATAAACTCATTTGCTTATCCAGTACACAGGTCCTTATACCCCCACCACCACTACCACCACTCCATACAGAAACCCAGGGTTTTTCTGGTAAATGTTCTACAAGCCGTTCTCCAAAAAACAATACAGCCCTGATTTGTAGGATTTGCCATTTCCATGATGCAAATGCTCTCATGGCTAATTTCAAGCTACCAGTGTGACATCACTGAAGGCAGAGGGAGGAAAAAATGTACAGTGGCATTTCTACCGCACAGTACAATAGTCATAAACAGCCTCGAGGCACAGACCATCATAAAATGTGTAACATTAATAGGAAATGATGAGCTTTCAATATTTACTAAACTTTGTTTCCAATATAATTTAATTATAAATTTATATAATTTAATTCTTAATAACAATAGCTATGTTTAACAACCAGCTCCTGAATTTCCTGAAAATTTAATAACGGGCTCTCTTCAGCCTGTATGGACTGACCACTGCAAACAACTGTCCATCCCATCTACTCCCTACCCAGGTCCTGCTTCTGGTTTGCTAATGTAGCTGCTAATTGGTGGCATTTTTATGAGACCCAAAGTAGTCACTGCAATGGTTGAATTTCAGGCAACTTTGCAGATTGATGAAGTAGATGTTTCTTGAGCTCCTCTCAAATTATGTGTTTTTCAGTAGTGGACTCTGCCACCAGATAGACAATGGCCTCAGGCAGTGTGCCATTTTGTGGTTGCTACCCCTGCATGTCACATAAGCTGGTGCGCATACCCACAAACTCAACGTGACCCCCAAATACAATAAAAACTGAAAAATCCAGCCAACCACTTGCTTTGGCTGCACAATGCCAAAAGACTGATATAACTAAACTATTGTTCTCCTCTGAATTGACTGAGTATGTTAATGTTGTATAGACAAGGCTGTATTCCTCAAAACAGCCATGCACATAACACCTATCAAGCTCTTTCAGAAAAAGTCTCACATAGTCTTGAAATAGGAGAGGGAAAAAGCAAGCTGCCTGCTCTGCTCAAACGCCCTTGACTAGAGGTTTAACTTCCTCACTCTTCTTTCCAAGCACACAGTATTTGAAAAAAAGGACAGCAGAGCCTGCAAATCCTCTCATCAAAGAGGCATTGACTTTTAATTTTACAAATGTGGCTCTTTCCCATAAGGAATAGAGAGAATTCATTAGTAATCATACTCCAGAGACTTATTCCTTCTGCATGTTTCTTTCTTCTGGCTATCATATAATTACACCCCAGATCTCTGATTACAGAAACTTTTCCCCTTAACTGCTATATAATTTTAGAATCTCTCTTTTTCTATTCCCTTCTTTTCCAGTAGGTCTTTAAAAAGAGAGGAAACAGGAAATTGGCAAAGATAGTATGTGAGTAGTTACCAGTGCAGTTAGGCCTTCATTCCTGGAGTCTCTGTATCTATAGGTGAAAGCAAAGGATAGGAGCACTGTGCTAATGAGATAAAAAGCGTCCCCAGAAAACAGCTCTAATGTGCCTACTTCTTGCAGTGGGGCAGAAGCCATCTAAATGCGACCCTCACATACAAATAAAAGACACACTGGAAGGAAGTTCATTTAAAACATGAGATGCTACATAGACCTGTTAATTGCCACATAATACCAGACATGTAAATAACTTCACATGGGCCCGGTGCAGTGGCTCACGCCTGTAATCCCAGCACTTTGGGAGGCAGAGGCAGTGCAGATCACCTGAGATCAGGAGTTCGAGACCAGCCTGACCAACATGGAGAAACTCCTGTCTCTACTAAAAATACAAAAATTAGCCGGGTGTGGTAGCACACGCCTGTAATCCCAGTTACTTGGGAGGCTGAGGCGGGAGAATCACTTGAACCCGGGAAGGGGGAGGTTGCAGTGAGCTGAGATCACAACATTGTACTCCAACCTGGGCAACAGAGTGAGACTCCGTCAAAAAAAAAAAAAAAAAAAAAAAAAAAAAAAAAAAAAAAAACCTTCACATTTCACAACCTGCCCTCAGCACTGTTTTACCACCTGCTGAAAATGCAAAAAGAAAGGATATGATGTGAATCAGCAGCCTTATGATTGGCCTTATGGAAATCCTTCCTCTGTTCTCATGGAAGCAAGGCCATTGCCAAAGCCACTCTCTGTGGGAAAGTGCGCCCAGTATGGGTGTTCAGTCGTGGACTCTGCTACCAGATGGATGATGGCCTCATGCAGTGGCAAACCATTGTGCCTCACGGGGTGCCAAACCATTGTACAGTGATAGGCCCAGGTGTGTGAAACAGGGAATGAGTGCTAATTGAAGAAAAAGCAGCCTCTGACGAGGGCTCCTATCTGCCCGCAGCAAATGCCTAGCTCTGCTCCTTGGAAGAACAACAGAACATCTGAGCAGTTGCAGTCTCTCTCCTATGCACACACACTTATCATTTCTTATTTTCAAAAAGAAAATTTCTCCTTAGCTTTTTGTTATTAGTCTCCAGTGATGAACAATAGGTGGGAAATTCTGAGAAAATAAACTGCTGAAATTATTATTCACTCCTTGCTCCAGATTGCTCTGCGAGCTACGGATTGCACGTTCTGCATTCGGTGACTAAGGCCTCGTCCCATGTGTTTTCCCAGTTCAATCAACTGTGCTAAGAACTGTCACAATAGCCCTTGACGACAAGAAAATAAAATTTAGGGTAGAATGGAGAGCCTGACTTGCATTGTAATTCTGGTCTGCACCTGTTTTTTTCCCCCTGGTTGACAATGTTTGCGAACCTTTTCATCCACCTTAATGACAAAAGAAAAGGAATGGGTTATTTTTCCAGTTTGGATAATTGCTTCTGAAACGTTGTCACAATCTTCCAAATGACAATATTTCCTTCATGTCAGACGACTGTGATTTCCGGGCAGCACGGGTTGCGGTTTTGTTAGGGTTCTGGTCTGCTGCGAGCCTTGGGAGTTTTGTTTTGTTTTTTGTTTTAGGTTTTTTTCTCTTTTTTTAAGAAAAAGACAAAGCAAAACCAAGTAAGTCACAATGATAACTTATGACAGAAAAATCAACATCTGAATCGAATGATAATAGCAGGAGCCTGCAGTCAGGAGAGGAAGTGTCTTGTGCCAAGAAAAAAAAAAGGCACAGAAAGTTATTTAAAACTGATAAAACCCACCAGGAGTCACAATCCCATCATGGTTTCCCTTTGGAAAAGAAGTTTTCAGAAGCCCCAATTAACCTTAATTGAATTCTGCCTTAGTAATATCTGGAATTTTAATTGACTGGGAAGGTGATCATAAATCTATGTTCATAATGCGGCTTAGCCATTAGTAAATCCCCGGATGGCACACAGCCTTGTCATGCGAGGGACTTAGCTATTCTGTGGGTGAGGCTGGGTTTTAGATCATAAAACAAACATTCAAAAGAGAAAGCCCCTCACTGTCAGAGCCAGCCTGAGAGCAGCTACAGTGTAGTGTAGTGCAGAGCAGAAGAGAACGATCAATTCCAGTGAAATAAAGGTTCATGTTTGTGGTGTCATCGTCATTGAGTTCCTAAAACGTAAACAGAAGCACCATCTCCCATGCCCTCCAGAAAGAAATCATCCTTCCAATCATTTAGAATAAGCATAGGACTGTTTAGATTTTCTCTTTTAGAAAATCAACCACCAATTCACTCCTTTGTTATTAAAACTGCTGAGGCCAGGGAGATATTTCAGGTCTTTCAAATTGCCTGAATGTGACTATTTTAACTAGAAGGTTCTCAGTTAGGGTTGAGGGGCCTCTCAGAATGACCTAGATGCTTTTTCAGAACCCCAAGCGTGAAATCAAACTGAGGAAAGGGGCCCTGGTATATGCATTTTGAAAGAAAAAAAAAATGTCCTGGTAGTTTCTGAATTGGAGTTCCTTCCTATCCCCCAAACCCACCACTTCAGGTTGAAAAACCATGACTTTAGTCAAATTGACAGGCCACCTCTGTCAAACAATCAGGCTGATTGATTTTCATTTCACAAAATTGAATGGATATTTGAATTAACTAAGATCACCAGTTATTTTGAAATCGTCTAAAAATAGTTTGGATATGATTTGACATGGCAGGAGAAACTGTGACTCAGATCAGCTCCTCTTTCATTCCTCCCCATTTTCGCCCACACTTTCTGATCCTTCTACCACAATCAGAGAAAAATCAGGGCATCTCCCCCATATAATGCATTTCTTACTTTTGTTGCTTTCATTCAAACTTTGCCTAACACTGCCAACAGAAACCATTAAAACCTCAAGAATTGTCAATGAAAGTAAAGTTCTATATGTTGACCAGGTGGTGAAATGAGTCAAAAGATGAATTTAAAGGGTCCTGGGCTGGGCACTGTGGCTCACGCCTGTAATCCTAGCACTTTCGGAGGCCAAGGTGGGAGGATCACCTGAGATCGGGAGCCCGAGACCAGCCTGACCAACATGGAGAAACCCCATCTCTACTAATAATACAAAATTAGCCGGATGTGGTGGCACATGCCTATAATCCCAGCTACTCAGGAGGCTGAGGCAGGAGAATCGCTTGAAACCGGGAGGCCAAGGGTGCGGTGAGCCGAGATCGCGCTATTGCAGTCCAGCCTGGGCAACTAGAGTGAAACACTGTCTAAAAAAAAAAAAAAATCCTGGTGGGGGCACAGGGAAAATTAGTCACTCTCCTAAAGATCCCCAACACTGTCTGTTTTTACATGAACCCTATTTCCTTCAGCACTCCTGAGTTGCTCATGGTGAAATTGGTCAGAAATAAACTATGGAAACTGGCACTATGCAAATTCAGACAAAGGAGAAGTCATTTCTTCAGGCTCTAATTCACTTTCAAAGTCATGTGGAGCCCCAGAAGTAGTAAATAAGTCTGAAACAGATAATTGCCTCTTCCTGCACAAATTTTCCTGAAACTTGAAAACTTGAAATTTTACCAAAACTTAAAAACTTGAAAGAAAATGAAATAATAGTTGTAGACATTGCCCTTTAATAATTTTATAAATCCTCTCCTATATTTTTCTTATCTACCTCAACTTTTCTCTCTCTCTTTCCTCTCTCTGTCTTGTATAAACATTTTGAAGCCTTCTCACCCAAACCACACTTTTTAGGAATCACACTAAGAAAAGGGAGAGCATAGCATCTGCATCTGGTGCCTTCTCGCTACATCATAACATCATGAAGGGCATTATATAGCAAGAGGACAAGCACATGCGTGTCAGCTCAGGTCTCTTTTCCTCTTCTTATAAAGCCGCCAGCCTCATCATGAGGTCCCTACCCTGATTACCTTATCTAATCCTAATTACCTCCCGAAGATCCCACTCCAATCAACATATGAATTTGGGGATTAAATTTCCAACACATGAAATTTGGGGGACATATTCAAACCATAGCAAATATCAAAGAAAACAGAGGAAATTACATGAGTAAATCTAGCATTTATATGGCACAAGTGTGGGAGGTTGGCATTAGTACATCAATAATTATTCACCAGTTGGCCTGTTTTAGGAAATGTTTCTGATTACCTGTAATGAAGGGCAAATCCAAGAGCAAGGTCAGAGAAGAGAAATAAATAGATTATTTCAGAATCAATCTTTAAGATTTAAGCCAATGTTTTCAAAGTATGATCAGTGAAGTACCAGTATCATAACTATCTTGGGTTATTATCAGTGTAGATTCCTGAGCCCCACCCTTGACTTACTAAATCACATCACTGAGAATGAGGCCCAAGAATGTACATTTTACAAGTTACTCAGAGTATACTTATGCTCATTAGAGGTGGAAATCACTGAGTTGGGCAATAATAATTATCACTTATGGGTAACTTTCTTATCAAAATAAGTTAGTGATAGAGATATCTGAACATTGAACTCAGGAAAAAAAAATTTTCCTGGATCAATCATTGAGTTGACAAACTAAGTTAGACTTGCTATTTTGTTCTGTTGTTAAAATAAGAAGAAATGAATTTAAGCCCTTCAGGACTGGAAAGCAAAGTGTTTGCAGTGGAATGGCAGAATAACTTCTTTGGATCTGTTATAAGACTGGGAAAGCCACAGTTGATGATATTGACCAGAGGTCCATCAAGTGACATGGTGAATCAGTTGGCTTTTGCTACATAGCAAACCACCCCAAAATGTGGTGGCCTGAAATACTAATCATTTATTTGTTCATGATTCTGAGCAATTTGGGTGGTTTTTTTTGTTTTGGCCTGGCTCAGATGAAGATTAGTGGTCTGGGATGGCCTCACTCACATGTCAGGAGACTCAGCTGAGCCTGGCTTGTCTCTACTCCTCAGGTTCTCCTTCAGCAGCCTAGCCTGAGCTTTCTTACATGAGGTCCACACTTCAAGGCAGCAAGTGGGAACACGCCACACCTTTCAAGGAGCAGGCTTAGAACTTGTACAACATTGCTTCCACCACATTATGTATTGGTCAAGGACAGCACAAATCCAAAGAATGGGGAAGTAGGCTGTGTCTCCTAGTGAAAGGAGAAGCAAAGAACTTGTAGACACTTGAAATTATACTTCATAGAGTGCACAGGCAGAGATATGAGGAAATCTTGAAGCACAGATGGTTCTGAAAATAAAATCAAAGTGGATGCTACATTTGTGCCCCCTACACCCACACTTAGCAATGTGCTGGCAGCATGGCCTCCCTTTACCTAATAACTCTTATTCTCCTCACATCCTTTTCAATCGCATATCTCTCTCCTTTTCTTGTATTCTCCTTTTCTTTTCAAAAACAATAAAGCCTCTTAATATTGTTAATATTATCAAGACTGGAAAAAATATTAATCGTGACACATTTTCCAAAATCATCCAGCCTCAAAATTTCTGAGTCCACTGTAACTTGTCTCTCTCCCTTTCCCCTCACAATTGGTCATCGCCAAGGCTGGGCGCAGTGGCTCACGCCTGCAATCCCAACACTTTGGGAGGCCAAGGCAGGCGGATCACAAGGTCAGGAGTTCGAGATCAGCCTGAACAACATGGTGAAACCTCATCTCTACTAAAAATACAAAAATTAGCCGGACGTGATGGCACACACCTGAAATCCCAGCTACTCCGGAGGCTGAGGCAGGAAAATCGCTTGAACCCAGGAGGCGGAGGTTGCAGTGAGCTGAGATCGTGCCCCTGCACTCCAGCCTGGGGAACAGAGCAAGACTCCATCTCAAAAAAAAAAAAAAAAAAAAATTGGTCATTGCCTAGCCCGTGGATACTATCTTTGCAATACTGTTATGTCCCCAGAGCATGTCCCCTGCTGTGTACTCATACCATCAACATCCTTACTTAGGCTCTCACTATTTCTCTACCCACCATTTACTAGTTACAGGTCATTGGTAACTTCCTTTAGGTTTCTATGCTCCCTGTTTCCTAATCTGTAAAATGGGAACAATAATGTACTTATCTGTCAGAGATGTAGTGAAGATTAAATGAGATATTCTGTATGAAGTATGTAGCACAGAGCCTAGCACATTAGCAAATGCTCATTGACCATAACCTGTTAGAGTCACCCTGCCATAATTCATCTTTCCTGTTTACCTGATTGTTTCTCCTATTCAAAAAACATCAATGAGTCCCCCAAAGCCCTTGAAAATAAATTCCTCAAGCTGATATTTAAGGCCTTTCATATCTGACCCTATCGTACCTTTCCATTCTTGCTTTTCTCTTCAAAATGCCCTATTCTTTTGATGAAGACCCTCACACTTTCCCCCTAATTCACACTCAACCTTCAAACATACACCCACACTCAATCACCAACTGCCCACTCAGACTGTCTTAGCCCATTTTGTGCTACTAAAACAGAATACCACAAACTGGGTAATTAATAATAAACAGGAGTTTATTCCTCACAGTTCTGAAGGCTGGGAAATCCAAGATCAAGGTAGCAGCAGGTTTGGTGTCTGGTGAAGGCCCAGTGTCTGCATCCAAGAGAGTGCCTTGAACACTGCATCCTGCAGTGTCCTCACACGGCAGAAGGCTGAAGCAGGGAACCCATTCCCAGAAGCTCTTTTTTTTTTTTTTTTGAGACGGAGTCTTGCTCTGTCGCCCAGGCTGGAGTGCAGTGGCGCCATCTCAGCTCACTGGAAGCTCCGCCTCCCGGGTTCCCGCCACTCTCCTGCCTCAGCCTCGTGAGTAGCTGGGACCATAGGCGCCCGCTACCACGCCCGGCTAATTTTTTGTATTTTTAGTAGAGATGGGGTTTCCCCGTGTTAGCCAGGATGGTCTCAATCTCCTGACCTCGTGATTCGCCCGCCTCGGCCTCCCAAAGTGCTGGGATTATAGGCGTGAGCCACCACGCCCAGCCCCAAAAGCTCTTTTTAATTCAGCATTACTCCATTCAAGAAGGCAGTGTCCTTATGGCCTAAACACCCCATCAGGCCCCACCTCTCAACACTGCTGCATTTGGGATTAAGTTTCAAACATATGGTCTTAAGAGGAGACAAACATTCAAACCATAATAACTAGTGCCCTCAGATACACAACCAATTCACAATCCCTGTCTTAGGGACTTCTGTCACCTCAAAAAAAAAAACAATTCTATTACACATTTTCTCATTCTCCATTCTGCAACTCCGGCATCAGACAATCCTTTCGTCCTTTGAACATCAAAATAATGCTTCTCTTATTGCACTTACACTATGCTCGGTATCACAGTTCTGACTAATCTAACACACTGGAATGCAAGCTCTTAGAACCATGTCTTTTCATCCAATTTACCCAGCTATGTTTGATTCAGTTCCGTGTACATAACAGACCCTCAGTAAACATTTTTGGAATTAAGAGAGAGAACTAACCCCTGCATTATCAGCATATTGAACCCAAACCATATCAGGCTGTAAGGGCTATATTTTGACCCAAAATTTAGCCCCCAACCTGATGTAATAATGCCCCATAATATTACTATGTTCTGTACACTTGTATCAACACACAAACATGTACAATTCACTGCCTCAACCTCTTTCCATATATTGTTGAAGAATTCATGGGAGCAAGAGGTTCTCAAAGGTCTCATTCACTCCTGATTTTTTGTCCCTTTTCACAGGACCTGTGGGTATATCATCTCTGACTGGTAGTATTTTAAATTTACCCAGTGGTATTTAAATTTATCTGATAGCATTTTAAATTGATCTAATTTATTTAATTTACTTAGTCTAATTAAACATCATCTCCACCTGATGTTATTTAACTTCACCTAATGGTATTTTAAATTTATCACAGTCTAGAAGTTAATCAGAATCAATAAAATTGGTTTAGGGCAGTGCTTCTCAAAGTGTTGTCCCTGGACCAGCAACAGCATCAGGATACTTGGGAGAAATACAAATTCTCAGAATCAAACCCAAACCTACTGAATCAGAAACTCAGGGAGTGCCTGGCCAGCTTTCATTTTCACAAACCCTGCAGGTGAGTCAGATGCATGCTTGTTTGAGAACCACTGGTGAAGGGATTGAGTGAAATTGTTTCTGGACAAATAAACTGGTAACACAGATGGGAGATAAGAAATTTTTTGATGAAAATGAACTATCCCTGGGTTGTGGTTTGCATAGATTTGCAGGAGACCAGCCGAGATAGCAGATGAATGTAGTGGCTGAGACCTAATTCTCTGATTGGCCAAGGTACAAGATACGCATCTGTTTACTCTGGAACTAAGAGGATAGGGAATGTGTCATAATGTGACACTGTCAGCACACAGAGTTATTTTTAGAGCTAGGTTTTTGCTTCACAAGTAGAAGAAGGATTTAGAATACACTCAGAAGAATACAGTATATAAATGTCTTCCAATTGTGGGTTTTCCCTTCACAATGGTAAATTCAGAAATAAAAAGAGCCGAGTGATTGATTGCACAGTGGCTCACGTAACAGTGGAGACAGCCAGCCTCACCTGCAAGTATTCAAGCATGTTAATTGGTGCCTAGGTGGCTCAGGAGCCTCACCTGATCTGAGATGGCTGCTGGTGGCACACACACTCTCATGTGCAATAGGATTACTTAATTAACCTCTACAACACCAAAGGGCCAAGGCACCCCAGAGCCACTTTTTTGCTGCATAACTACTTCTTATCTTCATTAAGTCTAGTGACAGCTTTCCTAACAGTAGGAAATCATGCCTTAGCCTATGCTTGATGACTCATTACTAAGCCAAGTTAAGCAAAATCTGTGGCTTTCCAAAAAATACAGTAGGGACTGGTAAAAGTTTAAAAATTCATTCTATACAGAGTGCTATTGGCTAAGTTCCTTAATCAAAGGATTTTTCGTGATTTCTTGGAGAATCAAATTGGCTGCGGAGATTTAGCTATCTATTTTAGAGATGTGTAGGAGACATTCGGCAAGAAAGAGTAAGCATAAGAAGATTCAAGGAACTTGCAGGGAGCAAGAATTTTGCACCTACGTTTTCAAAAATCAAGATGTAAGTGAGTACGGTCAGGTCTACAATTGGGAGTCAAAGTGGAGCTCAAATCACAAGTAGCTATATAGGCCAGGTGCGGTGGCTCATGCTTATAATCCTAACACTTTGGGAGAGCAAGGTGGGAAGATCACTTGAGGCTAAGAGTTCAAGACCAGCCTGGGCAAAATAGAAAAACCATGTCTCTACAAAAAATAAGTAAATAAATTTAATTAGCCAGGCATTGTGGCATAGCCCTGTAGTTCCAGCTACTCAGGAGGCTGAGGCAGGAAGATCACTTGAGCTCAGCAGTTCAAGGTTATAGTGAGCTATGATCGCACCACTGCACTCCAGCCTGGGCAACAGAGTGAGACACTGTCTCTAAAATAAAGATGAAAAAGTAGCTATATAAAATTATGAATTATAAAGCATTGTAGAGAAAACTCTATGACTATCAGAAAATTATTAAATATATTATGTTCAGCATCCAATGTAGATTCTATCTGGCACCAGACACTATAGAGAGCGACATTCATTGACAAGTAGCTTGACGTAACTTTGGATCCTAGGGTCCCAGTAATTTTAGGAAGAACTGATTTTATAATGTTCTCCTCCCTTCCTCTTTCCCAGTTCCACATCAATTAAAATATAAAACCCAAGAACAAATACATTTTCAGAAAGGGAAGAATCTCTTATCCTTGACAAAGCTACAGAAGAGCTATCAGTACAGTTAAGAACAGTATGAAATCCTGCCTCAGGTTCTCTGCCATCCCTTCTCGCCTTGTGAATTCACAGTGATTTATTCAGTACACAAATATTCAGCCTCTCACAAGTGCTAGATAAACGCTGTGCTGTTAACTGGGGATACATTCAAGAAGTCTGCAATCAAATGCAGTCGACCAGACTTTCATGAGAATCACCTGAGGCACGTGTTAAACTACCAATATCCAGGCCGCATGCCAAACCTTCTTAATCAGAATCTCTGTGGATGTAATCTTAGAATCTGTGGGCCTCAGAGGCCACCATAGGTATTGAAGCCCACTGATCTGTGTTAATAGGGAAAGTTTATCCCCATTCCTCCAAATTAAGATGGCTTTTCCTTAGCCAAGAGACTAGTTCCATGGAGGGAAAGCTGCATGCATGGTGGTTTCAAGCAAAGGCACCCACCACTTTGGCCTTGCACAAAGACATGCAGTTTTGGCAAAAGCAAACGAACCACTAGGGAAAGGTGCAGACCACTTGGCCTTCAGCTATGGCTGGTGGACATGAGGGAGGTGTCATCAGAAGTGGCACAATTTGCTGCAATTGTACTTAATGTGTGTGTTTAGGTGGGTTGGAAGTTCCCGTGACTCAGCAGAATTTGAAACTGGAGGCAGTAATTTGGGGGCTTTAATTTAAGAATATTCAACTCAAGGGCAAAAGATATTTAGCTCTAATTTTCGTCTTTTGGACTTTAACATATCTGGGCTTGAAATATTAAGATTTAATTATTGAATTTTAATCTCTCCCTGGGAATTTGATAATGGGAGAGATTCTACATCAAACTTTGGCATATCTCTATGTTGTTGGCATTTTATTATTAGATCTTGGCATCTCCTTGCAGATTGTCCAATATGTTATGTTGAACAACAGGACTAGAAGGGAAAGGGGTGCAATTTCTTGGGTCCTCTGTGTCCTCAACAGCTTTGTGGTATAACAGCAGAAACTTGCTAAAGGTTCATCAAGTGCTTGTTCTGACTGGGTCCCCTGACTCTGGCCTAAATGGCATTGGGAGGGGACTGGGACTAGAAAATTTAATAATGCAGTGGTTTTGCAAAACCAAATAGACTTATATCTGGGTCTTAAAAGGCATAGCCCAGGCCAGGTGCAGTGGCTCATGCCTGTAATCCCAGCACATCGGGAGGCGGAGGTGGGTGGATCATGAAGTCAGGAGATTGAGACCATCCTGGCCAACATGGTGAAACCCCATCTCTTCTAAAAATACAAAAATTAGCTGGGTGTGATGGCATACACCTGTAGTCCCAGCTACTCAGGAGGCTGAGGCAGGAGAATCGCTTGAATCCGGGAGGTGGAGGCTGCAGTGAGCCGAGATTGCGCGACTGCACTACAGCCTGGTGACAGAGGAAGATACTGTCTTAAAAAAAAAAAAAAAAAAAAAAAAAGCATAGCCCAGAAGCAATCATATACAGCATTTGGAAAGCCAGGTTTCAAAGATTCACTGACTCCTGTTGTCAGAGTAAGACCCAAGAATGGGATTGGGACCTAGAGAGTCCAATCAATGGTTTTAAACTAAAGGTTCTTAAAATATAGAATGCAGAGCAACAACGTCAGCACCACCTAGGTAGTCACGTTACTCATTTCTGTGTCTAGTCAAGTCATTGGCAGGATGTCAGAAAAACTCTCTCAGCATTGCGATCCAAAAGTGCAGGGCTAGAGGTCACATTGCAATGTGAACGTGTCTTAGGTCTATAATCTACTGTTCAAACTACTTGAGTTAGCCTCAAGGGTCAGACTGTCAAATCATGCCAACACAAATCAGAGACCTTACTCAAACTCAAGCTTTAATAGTAACCTTAAGGATATAAGCAATCAAGATGCACAGCAAAGCAGGTAAAGGTGGGATGCTCTGTGTACCTGTTCAGGCCCTTCCTCCCCACATTAAACACATACTCTGGCCCAGAGGAATAATATATGGTGTCTCTAGATGAGGTTTTTGTATCACATCATACTTGGGGGAGTGTTCAGGTTATGAAAGTTGTAGAGTTAACATAATCCCCTTTGGGAATCATGCCTCATAAATGTATACAGTCTAGGTTTATTGATGTTAAGTAATCCTAAGCTAGGGCTATCCAACTGAGAACATGCCTTCTTTAAAGACTCTCCTAGGTCAGGCGTGGTGGCTCATGCCTGTAATCCCAGAACTTTGGGAGGCTGAGGTGGGCAGATCACCTGAGGTCAGGAGTTCAAGACCAGCCTGACAAACATGGAGAAACCCTGTCTCTACTAAAAATACAGAATTAGATGGGCATGGTGGCGCATGCCTGTAATCTTAGCTACTTGGGAGGCTGAGGCAGGAGAATCGCTTGAACTCAAGAGGCGGAGGTTGCGGTGAGCTGAGATCATGCCATTGCACTCCAGCCTGGGCAACAAGAGCAAAACTCCATCTCAAAAAAAAAAAAAAAAAAAAAAAAGACACTCCTATCCCAAATATCATTAGTCTACCAGAAGGTCCAGTTATCATCAGCATGTGTACAAGGAGATTAAACCAGGTCACCTGATTTCTTTTCTGGAAGCATTCCCCCAGGAATCAGGAAAGATGTGGGTCACAGGCTGGCTGCCTTATCTCTTTCCTCCCCACCAAGACACTTCTGAGACGGAAAAGAAAGATATTATTAACAATTATGCCAGCCAGGCGCGGTGGCTCACACCTGTAATCTCAGCACTTTAGAAGCCCGAGGTGGGCAAATCACTTGAGTTCAGGAGTTCGAGACCAGCCTGGGCAACATGGCAAAACCCCATCACTAAGAAAAACGCAAAAAAATTAGCCAGGTTTGGTGGCATACTCCTGTAGTTCCAGCTACTTGGGAGGCTGAAGTGGGAGAATCACCTGAGCCCAGGAGGTCAAGGCTGTGGTGAGCCATCATCACACCACTGCACTGCAGCCCAGTGATACAGTGAGACCCTGTCTCAAAAACAAACAAAAAATTATTCCAAGGCAGCAGTTGAAAATTGGGACTAGCCCAGATAAACTCAGATGTATTGCCATTGTCTTAGTTCATTAGGGCTGCTATAACAGAGTACCATAGACTGGGTGGCTTATAAACAACAGAAATTTGTTTCTCACAGTTCTGAAGGCTGGGAGGTCCGAGATAAAGTCCCCAGCAGATTTGGTGTCTGGTGAGGGCCCACTTCCTGGTTCAAAGACCAGCACCTTCCTCTGGGTCCTCACACGATGGAAGAATAAAGGCAGCTCTCGGGGATCTCCTTTAAAAGAGCCCTAATCCCATTCATGAGGACTCCACCCTCATGACCTAATCACTTCCCAAAGGCACCACATCCTAATACCATCACACCAGACATAAGGTTTCAACATATGAACATGGGAGGGGACACAAACATTCAGACCCTGGCAGTCACCCTATCTGTAGCACCCAGCACTGGAAGTTTGTGGGTAGCAGAGGAGAAATAAGGCTTGAAATGTAAGGAATCAGAAGGTAGTCTGTGAAAAATTATTTTCATCTTCAGACATCTAAAATTGTAACTGGAGGATTACAATTGTAACTGGAAAATTATTTTAATCTTCAGACATGTAAAATTGTAACTAGAGGATTCCCGTTGAAGCCTAGTCAAAACAAAAGTTTTCTGGCAGAAATATACTCAATAATGCATGACATGTAATTATAAATGCACTCGACATTTTTTTCTTTTTTGATAAGAATTGCACAAAACAGAATTTATCATAACTCCTTTATCATAGGCCAAACTTCTATAGTGGTACTAAATGAGTTTGTCTGTGTGTGACATCACATGATTTATGCACTCCAAGCTCTAATAAGGAAAAAAAAACTTTGATCAGTCATGCCAGAGGAAGAACTAAATTATCTTTCTATTCTCACTGTAAAAATTGATATTACAAATTCATTGTCATGTAAAGAGGCAATCAAAGCATAGACTGCCCCTAAGAAGAGTAGAAAAAATATATAAACGTATCCCAGAAAATACATTAATAAAAATATAACATTGCTTTCTGAATTTTACAACTTCTTTGATATTTCTCAGCTTTCTGAGCTTGTGACGTCTGTGATATTTCTCAGCTTTTTGAGTTGCCACCTGCTAAGGTAGGAAAAACAAAAGAAGCTGGGGAGTCGGACAGATTTGGTTTGAATCCTGGTCCTCCCATTTACTAATTATGTGACTTTGGAGAAGCCCCTCTACCTCTTGGTATCTTGGCTCCCTCATCTGTAAAATGGAGAGAATAAGCATAGCCTGCATCATAGGGACATTATGAAGGTTAAATAAGTGAGCACATTAATTGCTTAGAACATGGCCTGGTACAGAGTAGGGGCTCAATTAATGTTAATGATTAAGTGGGCAAGTGACCTGTCTTAACCTCTCTGAGCCTCCATTTCTACCCTTACAAAATGAGGAAAATGATACCCATCTTACAGAAATGCAAAGATTAGAGGTCGAGCCACTGGGATTTAGTGAGTATCAATAAACGAGAATGGCCAGGCACAGTGGCTCACACCTGTAATTCCAGCATTTTGGGAGGCCAAAGTGGGTGGATCGCTTGAAATCAGGAGTTTGAGACCAGTGTGGCCAACATGGTGAAACCCAGTCTTTACTAAAAATACAAAAATTAGCTGGGCATGGTGGTGTGCGTCTGTAATCCCAGCCTCCCTACTCAGGAGGCTGAGGTACAAGAATCGCTTGAACCTGGGAGGCAGAGGTTTCAGTAAGCCCAGATCACGCCACTACACTCCAGCCTGGGTGACAGAGCAGGATCTATCTCAAAAAAATTTTTTTTTTAAGTTTAAAAAAAAAAAACAAAACGAGAATGACTGATATTCAAATAACAGGCTCCAGTGAGCCAATGAGTCTCTCCTCTCAGCTTCCTCAGTGAAGGATCCTGCCCCACCTGGATGGTGTTCCTGAAATGTGTGACACCAGCCTCCTGCTCCCAGCCTCCCTTCCTGTGACCCATCACCCCCTCGCACTCCTGGTGGCTCCCTAAAAGTCTTTGGATATCATAGTTACTTTATTCACCTGGTGTTGAATAAAAGCACCTAACTAGCCTTAGGGCAACAGGATTTCTGCCTTTTTACATTTTATTTCTCTCATGGTTTTACTTTTTTCTCTCAATCTCTTTCAAGTTTGCAGTGTTTGGTTTATTACACTAGGTATGAGAAAAAAAAAAAAGATGAGTTGTTAATTGGAAAGCTTGGGATCTCCCCATGCCTAGAAATTAAACCGTACACTTGGGTCCCAAAAAGAAATGGTTATTGATTCCACTGTAACTGTCAGGGATGTTCTCTGACTTCCAACACGCCCTCCGTTCCCTTCCCCAGCAGCCAGAAAGCAGCATGTAAGTAATGCAGCCTGACTTACCTAATGGAATGGCTTGACGCCTTCATTTAGAAAGCAAAAGCACTAAACTAACACCCTGAAATGAGGTCATCTCAATGTTGTACTTGGAGGAAACTATGAAAAACTTGATTCTTTCACTGAGCTTCAACTTCTGGTGTCAGTTTAATCCATTCATTGATTTTTATTCATTTACAAACCATTAAGGCCCTGTGTGTTACTCTGATAGGCACTCCTCAGAAACAAGGCCAGAGAAGCTGAATTTTACTACCAAGTTTCTGAATTTAGAAGTTTGGTTGCTGAAAAGACACAGGATCCAAAATTAAAGAAAGTGTGGGGAGAGAGGGGAGGGAATGGCAGGGGTAGGACATCAGCTCTGTGTCCTGTCATCATCTCTCTATCTGCCTGAAAAGAATACTGCCAGCTCTGAACCACTCTAGGACTCTTGCCCAAGCAAAGGTTTTTTTGTTTTCAAATGAAACAGACCCTGATAGAACAAAACTTTCATGGGAGTAAAAATCACATTATTCCAGGTAATTCCAAGGCATCATCATATTGAACTATTTAATCTATACATCCAAATGAGAAAAGTTCATTGTTTCACCACTCTGCTCAGTCTGGCATATTTAAGGGTCAGTCCTGCTACCAAACCACAAAAACAGGCCCTGTGATATCCTCTAGTTCACAGGTCCCCAACCCTCGGGATGCAGACTGGCACTGGTCTGTGGCCAGTTAGGAACTGGGCCGCACAGCAGGAGGTGAGCAGCAGGCCAGCAAGCATTCCTGCCTGAGCTCCACCTCCTGTCATATCAGGGATGGCATTAGATTCTCACAGGACTGCAAATCCTGTTGGGAACTGTGCACTCAAGGGATCTAGGCTGTGGCTCCTCATGAGAATCTAATGCCTGATGATCTGAGGTGGAACAGTTTCATCCTGAAACCATTCTCTCCATGATCTGTAGAAAAATTTTCTTCCATGAAACGTGTCCCTGGTGCCAAGAAAGTTAGGAACCGCTGTTAGTTGTTCCTGGACTCTGAGCTGAGCCCCTGGCCTCACCTCTGAGTTTGCCTCTCAACTTATGCTATTTCTTCCTGATTGTTGACCTTGCTCTCAACTCACACCTGAGTCCTGGTGTTCAACACCCCCATCAGCACTAACATATTCAAGGAAAAGCACCCAAAAGCCTGGTGCAAAAATAATACTAGAGTTGAATATCATTTTTGTAAAAAATATAATTATAAATATGTGTGTGTGCATATATATATACACACAAGTATATTTATTATTTATATCTGTGTACGTATATATATATCACTCATATCTATGTGTGTGTGTGTGTGTGTGTATATATATATATATTTCCCTCTCAGGAAAATCCTCAGAAAATGGGCTTCTATGACTTATCTGGATCTGCACACCACATTCCAGGGTTTGAAGCAGGCTTGGGATTATCCTTGGGGTTGTGGGGTTGTATATATACAACCCTGAAACTGGGTTGTGTATGTGTGTGTGTGTGTGTGTATGTATGCATATATATACAGGATATGTATACTGTATAGTATATACTGTATGTATATAGTATATGTATATATATATACATACATATATATACATATAGTATATGAGTATATATATATATATATATATACACACACACACAGCTAGTATATATATACATAGCCAGTATATATATATATATATATATAATTATTCCAGGTAATTCCAACTATATATATATATATATACAGCCAGCCAGATATGCAGGCATAAGAGCCTAAATATTAACTGAATCATGTAGTTTAGGTAATTTGTGTGTATTTATTATTTATTTCTGTGTTTTTTTCAGAGTCTATTTCAGGCTGTCATCTCCAGGACACTGCCTAGGCTATCAAAGTGATGCAAACTCCTGAACAGACATGGACTCTATATGTTCCTGCCCAGGGTCTCCTAGAACTCTAGGACATCGAGGCTCTAAGACACTTCACAAAGCAGGTCTTTTGATTCCAACTGCAACCCCAAGAATGATCCCAAGCCTGCCTAAAACCCTGGCATATAGTCTGCAGATCCAAATAAGTCATAAACAGAAACCCATTTACTAAGGATTTTCCTGAGAGGGAAAACTGGTGTCCTTCCTAAATGAATATAGTGGAGTTGACCCATTGCCCATTGCTAGTGAGGGAAGTGTAGGACTGGCTTTAGAATCAAACAGACTCAGGTTAGACTGGGCTCTGCCACTCACCAGCTGTGTGACATTGGGTAAATTAATCTCTCTTGGCCTCCATTTCCTAACCCATAAAATAGGGAGAAGTCCATCTACTTCATCAGGTTGTCATGAAGATGAATAAGATGAGGTTGCAAAGTGTTCAGCGTGGTGCCTGGCTATGCAGCCGCTCGATCAATAGTACTGATCAATACTGAAGGCTACTGATATGATCTGGTCTTTGAGCTGTTTTACAGTGAAGCACAGCCTGAGCACTGATCATCCCCTTGCGAAGGTCAGCTTTCTTTGGTAGGGATTAAAGGGGAGGTGTTGACTACCTTCCTCCTGAGCTCTCTACTGGGAAATGCTCCCTGCTCTGGGCCAGGTCACCATTCACTCTATGGCCAGTCACTGCCGGGTGCTCCTGGTCACAGACTCTTCAAATAGGATGCCACTGCTTCTCCAGGGAAAAAGGCAGAAAGGGAAGTAGGCAGGGAGCATGTCCCTTTGCTGTGCTGCCTCTTCATTCTCTGCTTCACTTGGCATAAGGCTACAGGGGGATGTGTGTCACATTTCCCTAAAAGTCTGGGGTAGTTAAAGGGAGTTACTACACTGGAACAGACTCACAGCCATGTACTGAAGATGTTTCCCATAGCCTGAGAGAAAAGGACCCAGATAGGCAACTCACCTCAACGAGGGGCATATCCCACTTCCTAACTCTGTTCTCCTGTCCTGAGGTCTGCCCTTCTCTCAAAAACACGCCTTTTGGCTGGGTGTGGTGGCTTACGCCTGTAATCTCAGCACTTTGGGAGGCCGAGGCAGGAGGATCACTTGAGGTCAGGAGTTCGAGACCAGCCTTGCCAACATGGCCAAAACCCATCTCTACTAAAAAATACAAAATTAGCCGGGCATGGTGGCACACACCTGTAATCCCAGCTACTCAGGAGGCTGAAGCACAAAAATTGCTTGAACCACGGAGGCGGAAGTTGCAGTGAGCCCAGATTGCTCCACTGCACTCCAGCCTGGGCAACAGCGTGAGAATATGTCTTTAAAAAAAAAAACCACGCCTTTCCTTCTGTTCCAGCTGCTATCACAAAGAAAAAAGGAAAGAAAGAAAGAAAGAAAGAAGGAAGGAAGGAAGGAAAGAAAGAGGAAGGAAGGAAGGAAAGAAAAGAAAGAAAGAAAAAGAAAAGAAAGAAAAGAAAGGAAAGGAAGGAAAGCAAAGAAAGGAAAGAAGGGAAGGAAGGAAGGAAGGAAAACGCACCTTTCCTTTAACTTCTGCGGCACAGACAATGATATCAAGTCTTGTTTCATTTTCCTCTTCCCAAGCACATGAGAAGACTCCATCCTCGGCCTTCCATGCAGGCATTGTGAGGGCCATGCAATGGGGTTCTGGGCAATGGGATATGACTGGAAGTGATGTTTGCCACTTCCAGGCCTGGTCATAAATCCCCTGCAGGACAGCGTCCACTCCCTCTCTTTTCTGACCACAGTTCCTTGAAGGTGACATGTTCTAGGAGGCACTGCTACAAGATGGAGAGGTGCTGCCCACTCTACATCAGAGTTTGTATTGTGAGCAAGGAGGAAACCCTCACAGTGCTTCACCCCTGAGGTCCCAGGGCTATCTGTGACCACACCATAGCCTTAATTACCCAGACAAATATCACCTCAGACTAAGGGTCTTCATTAACCCTTCAAGAAACCCTGCCCTCAGGTGTTAGGCTTACTCCAAAATCTATATTCTTCCTTCTAGCTATACATTTTACTAAATCTGAATTATTCATCTTAAATAATGCCCCAAAGAGAACAGTGAGACTTTGGCATAATAATGAGTGGTGACTTCGGCACTTTAAGCTCTAGCAAGATAGAGAAAAACATTGGCATTCTATATCCAAACTCTCTATTTTTTTCTCACTTTTATGGATATGTTCACACATAAAGCTCCCACACATAATGCTACCCACAGGTAAATCACACACACACACACACACACACACACACACACACACACACACACCCAAAGAGCTAATAGTCTCAGACCAGGAGTCACAAACATGAACATCTGAAGCGGCCATACAGAAAATGCCAGTATTGAAACAGACTGTGCACAAAGCTATGGAAAACTTGCTGAGCCATGCCTTGTCTGAAGGAAGCAGCTCTTTCCCCGTGTCCCCAGCTGTTACCATGCAAGCTGCAGGTCAGTGTGGCCAGATCTTGCAATCCTTTTAAAAAAATTAATATCTAAGTATCTATAGAAACTCTCCAAAGTTTTACAATGTGGCAACTACGTACTTCAAATAAAAATTTTTTTAAAGCTTTACATGCCAAACACAACTGAGCTGCCTGGTAGGCGTGCCCATGTTATGTGGGCCTACCATTTTGCATCATCTTCCCCAACCGTGTATAATTTATTTAACTCCTGCCCTGTAGATTGCAAGACTGCCTCTCTCACAGGAAAGTGAATACGTAATTATGCAGGGTGGTCCTTTTTCTTCATCACCAATCCTCCCCTATCTGCAAATTCAAATTGCGCCCCCTTGGCCACCGGAAATAAGAATCCAACCCATTGATAAGTCATATACATCTTACGTTTTGACTGTGGCTCCCTTAGCTACACCCAGGCAACCTCCAGCTTCTGATTACCATATGCAAGGACTCCATTAAATTCTTAACCAGCACTGCCCTTGCTGCTGCCTCTCTGAGGCAAGGGAGCACCATTAATGATGATGGCCTCACACCTCTCTCTCTCATCCATACACTCCTGTGAGCAACAGCCTACAAGTGTGAAATAATAGTCAGAAATTAGAACTGTATTTTTGTGCCTGCACAATTTTTCTGAGAACAAGGCTAGCTAGCTTTTAGAAGGATCAAACAGAATTTGAAAATCACCCTACTTTATGTGCCAAGAGCTTTAAGAATATCAAACATTTCTTACCATTTGCAAGCAAATGGGTCAAAAGATTTTTTGGCGATTATCTCCTCCAGAAAAGAGCAGTTTGAAACCAGAGAAAATGGGTGTTACTAAGAAAAAAAAAAACTACTTTAAGAGAACAAGAAAGTCAGTGCCTGAGATATCTCAGAAACTGAGATGGAATAACTTTCTTCTACCACACATGTGAGCTCCAAAGCACAAGAGAGGCTGCATTTCAAGCAGAAAGCTCTTTTCAAAGCACAAATGTTGGAAAAATAGACCAAGACATCAGCGCATTCTAAACACAGCTGTGTTTGTCCACACCTACTCCTGCCAGGTTGTGTTTGATTTAACCTGGCAACCCAGGGTTGAAAGGCTGCCGCATCCAATTATTCAGTCTCCGAGGCTCCTCTTCTCCCAGCATTATTATTGTTGATGTTTGATAGAGTAAATTGACCTATTATTAAATGTTGCAGCCAACAGAGAGGTTTTAATAACCTTTTGGAGTTTTGTATTAAATGTGTTTTTAGAGGGCTGTAATTTGTATTCATCCCAAAAAAAAAAAAAATAGCCACTATTCTGGGTGCCGTGGGCTGCACCTGCCGGGGTGAGTCTTACCACCACTCTGCTGCAGTCTGGGTTTAATGCATGAGTCACAGCTGTCTCTGGGATAATGTATTTATTAGCACTGGGGGGAAAAAAGAAAGGAAAACAGGTTGTAAGATTTGCCAATCAGTTGGGCTCTGCAAGTTGGAGAGTTCAGCAGGCTTTTTTGAGTGTTCTGGGTCACCTAGGAGTGAAGAACCTACAGAAGCTGTCAGGAAAGTATAAAGCCCCAGGTTGTCATCAGGATAATGAGCCGGCGCCCTAGCTGGACTGGTTATCTCAGGCCTGCATCACAGGCAGAGGAAGTTTACAAAAGAGAGCTTAAGGTGCAGTGTCAGCGTGTCCCTAGTTAGGGCCTAAGGGTACAACCGACTGAGCATCAGCATCCGATAGATAACAACAAAAGCCATTATCTCTCTCCCGGCTGGGCTGCCAAGTGGCGGGGCCAGGATTGCCTGGTGTTTGCAGTTTCCATAGCAGCACTGTTTTGTTCTAGCTGGCAAAGTACACGGAGAGGACGGATAAACATTGCAGGAAATGACACGAACAACCCAAGTACTGAGCCTGGGATCTCATGGCAGGCTCTGCCCTTTGTGAGTCAGCGGCGGAGGTGAGGACGGACACATTTCAGGAGGTGGCTGGAAACTAACAGCGCCTTCAAGCACAGCACCTGGCTAAACTCAGCCATCCCTCCAAGGCTAGAGCTCTGGGTCTCTACTCCATTTCCCAGAGCATTGGAAACACATGCAGTGCATTCAGAACGCCGATAAAATGTGGAGAGAGCCCCTGCACAGGCCAAGTGAGGGGTGGGAGTGAGGTGCTGTTATTCTCAGCTGCCCAGAACTCACTGAAGCCCTGGCTCCTCTTCCACCTCAGTGCTGCACGGATACAGAAGGGTCTCTGACATGCTGGTCACTGATTTGGAACGTTATGCCCCATGCCTGTGTGTTTATACCTGCAGGGAGCCAACACCTCCACCCCTTGCACTGGAGACCGCTAGAGAGGGTTTGAAATGGGGGGTGATACATTGTTCAGATCCATTATTTGCTGGGCATACAGCTACTACTCCCTACTAAGACAAAAGAAGACCTGGTCCCAGCCTTATGTATTAATCACGTAGTATGTAATAGGTCTAATTCACTTTAATTTCAGTTTTCATCTATTGGATAGAAACTGAATTAGTTGTCTCAGAATAGGAAGCCGAGTTCTCAGCCAATAAGGAAGCCTAGCAATTTCTTGATATTACAATATCAAAGCACCTCAATGGTGTTTTCAGTGTTAAAGAAATAAATCCTCTAAAGATTCTTCATTATTTTTATGCCATCCTCTATCATCATCGT
Source organism: Homo sapiens (assembly GCF_000001405.40). Taxonomy (NCBI): domain Eukaryota; kingdom Metazoa; phylum Chordata; class Mammalia; order Primates; family Hominidae; genus Homo; species Homo sapiens. The sequence goes on from NC_000004.12 coordinate 138,911,996, forward strand.
CTCAAGCTGATACATGGGAAAAATGGGAGGTAACATTAAGTTTTATGTTTGCCAAAACGTCACGAACTCATCCACTAGTCTAGATATTTCTTGTTCCCAACCCTGTGTAAACACAGAGGGTTTAATGCAAATACACTGGCCACCTCCACCCTCCCTGTTCTGGGATGTGGCTGCTATAATATTACTTCTCTTTTATGGATTAAGCTAAATGCACCCTGTGTAACCAAAGTCTTCACTGGCTGAATATCAGTGCCTTTGGACTTTCAGGTTAACGGGACTAAATGTCTTTCTTTTAGATAAGCCAAAAAATATTATGGTCTCAGCTAGACCTAAATGACAAAATTGAAAAGGGTAGGAGAATAAATCTACAATGGAAGGAGTTAAGGAAACTCACATCTTTAAACCTGCACAGTAAACAAAGGGCAAGTGTACTAAGAACCGGTCTTAGCTATGATTTTAAAACCAGATTTCACTGGTCTTTGTTTCTCTAGAATCATAGCCAGTTGCCGGGAACATTGTAAGTACTCATAATTATTTGTTGAATTAACGATCCTCTCAGGGCTCCAGCAGCAGAATGGAAAGAAGCATCTGTAGTGTGGTGGAAAGCACCGGAGACTCAGGCTGCTCAGCCTCTGGCCCACTCCTCCTGAGTCCTGGCAGGGAGCCCAGCCTCCAGGGGCCCTTGGTTTCATGGTCGCTGTCCTGCTGCTACCTGACCGTGCTGGAAACCAAGGTAGGTCAAGCCTTGAGGTGGAAACCAGGCAACAGTTTCTGCCCTTGTTTTCCAGGACTAGGTAAGAACTTACTCTTCCTAGTTATGGGTTAAAAGCAAGAACTCTAAAAACTTATCTCCCTGCAATCTCTCAGGAAATAAATATGTCACCATCCACATCATCTCATGTTCATGGCAGCCCTCTGTTTGACTTTACACAAAGCACTCCCAAGACTGAGCTGGTGGGAGAAAAAAAAAAAAAAAACACATCAAAACAAAGCAGAAAGCCCCTGACATCTAGGTCCTTGTACTTTGATATTAACCATCATTTAAAGAGTACTTAGTAACTGCCATGCACTGTGCTAAGCATGTTACTAACATCTGATTTTTTCTTCACTCCTGTAAATGGACAGAGTTCAGAGAGGTGACATAGCTCGCCCTGGGTCACACAGCTAGCAAGTGATGGAGCTGAAATTGGAATCCAGGTTTGACTGACTCCAAATTCCAGGCACACTCTTTACCATTACAGCAAGCTGTCCCCTCCAGCCTAAGGCAAGAGACAGCACAAGCGCTACATAAATGATAAAGGAGCCTACAGTGTTTCATCCACCACTTCCCAGACAGGCAAGAGGGAAACGCATTTGAAAGGTTCAGAATTTTTTAAAAATTTTTTGAATAGGTAAAACATTTACAGGTTTCAAAAAAATCAAACAGTCTGCAGAGGTTCAGAGTGAAACATCTTATTCCCATCCTGTCCTCCACCAGCTCTCTATACTCTTTATTGGATTTGTAAGGTATCCTTCAGAGTTCCTTTATGCAAATACACGCACATGTGAACATACATATTTTTCCTTCTTGTTTTTCACAAAAGGTAATGCACTCTACATACTGTTCGGCACCTTGGGCTTTTCTTTTTCCATTTGCCATTTAACCAAAGACTTGTCAGTCTTTCCATACCAATGCATAGAGACCTTCCTTTGTTTTTTTTTTCCTTTTTGAGACGAAGTCTCACTCTGTCACCCAGGCTGGAGTGCAGTGGTGCAATCTCGGCTCACGGAAACCTCCACCTCCCAGGTTCAAGCGATTATCCTGCCTCAGCTTCCCGAGTAGCTGGGACTACAGGCACCCGCCACCACGCCAGGCCATTTTTTTGTATTGCAAGAGTATAGTTTAGCATTCCACTGTAATTTATTTAAGCAGTTCCATATTAATGGATAATTGGATTGCTTCTAATCTTTTCCACTAAAAATAATGGTACAATGAATAACTTTGAACATATACCATTTTACATGTGTGCCAGTATATATCTGTATGGTAAAATTCTAAAAGTGGATTGCTAGATCAAAAGATATATGTGTTTGTGGCCAGGTGGGGTGGTTCACACCTGTAATCCCAGCACTTTCAGGGGCCAAGGAAGGCAAACTGTGTGAGCCCAAGAATTTGAGACCAGCCTGGGCAACATGGTGAGACCCTATCTCTACAAAAACAAAAAACTAGCCAGGAGTGGTGGCATGCACCTTTAGTCCCAGGTACTTGGGAGGCTGAGGCAGAAGGATTGCTTGAGCCCGAGAGGTTGAAGCTGCAGTGAGCCATGATCCTGCCAATGCACTCCAGCCTGGGTGACAAAGCAAGACCCCATCTCAAAATAAATAAATAAATAAATAATGATACGTGTGTTTGCAATTTAAATAGGTATTGCTAATACCTTTCTGTTTAGGGTCTCACAAAGATACAATCAAGGCTTCAGCTTAGGCCATTGGCAATACCTATTTAAATTGCAAACACATGTTTTTTTGTTTTTTGGGGTTTTTTTGTTTTGATGTTTTAGGGAGAGTATTTGAGAAGTTATGTGTAGTCATTGCTTTCAAAAGGCACATCATCTAATTAGGAAAGGCCTGCAATCCATGCATGAAATGTGGAAGGATCAAAATTGGAGGCAAACATCCTAACTTTGCTAAGGGATTGGCTAAAAATAGGAACAATACTAACTCACCAAAACCATTCATTATTTGTTCATCCATCAACATTCTTATTAAATTTTTATTTCAGAGGTAGAAAAACAAGGATGGGCTAGAGGCAATAAAGGTTGAGTGGACATTGATTTCTGTTTGGGGATCTATGTGGCTCTAGGGGAGCTGATTCTATCCCAGGGATAGAGCCCCAGAGATTTTCTACACCAACCAGCACTTTCCATCCCCCTGATCAAAACACTGGGCTCAGAGGTAAGCATTGTAGGCTAAGCAGGCCCATCAGTGTGATTCTCAGGGTTTTTCTTGGAACTTTAGGATAAAAGTATTTTCTCTTCCTTTGGAAAGAGAAATATTATGAAATAAAATCATTTTTGCTACCATGAGGAGAGTGAGAGAAAAATAAAACTTTTTAAATTAAAGAAACCCCTAGCTAGCATCCTGATGATTTTGTGTACCTTTGGATCAACCTCACATGAAGCCCAGTTTACCGATAAACAATGCGGTGACATGAGCCAGTAATATTCGTTTATCGCTCAAGAGAATTTCTGTGACTCGATATGGGCCAGGCACAATGGCTCATGCCTATAATCCCAGCACTTTGGATTTTTTTTAGGTTGGTTTTTTTTTGGCGGGGGAGGGGTGTTGGTATTTTTAGTAGAGATGGGGTTTCACCATGTTGCCCAGGCTGGTTTCAAATTCCTGAGCTCAGGCAATCCACCCACCTCGGCCTCCCAAAGTGCCAGGATTACAGTGAGCCACATCGCCCAGCCAATCCCAGCACTTTGGGAGGCAGAGGCAGGTGGATCGCTTGAACTTAGAAGTTCAAGACCAGCCTGGGCAATAGAGGGAAACTCTATCTCTACCAAAAAAATACAAAAAAAAAAAAAAATTAGCCAGATGTGGTGGTGCACTCCTGTAGTCCCAATTACTTGGTAGGCCAAAATTGGAGGATTGCTTGAGCCTGGGAAGTGGAGGCTTTAGTAAGCCAAGATCACACTATTGCACTCCAGCCTGGGTGACAGAGCAAGACCCTGTTTCAAAAATAAAAATAAAAAAGAATTGATCTGTTGATATGGAAGTTTTCATGAGGTTGTCAGTGTTTGAACTGGACCTGCAGACATACAGGAATTGAATGATACTGTGAGCTGGTGAGAATATTCCAGGAAAGATGTAATCTCAGCAAAGGCAGGAACACCCTGCAGTGCTTTCCCTGCATTTTGTGGGATCTGCCTTCTGCCTGCCCTGCAGCAGCTGCATTCTTTATCTACCAAATAATCATTGTCTGATTTATAACCAGGCCCAGTCCTAAAGCTTGTTACCATTAACTATGTAAGTTCAATTTCATTGCAATTTGTTTTCTCTTTTTATCTAACTTTTGACTTTATCCTAAACAGAAGGCATGTCCTCTTCCAGATAGTCAGACAAATTTGCCTTTAAGACCTAAGCTGATATTAAGTAGGAAAGTTCATTCAGCTCACTTTGGAAGTAGTTTGGTTTTTGACAGGACAATAGGACAGAGATGGAAAAAAAAGGGGGATATGGTTTTTAGTGTTATCTATTGCTGTGTAACTATATCACTACAAACTTAGTAGCTTTAAAAAGAAAACATTTATTATCCCATAGTTTTTGTGGGTCAGGAGTCTGGGCATAGCTTAGCTGGTCTTCTGTTTAGGGTCTCACAAGGATACAATCGAGGGCCGGCTAAGGCTTCGCTCTCATCTGAGACTCAACTGAAGAAGGATCTGCTCTCAACTCTGATTGTTGGCAAATGCAGCTCTTTGTGGTTGTAGGACTGTGGGGGCTTTAGTATTTTGCTGAATATTGGCCAGAAGTAGCCCTCGGCTGCCACTGGCCATCTGCAGTTCCTTGCTGCAGGGGGTTCCCCAACATGGCCTCTTGCTTCTTCAAAGCTAGCAAGGGAGAAAAAGAGGCTCCCACAAGATGGGCGCTCTGGGTGACCCCATCCCTACAGCTCCAGGCAGCCACCATCCGGCCTGTTGAAACCAAGGTAATGGGTTCCCCACCCATAATTTGAAACCAAAGAGGCAGGCTTGATGATCTCCAAATCACCTTTAGTGTTATTATTCCCTCATCTAGAAGAAGAGCATGGTTTTGCAGCCAAATTGCTGTATGGTTCACTCCTGTAGGACCTAAGAAGTCCAGCAGCCTTTCTTCATTTCATCCTGTCTCCATCCCTTCAAACTGGCAGTGTTTTTGCTAGGCTGGCTAAATAGGTTGTGGTTCACCCCCACACTAGCCTCCATATCAAATGGCTAGTCAACCATATCCTTAGTGTTCTCTCCTGAGCACACTTCCTCATTTTTTGCGATATGGACAGGCTAAGGATTTCCCAAATTTTTAGGTTTTTGTTCCTTTTTGCTTAACAATTCTTTCTTCAACTCATTTCTCTCTTCTCATATTTTACTATAAGCACTTTAGAGGAATCAAGCCACTTTTTAATGCTTTGCTTAGAAGTCAATTAAATATCTAATTTCATCGCTTACAAGCTCTACCTTCCACAAAACACCGTAACACAAACACAATCCATCCAATTTCTTTATCACTTTATAGCCAGGACTGCCTTTCTTCCAGTTTCCACTAACATATTCCTCATTTCTATCTGAGACCTCACCAGAATGGCCTTAACCGTCCATAGTTCTACCAACATCCTGTTCATGATTATTCACGTATTCTCTAAGAAGATGGAAGCTTTCTCTAACAGCTCTCCTCTTTTCTTTCTAAGCTCTCACCAGAATTACTTTTAACAATTGAGATTCACAGCAATGTCAGCTTTTTCTAGCATAGACCTCATCAGGGGTGTCCAATCTTTTGGCTTTCCTGGGCCACATTGGAAGAAGAATTATCTTAGGCCACACATAAAATAAACTAACACTAACCATAGCTAATGAGCTAAAAAATAAAAATAAAAATAAATAAAAAATTTAAAAAGGCAAAAAAATCTCATATTGTTTTAAGAAAGTTTACACATTTGGGTTGGGCCACATTCAAAGCCATCCTGGGCCTCATGTGGCCCATGGGCTGTGGGTTGGACAAGCTTGGTCTACCTATTACCCAGTTTCAGAGCCACTTCCACATTTTTACATATTTGTTACAGCAGCATCCCCATTTCCCGGTACCAATTTCTTCGTTAGTCTGCTCAGGCTGCCATAACAAAATTCCACAGACTGGGTGGCTTTCACAACAGAAATCTTATTTTCTCACAGATCTGGAGGCTGGAAGTCCATGATCAACGTGCCAGAGGTTGGGTTTCTCCTGAGGCCTCTCTTCTTGGCTTGCAGATGGTCGCCATCTTGCTGTGTGCTCACTCAGAAAACTCTGCACCCACCTCCCTAGTATCTATTCTTCTTCTTATCAGAATACTAGTAGTATTGAAATAGGGCTCCCCCTTATGACTTCATTTAGACTTAATTACCTCCTAAAAGACCCTGTCTACAAAAACGGTTACTAGGGCTTCAGCCTATGAATTTTGAAGGGATGCAATTCAGTCTGTAACAATGACCCACCTTCACCAGATACAACATTTACATGACCACGAGCACAACGAACTCTTCTGCTGTGCCTGCTTCTTTCAACATATTCGTGCTCACCATCAGGACTGGTAGAAACTAGAGTTTGTTTACAGCCATATGGGAGACCGTGGGTTTTTTCCTGAGTGCGATCATGGGGCATGCATTTGTGTGTGTCTGTGTGTGGTACTCAGCTCCAAGGCCTTGTAACAGAGATGATGTATCCCCATCGAAGAAAAATGACAGTCAGAATAAGAAGACGAAGCCAGTTTGTCACTTAATGCAAAGGCTGATTGTGCGGCAACAACAGCCTCACACTGGGATTGATTACAAACAAGATGACACTTCCCTGTGGGCTGCCTCGCGTGTTATTATAAATAAATACCATTCGTTTTAGAATCTGCATTACTGCAGAGGATAGATTATACCTCAGCGCCCTAGGTATACAGTAAATATCCCAGGGAGTACAATGGCCCTTCTCAACCCACAATAGGAGCCTCGCCTCATGTGACACAGTATCATAAATAAAATCAGGCCGTAGCACAGAGCCATGAGAACAGAAGTGAAGACAGAGTTTGACTGATGTTAGGGATTCATCTCCATGAAGGGCATGCTTTAAAGTGTGGTGGGATTTTGTTCCAAGCGGCCCAGGGGCCCTCAGTAGCTGTAAGGCATTTTTGATTTATCCCTGGCAGTGAAGCCCAAGAGAACCGCTCGATACCTAAGAGTATTTCCTGAAAATCAGAGTTCGGTTTTCAAGATGAAAATAAATCTGTTAAATTTTTTTGAATATCTCCTTGCCTTTGTCCCGACTGTTCCAAATCTGTCATCCTACGATCTTCAAATAAATAAATTATTTTAACCAAGAAATATAGAGCGACTGTTTTCTATTTATTTCTTTATGCCTTGCTTCAGTGCAGGGTTGAATTTGATCTGCCTGTGAGAAATATATATTTTTCATTTCCGGGGCTATCCACTCGTTTTCTATCTTCCTCTCTCCGTCTTCTCGACGTCTTCCTATCTCTGCTATCTTTCCTTCATAAGCACGGATAGGCGCTGGGAAGGCTCAGCCAATCCCCTTTTCAGGTGTGACACGAGTGCCCTCTGCCGTCCAGAATGGCGAACAACTCAGCATCCAGGCAGGTTCAGACCAGACGAGGAGATGGGGAAAAAACCTACAGCCGTTCTCCCATCTCTGGGCAAACACTGGACGTATTGTTAAAATGAATAATTTATTAAACCACAATTGTTTATTGACTGCTCTTTCACTATCTGCTTTCCAGTTATTAAACACATTCGCGGGGTGCTTGGGTGTCAGCCCTTAGCCGACTTGAAGCTTCTTTCTGAGGCAATGATGTTCCCAGCCCCCTTGCTTCTCTCCACACGAGACATTTTCGATCTCTTTTGTCAGGTCAGGGTCAAACTACAGTTGTTCTGAGATGACTTTATCAATTCTCAGTTGATAGACTCTAAATGAAAAAATGCCTACCGCCGCCCCGTCGCTACTTAAGAAGGAGGGTTATTTGTGTAATGTTCTGTCAGTCCAGCAGGATCTGTGACAGACGCAAAGAGTCAAGTGAAATAAGGGAAAAGAAGTTTTTATGCCTCTTATTAGTCTCTCTTCCTTACATCAAGGAACTGATGACATCCATCCTAGGATGTCCTTCCAAACTGAAAGAGGCACGGGAAGAACCGTCCCTCACTCCTTTCGGAGTAAGCAAGACCCGCTTTAAGTATTCGTGCTAATTCTCCACCCTTCACCCTGAGGGGATTCAATGTCCACAGCAGAGCAGGTGGGAGGGGGCCCTTGCCAGGAAGAAAATTCTCTCACTCCAGATTTGAAGGAAGCATCAGTCTGTACCCAGAGTGCCCCCTGCTTTTAAAGGGCAAACATTTCCACCATCCAGAATTGCAAGAAAATGTGCAGTAACCCAAAAATAAATCAATAAGGCCCAAGGCAAAGGAAGAAACAGAGATTCCCAAAATTGAAAGTGAGATTTTATTCTAAAACCCAAAATTTTTAAAAATATTTGATTGATACTGATACTAGACATAAGCACAAGAAAGCTTTCACCATTCCCTCTCTCTCTCTCTATCTCCTAAAATAAGACAATCATTTCATTTCCAAATAACTCATTAGGGATTTGTGTTTAAATGCAGAGACCTATTGCCAGATGTTGCCAAAATAAAAAAGAAAAACCCTAACAGTAAATAAAATCAGAAATGTCATCAAATTATTCCTTTCCCCAAACTATATATGACTTTCAAGGAAAACTCACACTTTGATATTCTCTGTCACAATATTAATATTCACAGGCTTAGCATCCAGAAGACACAGGCGAGACACAGGCTAGGGGGTGGGGAGGAACCCTGCCAGCAAGGTTTGCCCAAACTCAAGCATTGAGAAAGCGTGTCTGTAAGATACAGTACATATTGATGACAACTGGCACTAAATTTGAAGTGAATCTGATTTTCTGACCTGAGTGACAGCTATGGTTTTGCCAGGCATGTGACTGAACATGGCACAACCTCACTAAGCTTTGGTTTCCATGTTTGTAAAATTAAACTGATGCTTCTTCCTTCATGAAATTAAATATGAGTTCTTCTGTGTCATGTACACAAAGTACTTAGCACAGTTAGAGGTAGAGTAAACATGCAATACATGTATGGGACCCTTAGCTTTCTATTTTCATTCCCTTCTTTCCATCCTAAGCACCATACTTCAAAACAGGGTCAGGCCAGGTGTGGTGGTTCATGCTTGTAATCCCAGCACTTTGGAAGGCCAAGGTGAGTGGATTGCTTGAGCCCAGGAGTTCAAGAACAGCCTGGGAAACATGGTGAAACCCCATCTCTATAAAAAAAAAAAAAATACAAAAATTAGCCAGGTGTGGTGGCTCACACCTATAGTCCCAGCTACTTGGGGAACTGAGGCAGGAGGATGGGTTGAACCCGGGGAAGTTGAGGCTGCAGTGAGCCAAGATTGAGCCACTACACTCCAGCCTGGGTAACAGAGTGAGTCCTTGTCTCAAAAAAAAAAAAAAAAAAAGGAAAGGGTCACCCCATTTTTATGCTTCCTAAATTCCATCTGCCTTTATTCAACAAATATTTATTGAACTCTTCTATGTTCTAGCTACTCAAATATGAAAAAGAGTCCTCACCCTCTAGGAAGAGGACATA